>NC_000008.11:2478280-2780565 GCF_000001405.40 Homo sapiens
GTAAATGCTGGCTACTTGCCGATAGTGTCAATGAGGCCCTTAGAGACTTGATGTCTTCAGCAGGCAAGGATCAGTGGGTAGAGGAGGCTCTAAATTGTTTCTTCCTCATCACAAGGCTGCGGAGAAGTTGTTGCTCGCAGAGACGTATCAAACACCAACATTTCTGTCCTCCAGCTTTGAATACTCAAGTAGTGAGGCTCAAAGAGGTACGGGCTTCTGAGAGGAACTTTTGCCCTAGAATTAACACAAAGTGGACATTTACAGAATAATTCAACAAACACTTAACAAACTCCTACTATAAGAAAAGTGCTTGGATAGAGATAAGTAAAAATTGTTCTCTCTACTGAAGAGTTGAAGTCAAGGCTAACGTAATTACTCCATTTCAGCACAATTTCACAATGAGACAAGGAGAACACTAACCATTATGTATAATGGCAATCCAACCACATCTGATGTGCAAAACCCCTGGGATGGTGAGTTCAAATAGACCAAGAGCTGATTATAAAAATGTGAAGGTGCCCACGGAACGTGGGGCTCCCAGCGAGTGACCTGCTGCGACACCAGATGCTTTTGGTGGATATAACAGAAGAGAGTTGATGAGTGAGGTGGCCAGGGTTCAGGTCTCTGTTCCACAAAAGTTAGACGTGCGACCTCCAACCAGCAGCTGACCTTGAACAGCTCCACTTCATCACTGCAAAATGTAGTTTACTCCTACTGGCTGGGCTGACTGGCTTCATGAGCCTGAAATCTGTGCCATCTCATAGGGCCCCCTACTCACTGGGAAAGACCCATACTTGATTTAATGTTCTGCTTTCCCCATCTAGAAATTCTTAATAATTTTTGAACAAGGGGACCCTCATTTCCATTCTTCACTGGACCCCTCAAAATATGCTCCTTTTCTGCCTCTTAGGGTTGTGGAGGTTAATACAACAGTGTTTATTAGCGTTTAATATAGGGTCTGGCACTTAGCAAAATGCCTAATATATAGTAAACGCTAAATAAGTGAATGTTGTTTACTATTATCGTTACTGCTGTGGTAAGCTCAGGGAGAAAAGCGTAATTAAGTTGGTATCTTTCAAGGAGGCACATGGGATGTCATCCGTGTAATACTCTTTCCTAATGTAATTCTGGGGACTTTGAAAGGTTCCTACGAAAAGCTCTTTATTGGCAGAACCAGGTAACATTCCTAAGACTTACCAGGCTCTGCAGAGAAGGAATTACATGTTGCATTTCAAAAACAACTCTGAGTGTCGCCGAGTATTGCTGAGCTGTAGCTGGCCAGGGTCTTTCAATTGTGTTGACCTCAATCCCTGGTAGGAAATGCATTTCCTTTGGTGATCTTGTACATTAGAATACTGCGCGGCAGAACAGCACTCACTCCTCCCACACAGAATGCCACCTGGTGTCTTTGAGGCCGGTCGTGACCCACTCAACAGACCTCACCACCCACTAGCGCTTGGCTACTTACAGCTTGAAAAACAACACTTAAGGCAGCTGCTTAAGTCAGAGAGCTCTGCAAGACATTTGGGGACCCCCCAGCCTTGATCCCGGGGAGCCGCTGGCCATGGGGAACTGCCTCAGCCTGCACTGCCGTTGTTGGTGGCAGCTGGCATAGGACAGTCTCACACCCTTCCCAGACGCAGCTGCTGTGCCCCAGAGAGGGGAGGGTGGCAGGCGGTCCCTGCTGCTGTGTATTACAGAAGGAAATGGGACACTGGTCTCTAACGCCCGAGATCGGGTCTTCACTGCAACCCACCAGCCTTCTAGGTTTTCCTGACCTGGGAATCTGGTAGAGCTGCACCTACCACCAGCTGGAGGTTGGACTTGGCCATGTCACTTCCTGTGGCCAAGGAAATATAAACAGAAGTCAGGCAAGTCGGCTCTGGAGAAAAGCCTTCCAGCACCGATGACTCATTGGCATTCCTGGCAGCTCCTGCCAGGTGATGGTGATGTCGAGGGGCCACTGAGGCAGGGGTCCTGAATGTGACCACAGACCACAAATTGGGGCCTGGGGCAGATCCTGACCAGAGGGTTCCAGAACAAAGGCAGAGGGGGCTAAAGGTACAACTTTCTTAAGACTTACTGATTGTGTGGGTTTTTTCCTGAGCCAACCGGCTTACAGCATATGTATAAAAGCAATGATAGAAGTATAATTTGGTGTAGTAATTTTACCCTAATTCACACTCCCCTTCCATGTGTCCTGCCGATGATTTTGGTAACCTTCTGCTTTCACAAATATGAAGTCAACAACATTTTCTTTCATTTTTATTGTCTGACAAAAGGGAAAGAAACATTCATTAAGAACAAGTCACCTGTTTTCACTGAGGAGTTATAGACAATAACAGAATGAAGCCACCGCACCTTTCCCACACGCTGCTAAAGGCTGACCATTCCAAATACTGTCAATGCGATGCTGGCATCCTGTGGGAAAAATACCTTGGAAGCACTGGTTACCCACAACACTTTGAAATACTTAATTGGGTTTAAATTTCATCAGAGAAAAGGTTCTTTCATGAAAACTCAATTAAATAACTACATAAAGGGCGTGGGGGGAAGTGTTCATTACTAATTACGCAGAAAGCAAAAAATACGTATATTAAATATTACATGTCTCCCCTCCTCAAACACCCAAGTACTTCAAAATAAATGGACGACGAATATGTGGGTTTCATTCCTAAGGAACGTCGGGCTACTCAGCAAAGCAAAATACCCTCTTCGCTCTTCACCTCCCCGGACGGCGTTGCGTGTGTTGAAAGTCACAGGCGTAATTCAAGCAGGAGGCTCAGGACAGAAAGCCTGGAAATCCTGCAGACCAGGCCTCGCCCACCGCGCAGGAGCCGCACAGCCTGAAATGCGGACCAAGCCCGCCACCTAGTGGCCACAGCGATTGTCGCGGCTGCGGCGTTTGGGGATGTTGATCTGAGTCCTTTCTCTTTTTGTTCCTCGTCTCCTCTTTTCTTTCCCTGTCTCGAAGATTTTTTTTTAATCAAATATATGTGAAGAGGTCGGGCGTGGTGGCTCAAGCCTATAATCCCAGCACTTTGGGAGGCCAAGGCAGGTGGCTCACCTGAGGTCACGAGTTCAAGACCAGCTTGGCCAATGCGGCGAAACCCCATCTCTACTAAAAATAAAAAAAAATTAGCCGGGTGTGGTGGCAGGCACCTGTAATCCCACCTTCTCGGGAGGCTGAGGCAGGAGAATCGCTTGAACCTGGGGGGCAGAGGTTACAGTGAGCCGAGATCACACCACTGCACTCCAGCCTGGGTGATAGAGTGAGACTCCATGTTAAAAAAAAAAAAAAAAAAGATATGTGAAGAAAATCATCTGGAATCTTTAAAGGTGCACCTTGCTCTCCTGGGAGAGGGCGCACGGCTGCGGTGCTCCAGTCGGAGTCAAGACAGTCCCTGGGGAGTCCACGCAGGAGGTGCGGCCACGCGGCATTCAGGCTACGGCCTCCTTGAGTGCTTTCTCATCACCATTGTAAAATCACGTTCCTGATTCTTATACCACAACTTATTCTTTTAATGCCCCAATATTAGGATGTAAGAAATTATCTATGGTGGAATAATTTGTTTTCATTTCATATAAAATTGAAAAACTTATTAAAGAGCTTGATGTTGCTGAAAGATGACCCACATCAATGTATCTTTATGTAATTATTTCTATTACATGTTTATTGTGTTTTGAATCCACACAACAAATCACAGACAGCATGAACCCCGCAGCCAACAGGTCTCAATGCAAAGCTTGCAGCCATACTTAGATACATCATCTGACAATGTAAAGAAAGGTGCTCACCTCATTTTTAAAGTCAAGGAGAAGAATTGCAACCTAATGTTTAGTACATTTTTGTGTTAGGACATATATCTGGTCATTCCTTTTTTGTTTTGTCTTATACTACTTATACTCATATTTATGTAACCCAAAGAAATAAAATTCACCCTCCCACCTTATCAAATATGTTGAAAACAAACATATCTTGTTTTCTGGAATTATGAATGTGAGTGAGGAGCAGCTGAGCCACCCTATGGCAGGGCAGCTCGGCTCTCAGGGACAGTCATGCGGGCATGGAGCTCCCTTCCCGGCGCAGGGCTTTGCTGCAGCTGAGTGGGATCCTCCTAGAGATGCACAACTTCCTGGCGGGCCCTGAGGCGAGCGCCCAAGGAGGGCTTCCTGGTGACCTGCGGCAATGCCCGCTCCTCTCAGGCGAGCTTCCCATTGCAGCTGCCCTGCTCTGGGCTGGTGTTTGTCTTCCTGCGCTGATTTATGTGTAGAAACTTTGAAAATTCCTAGCAAGAATTGGTGCGTGTGTGAGAGTGTGCAAGTATGCGTATGTGTGCATGTATGAGCATGTGTCTGTGCACTCATGTGAGACTGTGCGTGTGTCTGTGCATGTGTGTATGTGTGACTAGGTGTGTGCATGTGATTGTGTGTGCTTATGCATGTGTGCATATCTGTGGATGTGTGCATGCATGTTTGTGCACGTGTGCCTGCATGACAGTGTATATGTGTACATGTGAGAATGTGCCTGTGTGTGCATATGTGAATGTGAGTATTGTGTGCATGCGAGTGTTGCACATGTGTGAACATGTGCATGTGTGTATGGGCACAGGTGTTCGTGTGTGTGTGTATGTGTGTATGTGAGTGTGCACGTGTGGATTCATGCATGTGTGTGCCTGTGTGAGTGTGTGAATGTGTATATGTAAGGGTGTGCATTGTATGTGAATGTGTATGTTTATATTTGTGTGTTGATGCATGCTTATATGTTACTGTTAATGAGCATGTGTATGTCCACGAATAACATGGCTTTCATAACCCTTTAATAAGATAAATAGCACTACTATTATGGACATTGTATACATAATTTTATCTATTTTTTATATCCTTCAAAAGATGTATTTAAAGAAAACAAGACAGAGGATGATGGAAAAATTAAATGTGGAACCAGCCCATAGAACACAGCATTTTCTCTACACAGTCATCAGTTCCCTCATGACTATTCGCTCTTTCATATCGTGGAAATAATGGTGCTTATTCTGCTCAGTTCACACTACATTGTAGGATTAAGTTGGACAACATATCCCGAAGCGCTGCATACGCTGTGAGTAACAGGTGAGCACAATGACGGTGATACTCAGCATTAGCTGCAGATGCTTTCTTGGGTCCTCCCTTCCTTGTAGGCAACAGTGGTCCCTGCCTGCCTGTCAATCAAACCCCCATTTCCCACTGGGCATTTAGCAGGATACGTTTCATCCCCAGAAACCACATCCTGCTCAACTGTGATTCAAGAATACGCCCAAGCTCCTCTCATCCCCCATCACCTCCCAGATTTCCCTCTCCACCGCTCCCTCTTCGTTTGTTCAGGCACAGTTCACTGTCTGCCGCCTGCTGCATGCGGGGCTTAGGCCACACAACGGGGAGCACGATGGCTGTGGATTCTGCACTTTCTGAGTTTACGTTGCAGTAAACACATAAACTCATATAGGCGATCTCATGCTGTCCTTTACTCTTCCTGTGTGCATGGTTTTCACCCAGAGATTGGAAGTTCTTCAAGGAAAGAATCACATTTTGCATTTTTATATCCTTCACGGTATCAGCAGTTGTTTACTCATTCAATAAGTATTGAATATCTAATAACACATTAGACCTTGGGGATAAAATAATAACAAAAGATTGTTTTTTCTCTATTGCAACTAACTGCATAGTAGGAAATTTGATGTCTACACAGTCAATAATACAACAGAGAGGAGAGCTCTAAAATACAGGACGTGTGAGCCCCCCAGGGGAGAGAAGATGGAACGCTAACAGCCAGGGGAAGAGGGAGGAAGGCGCCGGCCCTCTGGGAGGAAGCGGCTCTGGAAGGAAGTGGCCTGCAATCTGAGGCCTCAGGATGAGAGGAGATGAGCCAGGTGAAGAGAAATAAAATTACATTCCAGGCAAAGAGGAATGAAATAGAGAACAGCACATCGTTTTAAAGAAATATTTAAGAAAGACGAGTTGCTTAGAGGTTATAATTTCAGAGTTGAGCAATTGATTCTGTCTTTATAAGACTTTATATGACTTTTATAAGATGCAGTAAGTCATTACTTAGAATAATGGTTGTCAATAATAAAAGTTTCAAACTCAATAATTAGTTTTAAAACAATAAATAAATATAATAGCATTGTAATTTTTGTCTGTTTGTTTGTTTGTAGAGACAAAGTTTTTAACTCCAAGGCTCAAGTGATCCTCCTACCTCGGACGCCAAAATTGCTGGAATTACAGCTGTAAGACACCATGTCTGGCCTGGCATTGTAATATGAATGCTTTTTTAGGGGGAAAATGTTGTGGTATAAAATCTCGCGGCTAGGCGTTTAAATGATGCCTTCAATGAACCGCACTCTAGCAACGGCTCAGCAACATAGAGCTGGGAATTAGCAAGGTAAAGACCCCAGTGATATTCGGGGAATAAACACGTCCACCCCATAGCTTTTCTCAACCTAATTTTATTCCCGGAGACAGGGTCTCCACACTTGGCTGCAATGACAACCACCAGAAATATCTTCCAGTCCTCATCAAGTCCCAGAACCAGTCATTCAAATTGCCGTGGGGAGTGACATCAACTCCCCACGAAAGTGAAAGCCGCCCAGGTGTTTGGATTCAAAGCACGGAGGAGTTCAGGGAAGCAAACAGACTCCTCGGCCCGCGACCCAGCACCCCCGCCTGAGCTTCCCACGCTTCCAGGCTTAGCCTCCTGTGTCCTCATTTGCAGAGTCGCAACCTAGCACGCCTGCCTGAGCTTCCAGGCTTAGCCTCATGTGTCCTCATTTGCAGACTCTCTTCTGGAGCCATCGGTGTCACCCCCCTCCGAGAGGTGACACGGTTCCTCTGCTCCCCCGTTGCGGCTAGTGCAGGACTCTGCACCTCCCACCAGGCAGCTCTCAGCCCTGTCCGCTCCAAATGTTTCCTTCCTTACAGGAAAACTCATCTTCACGTGGGCGAGGAAAGGCCCACAGATATTTAAGACTGTCTGTACCAGTGTGTCTGTCGTGCTTTTTGGAAGCCAGGATGAAAAACAAGGGTTCCTGCCCTCAAAGAGCACATACTCAGACATCTCACCTGTTTCCAAAGCCCCAAGTGAGCAAAAGTGAAGCTCACCAGGCCCACAAACTCACTTTTCAAAGAGAATTTCCTGTCCCTTTCCCAGGGTCTTCTGTGGTTCTCCCAACATTCAGGTGTCCTAGCCCTGGCAACAGATTTGAGTGCTATCGAAATCCAGTTCTAAGTAGCCTGGTCTGGGTGTTCTCACCACACACCTGAGTGATTAACACAGACAGTAGCATATCACTTAAGGGATTCCCACCTCTCAACACCTGCCTCGGGGCACCCTGCTGGGATCCTCCTGCTCCCCAGCCCTGCCCCACCTCAGTCCCCTCCCTGTGCTTGGTGAGTTCCTCTTCTCGGCTGCCCAGGTTCCTCTTTCCTCAGCATCTCACTGTCCATCTGCCAGAAACCCCGGCTGCCTCTAACTCCAGAATATGGCCAGGTCAGTCAGCTCTCACCAGCTCTCCCTTCACCCACCTCCTGCTTCTGGGTGGCTAAGGAGCCCCTTCGCTGGTCCAGTTCTACCTTCCTCTCTGTATCCGCCTGATCCTTCTGCAAACAAGAGGCCGAGGAAACACTGGCTGCACATAACACACTTCTCTCCTGTCTGTGCCTGGCCTGTGTGCTCTGCATGTGACACTCCTCTCTCCCGTCCACGCCCGGCCTGTGTGCTCTGCATGTGACACTCTTCTCTCCTGTCCACGCCCGGCCTGTGTGCTCTGCATGTGACACTCCTCTCTCCTGTCCATGCCTGGCCTGTGTGCTCTGCATGAGCACTTCTTCCTTTGCCTACCTGCTGTCCTCTCTCTCTCCACCCACTGCGGTGGCTGTGTGCTTCTCCAGACACACCAGGCCACTCCTGCCCCAGCGGCACCTGCCTCTCCATCCTCCAAACACCCACCAGGCTCCCTCCCTTCTTTCCAGTCCATTCTCCAAAGGCCCTTCTCACCGAGGTCTCTCCTGGGCATGGCCTTAGATCTCTCACCCACCCCAGCCCTCCCAGACCCTCTTCTTCTGCCCTAATTTTGCACATAGCTCTTGCACCCACTGAGCGCTCTAATGGCAAGCCCATCTGATGGCTGTCCATCTTCCCTGAGCTGACATGAGCTCTCTGAAGACTCGAGATCTTCTGCCTGCTCGGTTCACTGCTTTATCCCTGGCATGCAGAACCAACTATTAATCACCACCATCAATACATAGGATGTGGCCTCTGTGAGCGTTTTGCCTCTATTTTTCCAATTCATCCTCATAATAAATTCAAGACATGAGTTTTGGAGTTTCCTCCCCATTTTACAGATGAGGAAGGAAGGCTGAGAGGTTAGGTGACCTGGCCCCATTGAGGACATGCAGGAGGTCTGCAGACCCAAGATGGCCCCGTCCCCCTTCACTCTTGGTCTGATCCAGCCCCTTCCGCACAGTGTCCTCCTTGAATCTTTTGCTTCAAGCACAATTATTATAAATATGCACCCAGAATTTTTATTTTATTTAAGTTCTGGGATACATGTGCAGGATGGGCTCTCCAGAGCTCTCCAGAGCTGTCTCTCTCCCACCTGTAAAAAGTCCACAGATGTGGATTTTTTTCAGCCCATGTGGCAGGTAAGGTGGCCACCTCACAGTGGTCAGCCTCAGCCTTCAGGGTGATGAAAGAATGAGTCTGCCTCTGGTTTTTCTCTGTCTCTCACACTCTCTCCAGGAATATTAAAAACAAAACAACTACAAAAAAAGCAGAGTTTGATGGTTGTTTGTTACTGACTTATTCCAGATTTGACAGATAGTTCTTCCCTACCTCCACTTCATTCAACAGCCTTGTATCATGTGGCTAGATGAAGGGTAGATAGGTAGGTAGATAGATAGATAGATAGATAGATAGATAGATAGATAGATGAATGGGTGGATAGATAGAAGATGATAGATAGATAAATTGATGGATGGATGGATGGATAGATGGATGAATGGATATATCGATAGATAGGTGAATGGACAGATGGATGGATGGATACACAGATGAGACAGATGGATGGATAGATAGATGTAGATGAAAGAAATAGAGAAAGGAAAGAAGGATGGAAAAAAGAAAGAAGGAAGAAAGGAAGAAAGAAAAATGAAAGAAAGAAAGAAAAAGAAAAAGAGGCCGGGCACGATGGCTCATGCCTGTAGTCCCAGCACTTTGGGAGGCCGAGGTGGGCTGATCACAAGTTCAAGAGATCGAGACCATCCTGGCTAACACAGTGAAATCCCGTCTCTACTAAAAAATACAAAAACTTAGCAGGGTGTGGTGGCGGGCACCTGTAATCCCAGCTACTCAGGAGGCTGAGGCAGGAGAATGGCATGAACCCAGAAGGTGGAGTTTCCAGTGAGCCGAGATCAAGTCACTGCACTCCAACCTGGGCAACAGAGCGAGACTCCATCTCAAAAAAAAAAAAAAAGAAAGAGAAAGAAAATGGTAGCTAATACATAAATGTTATAATATCCCCAAGAGTTTCCTGAAGTCGAGGATAATGACATCTGATTCCTGACATCATTCACAATGCCTAATACATACCAACTACTTAGTATTTCTTGAGTAGATGTCAAGCCACGTTTGTATATATTTTGTTTCGTTTTTAATGTTCTATCTCAGACACAGTGGATGCCAGAGAGTTCATTCTCCTTGATAATAGATCTCTTTAATTCAACCCATTGTCCTCTTGCCACTTGTAGTCACATTCTAGCATCATGGTCAGTGCATACAGTTTTATTTGAAAAGCCATAGATTGACATTGGATTATTAATAACTGAGGTAAGTAAGAAGGGGTGTATGTTGTTGATTACTTTTCCGGGCTATCACTTATCTAGACAGACATTGACCATATTATTGGAAATATGCAGGAAGGCACAATTTTTTTCTGCAAATTCAAGGATGCAGGAAATACTACATGTACTTACCGACTGCCCTTAAGTCTACTCCAGGTCTAAACTTTCACCTCCCTGTATTCCATCTAAGGACCGGACAAACCCAGGCAGGAAGCAGGACAGAGACCAGGGATTCTCCTGATTCTGCATCTTGTTAGGTTCAGAAGACAACACCCCAAAATGAAAACATCAGAAGAACCCTCAGGAGCGAAAGGTTTTCTCTTACTTCCTGCCCTCCCGTCTCACAGTCCCTTTCTCCCCTGAGGCTGGCCATAGAAACTAGAATCCCTTTAACCAAAGGCGGGTCATAGAAACCAGAACCCCTTTTCCCCAAAACCAGCCATAAAACCCAAAAATATGATTCTTACTTTCCTCCTGCATTTCTGTGTAAAAACTGATAAGGAAATCATCTGACCTACTTTGACTGAAGGTTCTAAGATCCCCGTTCCAGAAAGGATCCTGCCCGCAACCCAGAAGGAAGAAACTGTTCAGAGAGACCAAAAAACATATTGACCCACAGGCCTTGCTGGGTTTGGGCAGTCAGTCTATTAGCACGACAGCATGGGCCTTTTTGTCCAATCACGTTTCTTTTTCTTTTTTCTTTTTTTTTTTTTTGAGATGGAGTCTTGCTCTGTTGCCCGGGTTGGAGTGCAGTGGCACCATCTCAGCTCACTGCAACCTCTGCCTCCCGGGTTCAAGCAATTCTCCTGCCTCAGCCTCCCGGGTAGCTGGGATTACAGGCACCCACCACCTGTAATCCCAGCTAATTTTTGTATTTGTAGTAGAGACAAGGTTTCACCATGTTGGCCAGGATGGTCTCGAACTGCTGACCTCAGGTGATCCACTCACCTTGGCATCCCAAGGTGCTGGGATTACAGGTATGAGCCACTGTGTCCGGCTGTCCAATCACATTTCTATATGGCTGTCCATACCTCACTGAACCTAAGCATAGAGATCGACAATTTCCCCTATATCTTTGGGCCTTCATTCTGAAGGCTCCCGTGTCTACACACTAATTTGTGTGTTGCCCAGGTTAATTTTCTCTGATTAACCTGCCTTTTGTAAGTTGATTTTTCAGCTAACCTTCAGAGGGTGAAGGGGAAGTTCTCCCTTGGCTCCTACAATCACTTGTCCTCAGTGGCTTCTGCTGCTGTTTCTGTGGAAGCCAAGGCACAGTTTCTCAGCAGCAGCCCCAGAAGGTGACAATATCAGCCTATCCCAGGCACGACGCACAGACCCTCTCCCCTGGGCCCTCCTCTCTCCTTGTGTTGCTCAAAGGCTCTACCCCTAAAACCTAAGTGGGACAATGAGGTAAGCTGATGCTTGGTGGTGAGACTCTGACTGCCAGAAACACTGAGTTATAACCATGGAAATCCCAGAGGCAAGAAATTAAGATGTCCTGAGTAAAGTCAGGGAATAAAAATAATAAAATATAAATTATCTCAAAAACATCCACCCATAAGTGGAAAATCCAATGTCCCAATGCATAAACTTACTGTTATTGGCTGTGATTGAAATCACATTGGACATTGTATTAGTCTGTTCTCACACTGCTGTAAGAAATACCTGAAATAGGGTAATTCATTTTATTTATTTATTTTATTTATTTATTTATTTATTTTTGAGTCAGAGTCCTACTCTGTCACCCAGGCTGGAGTGCAGTGGAACGATCTCGGCTCACTGCAAGCTCTGCCTCCTGGGTTCACGCCATTATCCTGCCTCAGCCTCCCGAGTAGCTGGGTCTACAGGCTCCCTCCACCACACCTGGCTAATTTTTTGTATTTTAGTAGAGACGGGGTTTCACCATGTTAGCCAGGATGGTCTTGATCTCCTGACCTTGTGATCCACCCACCTCGGCCTCCCAAAGTGCTGGGATTACAGGTGTGAGCCACCGTGCCCAGCCTGAAATAGGGTAATTTATAAAAGAAAAGAGGTTTAATGGACTCACAGTTACACGTGGCTGAGGAGGCCTCACAATCATGGCAGAAGGTGAAGGACTAAACTCACATCTTACATGGCAGTGGCAAAAGAGCGTGTGCAGGGGAACTACCCTTTATAAAACCATCAGATCTTGTGGGACTTACTCTTTATCACGAGAATAGCATGTGAAAAAACCTGCCCGGATGATTCACTTATCTTTCACCAGGTCCCTCCTATGACACAGGGGGATTATAGGAGCTAAAATTCAAGATGAGATTTGGGTGGGGACACAGCCAAACCATGTCACATATCTTCAGTTCACATCAATAAATACGGGTCAATTATAGAATTGGAAAGATATGAATGAGTTTCCCAACTTGTTTCTCTTATAATCAACATTAAAATTTTCCACCTCCCTCCCTTTCTTTCTTCCTGCCTTTATTTTTCTTTCTTGGCTTTCTTTTAGTTTTGGTAAATCTATAATTTTTGCTTCAGCTTTTGGCTTTAAATCTTTCCTGACCCAACTTATTTAGCATGTGAGCAATGGCTGATTAACAATCAAATTTTAGAAAGCGGGGGTCATTCCTGCCTGCTTCATAGCAATT
The DNA here is from genome assembly GCF_000001405.40 of Homo sapiens. Taxonomy (NCBI): domain Eukaryota; kingdom Metazoa; phylum Chordata; class Mammalia; order Primates; family Hominidae; genus Homo; species Homo sapiens. The sequence goes on from NC_000008.11 coordinate 2,490,781, forward strand.
ATCTTATGAATTCCTGCTTTTGCTCTCTCTTCAAGGTATCTCTGTTTTGTTCTTGTTTCTGGCTTTCAAGTCACTTTTCAGATTTGTTGATGAAAAGAGTCAAACTCTCCAAAATATTTGAAGGGATTTATTCTGAGCCAAATATGAACGACCATTGGCTCATGGCAGAGCCCCAGGAGATCCTGAGAACATGTGCCCAAGGTGGCCAGGCTACAGCCTTGTTTTATACATTTTAGGGAGACTTGGGACATCAATCAATATGTGTAAGATCTACATTGGTTTGGTCTGGAAAGGGGGATGACTGCAAATGGGAGTGGGGGAGATGGGGGGCTCCAGGTCATAGGCAGTTGCAAAGATTTTCTGATTGGCAATTGATCAAAAGAAGTATTATCTAAAGACCCGGAATCAATATAAAAGAATGTCTGGGTTAAGATAAGGGGTTGTAGAGACCCCCTTATCATGCAGATGACTCCTCCAGGTGGCAGGATTCAGAGCTCTTATCAGATCTAAAAAGGTGCCAGACTCTTAGTTAATTCTCTATTGGGCCAGGGAAAAGATCTGGAAAAAGAAGAGTATTCTCTATGGAACATAGATTTTCCCCAGAAGAGACAGCTTTGCAGGGCCATTTCAGAATATGCCAAACATATATTTTGGGGTAAAATACTTTGATTTCCTTAGTGGCCAACTACCTGTCATGTGATGCTATATCAGAGTCGGGCTGAAAACTGGTGTCTTATTGTTACAAAAGGCCTGTTTCAATAGCCCTAAGATCTCTGTGTTGATTGTAATGCCACAGCTGTGACTGAATTCCAAAAGGAGGGGTACAATGGGGCGTGTCCAAAGCCCATTTGCCATCACAGCCTGAACTAGTTTTTCAGGTTAACTTTGAAATGCCCTTGGCTGAGAGGAAGGTCCATCAGTCAATTGGAGGGCTTAGGATTTTTACTTTTGGCTTACAGATTTAACAGATTTCAGTTTTTCTCTGCTGCACTGATACTTAGGTCCTATTTTTGCTTTCCCTGGCCTCCTCTTTGCTGTGTTTAAAAGCCCAGCTCCCAGGCCAAGCTTCCAGCAGGGTGGGTAAGTGGGAGGGGAAGAGGTGGGGTGGGGTAAGCACAGGGTAGATCAGGAGTGGATAGGCCCTGAGGAGGGGGAGCAAGCTCGCGGGCCAGGGACTATTTTCACTGCTTTTCTCAAGTCCAGTACGAATCCTGGCATGTCTACCCAGCAGCACAGAGTCCTTGGGCTAAAGTTGTTTGTATTCCTCCAATAATCCATCTGAAGGCCTTAAATCATGACTTCTGTTTCTTTGACTTCCCCACAGTGATGGTCCTAGACTCCCACCACTGGCTCATAGAAGTGGCTTCATTAATAAATGTGGTTAGACTGAAATTAATAATTTTTGTATTTTGTTAGACTGATTTCTTAAGTAATGGAAATACAGCTTTTATATTCATGCTCATGGTTACTCCAACTGAAATTACCTAAATACTCAAGAATGCAAAAAACAATTTGTGCTTTGAAGTGTTCAAATTTCCAAATCACCTTAAAGTGTATTAAAGATAATACTATTAATAATTAAAAAGTATGTACTGGTTGGCTATTTTAGAAATATATATATATGTGACAAGGTCTTGCTTCTCAGTTTGTTGCAGTGGCACAATCAGGGCTCACTGCAGCCTCAACCTCCTGGGCTCAAGTGATTCTCCCACCTCAGGCTCCCAAATAGCTGGGACCACAGGCGTGTGTCACCATGCCCAGCTAATTTTTGTATTTTTTGTAGACACAAGGTTTTACCATGTTGCAAAGGCTGATCTCAAACTCCCAGGTGCAAGTGATTCTCTTGCCTTGGCATCCCAAAGCGCTGGGATTAAGGGTGTGAGCCACTGTACCTGGTGTGGATTTTATATTTTTTAATATGTGTAATGTCTTTTCTCCAAACTTTTAATCTGTACATGGGCAATTCTAATTTTTTTAAGTATGTAAGAAAATGCTAGTTCTCATTTTTACTGCTCCAATGATCAACTTAGAGGCCAACCGAGGCATGCCACTGTCTGGAATTCAAGGAGTATGGAAGGAGGAAGAACTTACTTTTCCATCTGTTCTCCGAGATTCCGTGTCTGGGTCTCTGTGTAAACTGACGAAACACAAATTAACAAGAGGAAAACCAGGTGTAATGACACGTCAACACCTGGGATTTCGAAAAAAGTGTGGCTTAAGCAGGTGGTTAACTTTGGGGCTTCCAGATGATATTAAGGATGATGAAGTGTGGAGAAGAAGGGAGATGAAGGAAGGGAAGTTTGGTGCTTATGGGGGATGAGTTATGGGAATGCGAGTAGGATATGCAGGTAAGAGACGTTTACAAAGGTTTGTTATGCAGATAAGAGTCATCTCAGGCAATAAGAGTTACTCTCAGGTAAGAGAGAAGAGGACACTTTCACAAATAGAAATTGCTTTTGTAAAAGTGAATTTCCTCTACCAAAGGGTTTTAGAGCTTTCCTTGCCTTTGCTGTTCCTCAATTGCCATCAACTCAAAATAATCCTCAGGCCAGAGTGGCATGTTTTCAGGTAGCATCTTCTGGTTGCCTTCAATGTCGTTGAGCAAAGGTTCCTACTGGAAACTCTTTTTCTCTGTCTCACTCTGATGAGTCACAGTGGCACTCGTTCTGAAGCGGTTATGATAGTGATCTGCTGAGGTAAGAGTTGGACTGTGGACCCTCTGTTCCATGAGTCACCATGAATAGCGGCCTTGGCGACCCCAGCTCCGGCCCGGCTGTCAGAGGTTGTAATGATCATCATTTCAGATTTGCCAGCTGAGGAGATGGTGGGCTTCTCCTAAGGCCCCTGTGATCACACAACTTTGGTAGCTCAGTTTGCGCTGGAACTGTGCACTGGTCACAGAGAAGCAGGGCTGTGTCTCCACGGTGCCTTCCTGCTGACCCACACCTCGGTGGCTCTGCTCACCATGTCCCCAGAGCGTCTTGTGTAGCTCTTTGGTCTTCCTAGACCGTGCCCAGGGTCAAAGCCTGGCCTTCAATCCCAGCTCAGTTTTCACCTGCAAACAAGGGCCTCTAACATGACTTTGACTGAAGTGCGTCTCTTTTTTATTTCCTTGTAAGACAGGTCTCATTTGCAGCTTTTAGGACCTCAAGGCAGAGACCTGTGTTTGTGTATTTTCTTCTTCTCCTTGCAATTTTGAAAAACATAGAAAGCAAAAAACAACCAAATAAATATCTTTTTGCTGAGTGTTTGCTACCATGTATGTCGGCAGGATGGCCTTGGAGAAGGCCAAATATCTTCTATTTGGTCCCCTATGAAAACCCAAAGTAAAAAATTAATAAAGCAATTTTAAGATGGGAACTTTTTATTATTATTATTATTATTCTGGAATTGAATTAAGGTTTGTCTTCCAGAGAAGCAAAGAAATCAATGCAAATTCCTTTTAAATATTCCTGTAAGCTAAAGGAATGCTTAATATTAAATTATACGAAAACAAATTATAAATTAAAACAATAAAACAGTCTCTGACAGACAGGTACAAAATGATCTTGTAATTACCTTTATCTAGGAAAATAGACATAGAAACAGAGTGAATTTCTAAATTAGTTTGCTTATTAGAATGTACCTTATACAGAAGGGGGCATTATCTCTGTAATTAGAAAGAACCTGATGTTTTCAAAACATCCAAGCCAACACATTGTGAAATGTTAAATGAAAATGCTGAATTTCTCTACAAAAAAATAGATTGGAAAATTGGTATTTTGTTGGCTTAACTGAATCTGTTTAAGAAACACGCCTGCAATCCAAGCACTTTGGGAGACTTAGGTGGGGGGATCACTTGAAGTCAGGAGTTTGAGACCAGCCTGGCCAACATGGTGAAACATTGTCTCTGCTAAAAATTCAAGAATTAGCTAGGCATGGTGGTGGGCACCTGTAATCCCAGCTACTCAGGAGGCTGAGGGAGGAGAATCGCTTGAATCCGGGAGGTGGAGGTTGCAGTGAGCTGAGATGTTGCCACTGCACTCCAGTCTGGGCGACAGAAGGAGACTCTGTCTCAAAATAAATAAATAGAATACTTGTAGACAATCTATCATACACTTCCCAATACCACATACAAAGAATAGCAATAGCAATGCCCCCCACACCCAACGGGAAACACATCCAGATGGTGGGTTACCAGCATTGAGTCAGGGCTGGCCCCACAGTCCTCAAATTCTTGTCTTCTTGGGAGAAAAAAATTGGTCAAGAGACAGAAGTAGATTTAAGGCAGAAAGGAGAATGTATTGGAGCAAGGAGAAGTCCACTCAGAAAGAATGAAGCAGGCAGCTCCAAAGACTGAGTGCCCCACCTGACTGTCGCTCAGGGCTACTATGGAGTTACTATCCTCTGTTGTTTATCCTGGTCTCTTTCCCTCGTCCTTCCCTTTGGGCAGGTTGTTGGCTAATCGCCCCGTGCGGTGTCTTGCTGGCGTCTGCAGGGGCCACACGTGCCATTTGTTGGTTTAAATTATGCGCATGCTGTGTAAGGGCAATTTTCCCTTACCAGTCTAGGACCCGCACAGGAAGGTCATATACAGGTCAAACTCCACCATTTTGCCCCTTACTGCGCAAGCCCGGACATGTCCACAGGGGAAGGTCAAATGCTTCCTTTTTAAGTTCTTATTAGGAAGTCGTGGGCCACAGGCTCAGGATGTCTCCTGTATGTTAGGAAATTTTCTTTTCCCTGTTACCAGCCCCTTGACAGTCACCTGACATTCCTTGGAGCCTAGTCCTTCTCTGCTCTTGTAACCGCCCAATGGGTTCACCTTGCCTGCTGCCTAGACAGAGCCGATTCATCAAGACAGAAGACGTGCGTTAGAGAAATAGTAATTCACACGGAGGAGGCTGTGCAGGAGACTGCAGTTTTATTATTACTCAAATCAGTCTCTCTGAGCATTTGGGAGCAGAGTTTTTAAGGACAATTTGGTGGGTGGGGGGAAGCCGGTGAGCCAGAAGTGCTGATTGTTCGGGGATGAAATCATAGAGAGTTGAAGCTATTCTCTTGCACTGAGTCAATTCCTGGGTGGGGGTCACAAGATCAGATGAGCCAGTTTATCTGTCTGGGTGGTGCCAGCTGATCCATCAAGTGCAGGGTTTGCAAAATATATCAAGTACTGATCTTAGGAGCAGTTTGGGGAGGGTCAGACTCTTGTAGCTTCCAGCTGCATGGCTCCTAAGCCATAATTTCTAATCTTGTGGCTAATATTAGTCCTATAAAGGCAATCTAATCCCCAGATGAGAAGGAGATCTGCTTTGGGAAAGGACTGTTATTATCTTTGTTTTAAACTATAAACTATAAGTTCCTCCCAAAGTTAGTTCAGCCTATGCCCAGGAATGAACAAGGACAGCTTGGAGGTTAGAAGCAAGATGGAATCAATTAAGTTAGATCTCTTTCAGTGTCTCCATCATAATTTTGCAAAGGCATAATTTTGTAATTAAGTTAGATCTCTTTCACTGTCTCAGTCATAATTTTGCAAAGGCAATTTCACTCATATCTGCCTGTCCACCTATTCTCACAGTGGTGGAGTCAGGGGGACAAGGGAGGGAATGGAGCTTTTGTTCTGGGGTCAACTCACTCATTCTGTAGCAGCAACAGATTCAAAGTCTCAGTGACTCACAGGCAGATGGTTTTTCTTACAGCTGCATTTCTCTCCTGAGTCACCTGCACTTGGGTGCCCCAGCTGGAAGAGCCATCTTTATACCTATTGCCTTGGGGAGAAACTTGATGGTTGGGTGCTAGCTGGCTCCACACAGGTGAGAAATTGTGCACACACTACATCCAATTCTGGGACAGGAATGGCAGAGGAAGAGAAGGCAGGGCAGCAAATATTTGGGAACAAGAACACAGCCAGTTACAGTGTGAGGGAGATAAATCATCGTGTTAGAGGGTATTAAACCGAGATGGCTCTTGGTGTTATGCCATTAGTCCATTAATGGAGGAGCCTACATAACTCCATCTCAGGTGTGTGGTCATGCAAAGAAAGACAGAAGGACAGTCTGGCATCTGACAGGTTGTGCAGTTAGATTGATTAATCTGAACCCATTTAATATCATAAATAACATTAGATTGATATGATCAAGGTTTGATGGATAGGAGCTTTAAAATCCCCACAAACATTACATATCTCTTTTTGAAATCTGGCTTTATGGGACAACAGCACATTTTTGGTTTTAGGGGTCAAGAGAGCATCATCAATAATGCATATGGGGTAAAGTCACATCGTCGTTTGTGTTGCACTGATCTGCTAAGTAAATTCTATCGTGTTGCAAAAGGTGGACATTTTGCTGAAAAATGTGTATTTCTTGATATCACACTAGGAATGCATTTTGTAAATATCCACCCAAAGACAGCGTTGGATAGAGTAAGCAGCTGTGACAATGTGAACATCAGGAAGGCAGGCCAGTGTGCTGGGAGAAAGGGGCACTCTCTTTAAGCCGCTGCTTTGTAAGCTTCAGAGATGCATCCGGACAGAGACAGCAACAGGAATTTGTGCCTCCATTGTAGCCATGCCCTGGGGGCATGCCAGCCCAGTTAAGGCACCAGTCCACGTGGAAATGTTGGGCACACACTGGCCTTTGCTGCCTGACACAGAGTCAGACCAGCACCTTGAGCCAGGCGGTCTTCAGGACAGAGCCAGCTGTGGGGTCATTCTGTGTGGCTTCCCAGACAGTTAGCCAGGTGGAAGGATATTTGCTGTCTGCAAGTCTCTCAAGCTACAGAATTGTGGTTTGGTGGAGCATGCAAATGTGCGACCCTCTCTTTCTAGAAATCCCGAGTGTGCAGTTGTCACTGGGGTCCACAGCTGGGAAGACATGCAGCTAAATGCACTCTCAGGTCATGTCTTCCTCTGTGCAAGGCTTCCCACGGTTCCTGGCTGCACTGACAAGACCCACCACCCACAGCCTCTGCGCATCCTGGGGGCTCAGCTCAGCTGCCGTGGAGTGAGCCCTGTAGCAGTATTTGTAACTGGCATAAGGGGTCCCCTCCCAAAACTTGCAGGAAATCTTTTGGCAGAAGCAGAAGCTCCGTACTGAGACGTTCAGAGTGAAATGTTCTTGTTCTTGTTGCCCTGTGTTTTGGAGTCATTAAATCACAACTGGGCTCACCTCTGCTGTTCAGGACAATCATTCCGGTCCTTACCTTTCACCAGGGGAAACTGTGGGTGTGGATTAAGATCTTGCGTTGTGAGAGAAATGTCTAGCACCTTCTTAGAGTTATAGGGGAGAATTGGACCTCATGCATTATAAATTGTGTTCACATATTAGCTTTATTTAATGTGACTCTAGTCTTTGGACCAATGACTATTGAGTTTTAAAGTATAGATAGACCAATGAGAATTTGATAGTTATTTTTGAAAAGTCAATAACATGATGGCTTTATATATCCTGGTAAGTGAAATATAGACTAACTTATAGAAGTTATTGGAAGGCATATTTTTTTCTAAGAAAAACTTTGAAAGGTCTATGAGCTGGCCAAAGAAGGAACGTACTGTCTCAGGAGGCAGTGTGTCCTATCCCTGGACACGTTCAAGCACAGGGTAACTTACTGTTTGGCTGGATTTTTGTAGAATGGATTAAAGTATCAAATCATTGTTTATCGTTCAGTAGAGTTTTTTTGTTTGTTTTTGGTATAGTTATATAACTATTGATCTACCCAAAATCTTTATTAACCTTTTAACTGTGCATATAGCATACACCAGTTCCTGTGTTGGCTAGTTATACCAAGAGGTGTTAATTTTAGTATTCCCATGCTCAGCTTTCTAACTAGAGAATATTGTATGTCAAAAGGAATAAGGTCCAAATGTGGCCGAACGTATTTAAACCTATCCTAATTACAAGGAAAAGTGTAAAAAGTAAACTTCCACATCTAGATAGCCCTAGAGACTGCCAGCTATATTCATTTGTCATTCTGGCGAGGATATATTTTTGATGATTGAATTTGCATTTATCTCGTGCCGAATGGTTTTGAGCTCTTGGCTGTGAGTGCACCATTTGGCATCTTCTGGGAAGAGCTTGCGCAAGTCCTGTGCTTATTCTTAATGGAGTTGTTTATCATTTCTCACAATAATTTGTAGCAGGTGTTCATGCATCTAGGGTAGGAGTCATTTGTTGGATAAATAGATTTCAGGTCTTTTCTTCTGTTCTGGCTTTTTCTTTCATTCTCTTTATGGTACTTTTTTTGATAAGCTGAGATTTTCAATTTTAATGTAGTCCAGTTATCCTTGTCTCTTTTTATGATTAGTGTTTTCTGTTGTTTAAAAAAATACTATTCTGGTATATTCTAATATTGTTCTACTTTCTATGTTTAGTTATATTAACCATCTTTAACCAAAACTCTCATATTCCTTCCTGGTAGGCCTGATTCATGCCTTTGAAAAACTGGCAGTGTCCACTAAACTAACTTGTAAGTATCTCCTAACACACAGCATTTCCACCACTAAATAAATACTCAACAGAAACAGATTTGTATTCACCCGAAGACACTACAGCTTAAAGTTTATAGCAGCCTTAACCACGTTAGTCCAATGCTGGAAGAAACTCAAATAGCCATCAAATAAGAATGGGCAAATAGACGGTGGCATGTTCTTGTAATTAAACACTACACTGCAAAGAAAAGAAGAAAATTACTTGCAACGACACGAATGGATCTCAAAAACATTATGTTGAGCAAAGAACGCCAAGAACAAGCATGTACATACTGTTGGGGACCATTTCTTGCCATTCAAAAACTGGCAAAACTAATGTATGTCAGTGAAGATGAGAATAATGGTTACCTTTAATGCTGACACAAGTATTGACGTAAGGAGCGTGGGTGCATATTTTGGGGGTACTGAACATGTTCTTTATCCTGATCTTGGTGTGGTTCCACAAGACTAAACATATGTGAAAACTGACCAAGGTTTACACTTGAGGTTTGTGAACCTAAACAAAGTCAATCACACTTAAATTAAGAATGAAAGGAAAAGATCTCAATTTGTTTAACAAGGCAGTAGCAGCCATGTTAACAATAACAACCTCAGAAGGTGCTCGAGTTATAGCTAAAGGACTTAGTTCTGAGCTTCGTATGTTTAAAACATGTATGCAAAATTGCTAAGTATGTCTCGGGTCACTTTGCAACATCCTGGGAGATTTTAAGCCCATGGAAATATAGGGACCAGAAGGTGGCCCTTGAAAATCAAATCATCTGCTGTGTCACTTCCATACATTTTCTGATCATGCCCCTTTCTATGAAAAAATTAATTTCCCAAGTGAAACAGTTCTTCCTCTGAATTGACTTTGGCTTAAAACAACAGCTTTAAAGGTAACTGCATAGACAAAATGGTGCAAGGAAGCATGCAATCCACCCACTAAGGAGGAACAATGAGTTAGTTACATGTTTTAATGGCTGTGGCTAGGATTCGACTGTTGAAAAAGGCTGGGATCTCTGGAAGTGATGGTGACAGGAAGCAGCCAAATGCCTAGGCAGATAGGGGCAGGTACCAGGTACCCAATGACCCCTACCATCAAGCCAAAGACAGTTTAAAGCCTAAAAGCCGAGCTACAGGTTAAATCCTCAGACTGGATTGAGAACCTGTCTTCCAGTTCTCGGACTGGACTGTGAACCTGTCTTCCTGTTCTCACACTGGATTGATAACCTGTCTTCCTGTTCTCGAACTGGATTGATAATCTGTCTTTCTGTTCTTTGACTCGATTGAGAACCTATCTTCCTGTTCTCAGACTGGATTGAGAACCTGTCTTCCTATTCTCAGACTGGATTGGGAGCCTGTTTTCCTATCCTCAGACTGAATTGAGAAATTATCTTCCTGTTTGGTGTGCTTTCCTTGGATTGATCCCCACCCTTCACCTATTTTACATATACCTCCCCTTTCCTAATTGGTTTTCCACACTGTTGTGCCAGCCTTTGAGTGGTGTCTTCACTTTAAACTTTTTTGCATACTCACAAACCAATCAGCATGCACCTTCCATCCTGTGCCTACAAAGAGCCCAGACTCACTTGGTAGAGTAGGAGACAACCTGAGCTCGGGGAAGATGACCGGCCCTTTCTATCCCCTCTCCAGCTCCCCTTTCTACTAACAGCCATTTTCATTGCTCAATAAAACTCTCCACCTTCATCATCCTTCAATTGTCTGTGTGAGCTCATTCTTTGTGGATGTCAGAAAACAGCTTGGGACCCACTGAGTGTGGGTACCCAGAAAGGCCGTCACACCAGTCCTTTGCCTTTACCAGTCGGGGCAGCAGCTCAAGGCAATGAGTCAAGGGGCCAACTGAGCTGCTAACACACTGCCGTCCGTGGATGGCAGAACTAAGAAAGCACTGCAACACCTGCTCTGGGGCTTTGGGATCGCAGGCACCTCCTCCTGGGCACCACTGCAGGCTTTGCATGGAGGTTTCTCCTGTGTCAACACCGGAGCTGTCAGCCTGGACACCGTACTTGCTCACTTATGTGCTCCTTCCTGCAAGGGGCTGAGCACAGCAGGCTGAATGGAGGGGCTCCCCTCCCACTTGAATGCTCCCTCCCAACATGAACGCTCGTGGTTGGTATCTGACTCAGCACAGCCTTCCTTTCACTGCAGTGTGGACTTAGAATCCCTCATATCAAAGCAGCATAGGCTGGCTCCCAAATGACACAAGTTCACTTGAGGTAACAGCTCCGCTTTCAAATTCTATGATGTTGTTTCAAGTGCCATATTCAACTCAAAAAAGGTAAATTTAATGAGTTGCATGATTCAAGTTGTCCATGAGATAGAGCAGACCCATAGCTCAGGTGGAGTACACCAGGCAATAGGAACGCCCTCACATTGCCTCGGTGACGGCTCTCCCAGGACCCCTGCTCATCACGTGCTCTGCCCTGAAGCACCTCATGAATCACAGGCAGTTCTGTAGGAGACGAGTTCAGTGTGGCCCAAGCATCAGAGTTTCTGTTGGCGTAGCTTGATTTGGTGATCACTTTGGAAATATCTACGACTCTGGAGGAATATGTTTTCCTTTCAACAACACCCTCAATGTGTTTTCCTTTAGAGATTAAGATGTATTAATTTATCAATGAATAGATTAATTAAGTGCTCAAGGTTTTCTCCTTTATAAGTATCTATATTCTTTACTGGTACAGAACTTTATGCTTAACAGAAAATCCAATCGAGTTGCTGGTGGGGCCAACATTATTTCCTTGAATGTGGGAGCTGAAAAAGTCAACCACCTGAATGGAGCATGAGTAGAGGAAGCACCTTTGACGGGTCAGGAAACCCTGCAGGAGTGCATTCTACAGGAAGCACCTTTGACGGGACAGGAAGCCCTGCAGGAGTGCATTCTACAGGAAGTACCTTTGACGGGTCAGGAAACCCTGCAGGAGTACATTCTACAGGAAGCACCTCTGACAAGTCAGGAAGCCCTGCAGGAGTGCATTCTACAGGAAGTACCTTTGACAGGTCAGGAAGCCCTGCAGGAGTGCATTCTACAGGAAGTACCTTTGATGGGTCAGGAAGCCCTGCAGGAGTGCATTCCGTACTAAGACACCACTGCATCAGAAGAGAAACTGTGCTGGAGTTCCCAAGAGTGCTAAAATGAACCCAGTTAAGGTGAAATACAAGCAGGAGTGTTTCTGATACATATTTTTAGGGCAAGCTTTCCTCCTCAAAACACAATGAGGAATTGTGTTTTATAATTTTGCACTTAAAACTGTTGTTTCATACTGATCTGCTTCTAAGTGTATTTACATTAATACCAGCTTCTGCAGGGAAATTGCAATATCATAAACATGAAAAATTCATGATTCATGTCATTGCTAATAAAGACCCTATAACCAGAATGCTGAAAATATTCACAATCGAGAAAATAAATTAATATTTTAATGAAACCGGAGAACGGGGGTACATTTGAGATCATGTTATAATCAGTTGTCATGTTTTATGTTTAGGTCGCAAAGTTTACAGTTGTCAAAACTTGCTCAAATAGTAAAGAAATGGCTCTAATAATTGAATTTGACAATTTAAACTCAATTGTAGTATATTAAAACATTATTTCCAGGGAGGTCTTGAAAGATAGTTTGTGCCTAATAGGAAGGGTAGCATAATTTTAAATGACGGGCAGAATACTCCAAAAATTATTATGCGTAGGAAAATATTTACATTATTAGGATTAAGAAACAGGCAGTCGAAATAGAATTTGGTTTAAATTATGGGCACATGAAATTTGAAATGCAAGGAGGGAAAAAGCTCATTTTTTTTATAGCCTGGTTTCTTAGGAATGGTTATAAATAAGATTTATTGTCAACGTTTTCATTGTGAAATGTTAATAAAGCATCAAATATTTGAAAGATTTAATAGAAGACAAAGGACGTGCCTTGTTTGTTGAGCCCACCAGTTAAAACTTTATGTTATTTCTGTCCAGTAAACCTTTATGGAGTTTCTACTCTGTATTCAGCTTATGTCACTGTGAGAATTCAAAGGCAAGTGATCAGTTGTTCTTGGCCTCAAACCCCCCAACAAGGCAGTGCAGGAGAGGACCCAGAAGGGGGCTGCAGAGGGCAGGTGGGCGGACGGGGGCCATGGGCACTGGGAGGGGCCCCTGGGGCTGTTATCCACCATGGTGGAGAAGGGAAGGTGGGTCTCTGGGCATAGGTGGTGTGGAAAACCAACCCAATCATTCCATCTGGATACTTCTTTCAGTCCCTTATGGGGAGTCACTGATATTTATTCAAACATTCTGTGTGCTTGCTTCACATGCCTGCTGTGAACACTGCAAGTCTGTACACGGCTTGCCGAGAATGCAGGTTCTGCCTCAGAGACGAGACTTCTTGGCATTGCGAATCGATGTACACGTGACTTCTCCACACAGGCCTCACTCCTCAGCATGGGGCAGCAGGACCCGGCGTCCAATCCAATCATGATGTTGGCCTTTTGGGGAGATTTAGGAGGAAGATTATGGTGTCAGCTTCATAGACAAAAAGATGGGGTTCTAGGAGACTCTAGTGACAGAATCAGCACTTCAGCAACAGTCTTCTGACCACCTTTCCACCTATTTGTCCATTTGAGTTATGGAAGTCTGTTAAGGAAAGCATAAATAAGGAATTGGAATAAAGTTCTCTATTGGAGTCCTGCACCCTTGCTGGTGGATAAACAAGCTTTATACTTTGAAGTGGCTGAAAAGGTATACTCTCACTTTTGTAAACATTCAGTGTTGTTTTGTTTTGTCTTTTTCTCTCTCCCTCCTGTTACTGCTGTTCCAATCATTAGAACGGTATAACTGTTGCTCGTGATAATTTCCTATCAGGAGAAATTTAGTGATGTCTGAACCTGGAAACTCTTGAGAACAAACCTCCAGCAGCATGAAGTTTCGGGAAGACAGGCTGCTCTCTGCAAGGATGGAGAGAAGTCACCCGGGGCTGCCTCGGGACTATGTGTGTCTCCATTCATGAAAACCAGAATGATTTAGAACCAGAATGTGGGATACCTTGATGTGGCCCTCCCCTTTTGGCCCCGGCACAGCACACAGTCCCGTTGCTGGTTCCCACTCCACTCCTGTGGAAGGTTCCAGAACCCACAGAGCCTTGCCAGCAGTCCCGCCAGTGCTCACTGGGCTTCCTTGCTGCTGTTCCAGGGCCTCCCTGGCACTGGCATCTTACCTCCCCTGCCCTGCTCTTTCCTGGAAGCATGCCCCAAATAGAAGCAAGAGGAAGCAGCCTTCCCCTCCACACTATTGCCCCAGCTCAGACCACAAGGGGTTTTGTCATTTACCAAACACACCAGGATACTTTCTGCCTCTAGACCCCATTTTATCTTCTCTGCCTGTGGGATTCATTTTCGAAACAGGCCTTTCACATCTGGACAACACAGACGTCTGCCTGACTCCCACCAGGGTGCTTGTCCTGGGAGGGAGCTTGTCCGGGGAGGGAGCTCGTCCCAGGAGGCAGCGCTTTGCTGGTTTGGTGGGGCCTGATGTCTCTCCTTCCTCCCATCTGGGAAGCCACTTGAGGGCAGCCTCTGACTGAACAGGGTGCATTCCTAGCACCCACAACAGCACTGTCCTATGTGCTGGGCTCTGTAATTATTTGTTGAAGAGATGCATATTTAAGTCAGATTTTTTAAAATGAAAGCTTAACATAACATCATGGAGTACACTGTTAAAATCCTTTAAGTCACCTGTTTAGAAATATGAGGGCCCTACATTGTTGGATGCCAATCCATAAAGACACATCGCACAGAAGTCAACACAGGACTTTTCTGAGAGCCGCTGGCCTGGCCTCTGTCCTCCGTCCTCCCTCCTCGCCGGCCCGGCTTCTTTAAAGCAGAATGCACGAAGTTTCCAGAGCAAGTGGAGCCCGGCTTCCCTGAAGGAGATTGCACCGAAGTCACAGACCGAGTGATGTCTGGCTTCCATGAAGGTGATTTCACATGGAGTTCACAGACCGAGTGGCGCTGGCTTCCCTGAGGAGAGTGGAAAGAGGTCACACGCTGAATGGACCTGGCTTCTCTGAAGGAGATTGCACCAAGCTCACACACCACGTGGTGCCTGGGTTCCCTGAGGAGATTGCACCCAGGTAACAGACTGAGTGGTGTTCAGCATTTCTGAGTGGAATGCACCAAGGTCACAGAGCCCGGCTTTCCTGAAGGAGATTACATGGAGTTCACAGAGCAAGTGGTACCCGGCTTCTCTGAGGAGAATGCACTGAATTCACACTCCAAGTGGTGACCGGCTTTACTGAGGAGATTGCACTGAGGTCACAGACAAAGTGGTGTCCGGCTTTCCTGAAGGAGAGTGCATGCAGTTCACAGAGCGAGTGGTACCCGGCTTCCCTGAGAATGCACTGAATTCACACACCGAGTGGTGACCAGCTTCTCTGAGGAGAATGCACTGAGGTCACAGACTGAGTGGTGCCTGGCTTCCATAAATGAAAACGCACTGAGATCATAGACCGAGTGGTATCTGGCTTTCCTGAAAAGGAGTCGGCACTGAGGTCACAGAGTGAGTGCTGCTGGCTTCTCTGAGTTGAACGCACCGAATTCACACACGGAGTGGTGCCTGGCTTTACTGAGGAGAATACACTGAAGTCACAGACTGAGTGGTGCCAGATTCTCTGAGGAGATTGCACCGAGGTCATAGACCAAGTGGTGTCCGGCTTTCCTGAAGGAGACTGCATGGATTTCACAGACTGAGTGCTGCTCGGCTTCTCTGAGGAGAATGCACCAAGTGGTGTCCGGCTTTCCTGAAGGAGATTGCATGAAGTCCACAGACCAAGTGGTGACGGCTTCCCTGAGGAGAATGCACGGAGTTCACAGACCGAATGGGTGCTGGCTTCCCTGAGGAGATGGTACCGAGGTCACAGACCGAGTGGTGCCCGGCTTCCACGAAGGCGATTGCATGGAGTCCACAGACCAAGTGGTGATGGCTTCCCTGAGGAGAATGCACCAAAATCACAGACCCAGTGTTGGCTGACTTCCCTGAAGGAGACCGCACGGAAGTCACAGGCTGCGTGTTGGCTGGCTTCCCTGAGGAGAATGCAACCAGGTCACAGACCAAGTGGAACGCAGCTTCTCTGAGGAGAATGCACCGAATTTACCCCAAGTGGTGCCCGGCTTCTCTAAGGAGATTGCACTGAGGTCGCAGACTGAGTGGTATCCAGCATTTCTGAGGGGAATGTACCTAGATCATAGACGGAGTGGAGCCCAGCTTTCCTGAAGGAGATTGCATGGAGTTCACAGAGCTAGTGGTGCCCCTCTTCTCTGAGGAGACTGCACCGAATTCACACACTGAACGGTGCCGGGCTTCACTGAGGAGACTGCACTGAGGTCACAGACCAGGTGGAGCCCGGCTTCCCTGAAGGAGAATGCACTGAAATCACAGACCGAGTGGTGCCACCTTCTCTGAGGAGAATGCACTGAGGTCACAGACCGAGTGATGTCCAGCTTCCCTGAAGGAGATTGGTTGGAGTTCACAGACCGAGTGGTGCCGCCTTCTCTGAGGAGAATGCACTGAGGTCACAGACCGAGTGGCGCCAGCTTTTCTGAAGGAGATTGCAGGGAAGTCACAGGCTGAGTGTTGGCTGGCTTCCCTGAGGAAACTGTAACCAGGTCCCAGACCTGGTGTCCAGCTTTCCTGAAGGAGACTGCGCCGAGTTCACAGACCGAGTGGTGTCGGCTTCTCTGAGGAGATTCCACCAAAGTCACCGACCAAGTGGTGCACAGCTTCACTGAGGAGACTGCACCCAGGTCACAGACTGAGTGATGTCCGGCTTCCCTGAAGGAGATTGCACCAAGTTCACAGAGCAAGTGGTGTCGCTTTTCCTGAAGGAGATTGTGCTGAGGTCACAGGCTGAGTGGTGTCCAGATTTCCTGAGGAGAATGCACCAAGGTCACAGACTGAGTGGCGTCCGACTTCCGTAGGGGAGAGTGCGCTGAGTTCACACACTGAGTAGTGTCTGGCTTCTCTGAAGGAGAATGTGCTGACGTCACAGACCTAGCGGTGCTTTTGTATCACTCTCCGCTGGTGATTCTTCGCCTGTCTGCAGGGTTCTCACTGCCGTTTCTGCCTGACAAACTCCTACTTATTCAACACCTCCCAGCTCACACTCAACTTCTCTGCAGAAGCTTCCAATTCCTTATCCCGCCTGTCTGCAGGGTTCTCACTGCCGTTCCTGCCTGACAAACTCCTACTTATTCAATACCTCCCAGCTCACACTCAGCTTCTCTGCAGAAGCTTCCAATTCCTTATCCCTCTGCCAAAGTTACTTGTTCTCTTCTCTGAGCTGTTTTGCACTTTGTTCATGCTTTGGGTGGTAGTTTTGAAGTCGGTCCTCCCGTGGTGACTTCTTCAGGGCAGCCTGTGCACCATGTGTTTTTAATTCCACAGTGGCCCGGGTCCCCCTAGGGCAGGGGGTCCCCAACCCCCCAGGCCATGGACCACTATCTGTCCCTGGCCTTTTAGGAGCTGACCTGCACAGCAGGAGGCGAATGGTGGAGGGCGAACAAGTGACGCTTCCCCTGTATCTACGACTGCACCCCATCACTCGCATTACCACCTGAGCTCTGCCTCCTGTTAGATCAGCAGTGACACTATATTCTCATAGGAGCTCAAACCCTGCTGTGAACTGCGTATGTGCGAGATCTAGGTTGTGCGCTCCTGCTGAGAATTTAATGCCTGGTGATCTGCCACTGTCCCCCATCATCCCCAGATGATACCATCTAGTTGCAGGAAAACAAGCTCGGAACTCCCACTGATTCTGCATGACAGTGAGTTGCATAATTATTTTATCTTACAATGTAAAAATAATAGAAATATAGTGCAGAATAAATGTAATATGCTTGAATCATCCTGAAACCATCTCCCATGCCCTGTCCATGGAAAAATTATCTTCCTCAAAACTGGTCCCTGGTGCCAAAAGATTGGGGGCTGCTGCCCTAGGGCGTTGTTTGTGACCTTGTCAATGGCTCGATGGTGCCAACAAAGGTGACAGCTCCTCACAAACAATCTATGCACACTGATTACTCTGTAGAGCCCTGGAGGGTCTTTGAGTGGTTTCACATGTGCCGAATAATAATAATAATAGCAATGAAAACTTCAGATTGATATCGTAATATTATATTGTACAATATTATATGATGTACCAGCTGAATCAATGAATTTGGTGCATGCCCAACTTAAAATGCTTTCATTTCTCTTTCATATTCAGGAAAACGTAATGGACATTACATTCTTTAGAAAAATGATTAAACATCTAATAGAAATCTAACACATTAAAATAGTTTTTAAAATGTGTTCTGATGATATTTCTCATCATAATATAATTGAATGCCTACTCGGCAACAAAGCAAAATGAAACAACAAAAACAAAAATGACAAAGAAGAGCAAAAAAAGAGACAAAGACAAAAAGAAAAAGAAGGGGAGGAAAGAAAGAAATAAGTGAGGAAGGGAAAGGGGAAGGAAGGAAAGAAAGAAAGAAGAAAAGAAGAAAAGAAAATTGAACATTTTGGCCTATGCACAACTCAAAGTTTCATAGATCACTCTGGTTACAAACCACTTATAGAGAGACTTAAACACTTCTGAATATTATGACTAGTCTTTAAAAACTAAAATTCGACGGAAGCATTACCATTTTTGCTATGCCAGAACTGTGTGCAATGATAATGAAAACATTAAAAAGTAAAATTAAATGTTATATTTTATATAATGTGTGTGTGTGTAAATCAGCCATTAGCTTTAGGAACTTAAAATATTTAATGGAAGCAAACAGTGTTGTGTTTCATCATACCGAGTAAATCTGTTCTTAAGATAAACAATTATGATTACGATTTGGTGTCAGATGAAAGTAGATAATTTTTACAAATGCCTAAATTGATTTGTTAATTCTTGATTTTGTTTCTTAGGCAATTGAAGCTTAAGTGACTTGGTTTGTGTTGAAGTACGCATTGAAGGATTCTTTCAGACAGCACAAAATTCACCATTTTTTTTTTTGTCCTTGGGTAGGCTTGAGGGTCTATAGATAGGGCTTTGCTCTTTATATAAAATGAAATCAGCTCAGACACTCTTAAATACCGCTAATAAGTTACATATTCCTCTGCCTTTAATGCTTTACACATTAGTATAATCTGGAAGTGACAAGTGACTTTTGGAAATAATTCACTAATAAACTCTTTTTTACCTTAGAATGAGATTGTGAATCGTAGCATTTAACTTGGAACTGAATGTTACTGTTTAATTTCTTTAGCAGGCAGATGCTGAACTTTTCTTATTCCAATCTTGAAATATCTGACCTCTAAAACTCACCAGCTCAGAAAAGATTATCTTGGTATTAAAAGATTTGTTAGCTCTGTTTAAAAGGTCTATTTGCCGTCCTCACTGCATCTGTAAGCCTCCTGGGTAGGGGATTGTCGCTTCAGCGACTCTCTGACCTGTGCCCCTCTCTTCCGCCCTCTGGCTGTGATGCTAGTTTGACTTCATCACGTAGAAAAATTACCACACGACTTGGACCCAGAGGGTCATAGAAGTGTCCTGTGTTCAACTTATTTTTCTACATCAGGTCTAGCTAAATTCCTTTGCAGTAAATCTTTGAATGACTACTCTGAGAATTAATAGGTGGCATGTTATATTAAGAGATAGAGTTATTTCATTTCGGTCTGGTATATTTGTCTACAACTGCTGTTCAAAAGCTTTTGCAAAATGAGGACTGATGAAGCTTCTGTTAGAATTATTTTTTTCCTTGGGAATCATGAGAATTTAGTATAATTACTATTAATTTTTATCAGGTGCTTTGTTAAAAGTAGACAATTTTAGACCATGGCCACTTATTTTTTTCTTTAGAAAATATGTGCCAGGCACTGTGGCTCACGCCTGTAATCCCAGCACTTTGGGAGCCTGAGGTGGGTGGACCATGAGGTCAGGAGTTAGAGACCAGCCTGGCCAATATGGTGAAACCCCATCTCTCCTAAAAATACACAAATTAGCTGGGCATGGTGGCACATGCCTGTAATCCCAGTTACTAGGGAGGCTGAGGCAGAAGAATCGCTTGAACCTGGGAGGCAGAGGTTGAAGTGAGCTGAGATCACTCCACTGTACTCCAGCCTGGGTGACAGAGCGAGACTCTGTCTCAAAAAAAAAATAAAGAAAAAGAAAAAGAAAATATGTTAACCATATTCTTAAATTTAATTAAAATGAAAGAGTTGAATTAACACTCCTTTTTCTCAATCAAAAAACAAACCAATTTGATTAAATATAGATAGATAAGTGGAGACAGATAGATAGACACAGGTATAGATATAGACACCTTAGCTACATAATCCAGAAACTAGAGAGATTTGGCCAACTCTATTCCAACAGTGTCTTCAGTATGTTTACAATTAACTAGTATACTAGGAAGCATTACAGTAATCACTTATACAAAGCTATACTTTCCAATCCAATATTGACTATAATGCATATTTTAAGTGAAAATGAATTAAGTCTGCTGTGAGAGTAAAAATGTGAAGAGTTAATTTGAACAAAAAAAGGACAGTAGGACATTTTTAAAAAATGAATTATAGAAATAAAAGGAGCATGTAGTGATTTTTGTTTCAGAAGAAGGAAGACTATATTTCAGTGAAATTAGAAGAAAATGAAGATAATTATATACTCACCAGCAAAGGAAAGCTTCCCCAAAGAATTACAAAGTGAATAACACCAGCCACATGTCACAGAACAGGATTTTATATCACCATAAAGCCAGTCCAGAGGTAACAGGTGCTGCACACATCACTGAGGTGTCACCCAGCAGCAGGTACATCCCTAGAGGAATTATCAGATGGAGAGAAAAGTGAGCCCCAGAGCTGTCAGGATAGCTGCAGCCAGTTGAGGTGCATGAAACAGTCCCTGCTTTGTGCTCTTGTTGCAGGGCGAGCAAACCCAAAATTGGGGCTCAGCCTGGGAGGGTTCTAGGCTTCATCCAGGAAAGAATTCAAAGGTGAGCCAGTGGTGTTGATAACAACTTTTATTGAAGTGACAATGCACGACAGCAGCAGAGGTCCTGCTCCTTGCAGAGCAGGGCGACCCCACAGGCCGTGTGCTGAGTGGCAGCTCAGAGGCAGTGCTGTGCTCAGAGCTACGCGCACTCATATTTGTGTTTTTGCTCATATTTCACGTGACTTCATTGAAGAGGACAATATTTGAAAGCATGGTCCCAGGATGGCATTAGGATTTCTGACGCTTTACATTAAAAGTTTTATTTGCTCTTGATTCATGTTTTCAAAACAATTGATATACTCTGAGACTATTTATTTTGAGCAGAGAATGGACCCAGAAATACTTTTCACAAAGTTCAAACTGTTAATTATATGCTAATTAAGGGGCGGGTTATGCGTCAATTTCTAGACAAAGGGTGGGAACTTTCAGTGTTGCCACGGAAAGGGGCAGCAATTTGTAGGTGTTGCATGGCAACAGCAAACTGAGATGGCACTGGTGGGGTGTCTTGGGGAGAGGTGCCTTTGCATCTTCCCTGTTTCTGGCAGCTTTCAATCTGGTCTGGAGTCCAAGCCCTACTTTCAGATTCAAGTTCTGCTTCCTACCTCACTAGGAGTTAGATAAATACTAGTTGAATCTTTGAATCAGTGGATAGGTGAATTACTACCTCCAAGGCCAAACTTAAGCATTGGGTTAAGGTTTTACATGAGACTATCAGAGGAAAATTTGTGCTGAATTTAATTAGAAAAATGGAAAAACAACAGCCCCATAAATATGTGAGCATTCCCCCAGGACACAGACAATCTGCAAAAACTAATAATGAAAGCTCCGCCCAGGAAAATTTGCCATAATTCCTATAAGTATTTGCCTCAGGTAAGGCAAGGTCTAACGAATCTTAAGAACTCAAATGGGACACTCTGAGATAAGGCAGTGCAGGGTGACCCACAGAGCCTTGTGTGCCGCCAGGGTTCTCTTGGGAAGATCAGGCAGATAGATTTGGATATGTAGATATATAGTTATAGATATAGACAGAGCTATGCAGGTAGCTGTAGATACAGTGATAGAATAGAGTCATATGTGCAGATAGGGACAGAGATAGAGACACAGATATTTAATAGACACAGATACAGAGACAGAAATAAAATAGAGATGAAGGTACAGACAGAGATACAGATGTAAATATACATACAGCTATTTATTTTCAAATTCTCTCTCACCAGCTTCCCCTGCTTATACCATTTTTCGAAGTACAGAAGACAATCTCGGCGTCTTTTCTTCAGGTCCTTTCTTGAACCACATTACAACATCTGAGATAGGCAACTAGAATTCACTCTAACAAAGCCCTGTTGTCTGTTTTTCTCTCTCGTATAAGCAAAAGCCTGCTGCGTGCTGTTCCAGGCTGGGCACCTGTCAGCTGGACTGGTCTAGCATGTGAAGGACTCATTGTGCTGGAAGAATTTCAAAACCCACTTTCTAGGGTAGCAGAAGGCCACAGCCTCAGGTCATTAATGTGTAACCAGAGCACAGCAGGCTTTTGGAGTCCACAGCGAAGGGTGTACACCTGTGTGATGGGGACGTGGCTGCAAGGCACAGAGGCCTGGGGGAGACCCTGGAGACTCCTGAGTTGTGTGACATAAGGGTCAAAGCTGTGGATTCCTTAGCTGTTTAATAGAGACCAGCATTATTATCTCTTGGAATTGTTGTAAGCTGAAACAGCATAATTGCTTAGACAAATTGGAGTGCCAACTCTTGACTTCTTATCTTACTCCCTGTTCCTGCATGGGCATGAGAGCCTTTGTTATAAAAGAAAATACTGGAGGGGCTGGGCATGGTGGCTGACATCTGTAATCCCAGCACTTTGAGAGGCAGAGGCGGGCAGATCACTTGAGGTCAGGAGTTCAAAACCCACCTGACCAACATGGTGAAACCCCGTCTCTACTAAAAATACAAAAACTAGCCAGGCATGGTGGTAGGCGCCTTTAATCCCAGCTACTCCTACTCAGGAGACTGAGGCAGGATAATCACTTGAGCCTCGGAGGCAGAGATTGCAGTGAGCTGAGATAGTGCCATTACACTCTAACCTGGACGACAAAGCAAGACTTTGGAAATTGAAACACGACTTATAGGAATGATGTTAATGGAGCTTGGAGGCAGGAGAAGAAATGAATGGCACAAAGGAGGGGAGGAAGAGGACATTCTTGCCAGAGGAACCCGTGTCCTAAAGGGCCTCTCAGGGGAAGGGGCACAAGGTGTTCAGGAAGCAGCTAGTGTGCGTGACAGGCCGCCCGCCGGGGGCTGGGGGATACACAGGCCCCACCACGGACAAGCTGGGCAGGGCCTGGCACCATGATGTATTGTGCCCTGCTTAGCAGAGTGACAGGAACTTTAAACCACTTCATATAATTTAGGAAGCTTTCTGAAATGAGGACGGTTGAGAGGAAAGGCATGGGGGAAAAAAAGGCAAATTTCTTGTCATATCATTAAAGCTTTCCAAGAGTCTCCAACATATCAAATTATTTGCATTGTTTACGGAGGGCCATGGCTCATGCTTGTAATCCCAGTTTTGGGAGGCTGAGGCAGGAGGATATCTTGAGCCCAGGAGTTCGAGACCAGCCTGGGCAACATGGTGAGACCCCATCTCTATAAAAAGTACAAAAATTAGCCAGGTTGTGGTGGTATGCACCTGTAGTCCAAGCTACTGGGGAAGCAGAGGTGGGAGGATCGCTTGAGCCCAGAAAGTCGAGGCTGCAGTGAGCCAGGATGGCACCACCACACTCCAGCCTGGGTGACAGAGAGAGGCCCTATCTTCAAAAAACAACAAAACAAAACAAAACCAGCAAAACCCCCGTATTCTCTGCATTGTTTCTATTGCCATTTAAAAAATATTATACAACACAATTTTTTAGTTGGAATACATTTTCAGTTTCTTGTAAAGTATTTGAGTATTTCTGCATTTGATGAATGCCTGGATATTTTGAGTTTGCAACATTGTTTAACACATTAGCCAGCTTCAGTGTTTTATTTTCCAAATTACTTGTGTTTTTGCTCATATTTTCTAGTTGAAGAGGGTGACATTTCTACGCATAGTCCCAGGATGGCATTAGGATTTCTGATGCTTTAGTTTTTCTTTTTTTTTTTTTGCCCTTTATTCACATTTTCAAAACAATTCATGTGCTCTGAGATTATTTAGTTTGAGCAGAGAATGGACCCAGAAAGACTTTTTTCCAACATTTTAACTTGGAATGTTTTTGGAATCACCTAAGATCTACCTATTAGCTAGCATTTACTTCCCAAAAGATTAAAGAAAATCCTGGAAAGCGTGTATTTTCCCAAAACCTTATTGAGAAACTTGCATGTCTTTAGTTTTTTAAAAATAGTTCATGAAATCAATTTTTCTGTGATTCTATCCATTTTTACCTTGACCACACATTTATGTGAAATAAACTGGCATTTTTACATAGCCTGCAATCTTAAAAGTATAATGGCAATACAAATTAATCAATATTTAAGAAATGTATAGCCATATGTATACATGTAACATTTTTCAAATTTAATAGGAACAACAGTGATGTTATAAAACATCAGTTAACATTAAAGTATGTCTTGTCTTCTGTTGCTAAATCCTATTACAGGTATTAAAATATTCATCTGACTTACTTAAGAAGGACTATTGATATATGTGTTTTCTAAAAGAAATTTTTGTCTTGAGAAAATGTCCACGTGGCCTGACCCAGTCAGCTTGTCATTGTTGAGTATGATTAGCTGTGTGTGGATGGGCAGTGGGGTGTATTTCCATGTCAGGTGCAATGCGATCTGGGAGATCTGCCTCCCCATTGCAAACCTGTCCTCACAGGTGTGACCAAACAGACGCGCATCTGTGTGTCTCATCTCCCTCAGCAGTACCAGGATACTCTGCCCTGGGATGGAGGTGGGGGCCCTGTGGTTCAAGGAGAGTCTGCAGCAGGTACAAGCTCCTCTGGCTTCTTCCTGCAGTGGGGGCTCCCCCAGGGGCAGGTCAGTGACTAACCCCTGGTGAAAATTCCTAGGCCTTCAGGAAGGGTCTTTCTATAACCACATTTTGAAGGTCTCTTGTGGGGAATGAGTGGGGTGCAACTTGTCCCTAGGCTTATAAACAGACCCTTTTGAAATTACAGACATGTTTTCAACCCCTTAGAACATCATCACTATTATTTTTTTTAATTTTTGCTTCATCGAATATAAGTTTTCTTTTTGTTTTATAAATTAATATTGCTCTCCAATTTTGTTAATATTCAGACATCCAGATTTTTGTGGATAAAATAAAAATTTTGTGCACTGCTTACTGTATTTTTGAAAAACTGATTTTGTTCTTAATGGGAAATTTTGCTTTCCAAGATAATAATAATTTTTTTATGGAAAACAAATGAAATGAATAATTCCCCCAGACATAGTGATGGGAAGTTAAGTTTTACAGAATGAGGACCCTTGGAGCTGATTTCAAGCCACAGAAGCCTGTCGCTTATGGACACAGGTGACAGCCGGGGATCTGCTGTTATCGTAAAAGTAGAAAAGATTCTTTGGACATGAGCTACTTCTCAGGTCTAGCTGTTTAAGGAAAATAAACATTGCATCTCTTGTGATAAATATATGAGTTACGACAGAATAATGACTTTTATTCACAGCTGTGATGTTTCCTGTAATATAAATAAGCAACAGCATGGCACTGCGGTCTACTTTTTGTAAAATATTTCAATAACGCCTCTTTGAACAATCAGTTGGATCAAATCTTAACATGTATCAGTCTGATCTAATTGCTATATTAAATGTGGCATTTTTGTAAAATAATTCCTTTTGATTATATTTTCGAAATGTGTTCCAATCCATCATAGGATTTTAGAAAAAGCTCAGTAAATTGTTAAGTCCAACATTCTCATGTTAGAGAGTATGAAATTGAGACTTGGGTCACATAACTATTCATAGAAAATTTCAGATTTAGTAGTTATGTCAAAATTACTTGCCTCCTAATTATGTCGTCTCTTTCCATCAATAATTATGATGTTCTTGAAACACGTAAATGTCAACAATGAACTCATATGATGGAGTCATATTGACTGAGAACATGTAAAGATCTATTTAACTATGAATTATTGATATGAATGAAAAGTTGTACTAACGAGAAAATCTGTGTCTTTAAAACCTCAGTGGTTTCGTTTGCCCAGGTATTTTTCAGGCCTGGTTGCCATTTCCATTTTGTTTTAACACACATAATTTCTGTACTTTAATCGTTACAGTACAATTTAACCCTTAAAACCGTTTTGGTGAAATAAAAATCTTGAATGTTTCCTCATTTAGACTTGGATAATTATAGGATATGTATAAATTCACACATATATTTATAGAATATCCATGTATTTAATGTTAGGATATATATCATTTTATCAATATTTTATAAGCTTCCTTTTGAAAGATTAAAATCATTTCTTCCAAATGAGTAATTTTTTTTAAAAAAAAACCTTATAATTCCTCCGACAGAATTAATTACTATTTATATTTAAAATTAACCCTTTAATAATACATAAAACATTAGTAACAATATTTGACTTTGAGGCAGTAAAGTGGGTGCCCAAATGTCGAGGATAATCGTACATCTTTTGATACTTTTAAATTTTTAATGTGCATTATTACCTTTTTGAATGAAATCAATTTTTGTATTAAAGTGAAACTCTTTTTAAAGTAATTCTATTAATAGCCCGTTCTTTAATTCCACTCCCTCTATGTCTTCATTTCACAGTTTCACGTGGAAAGAATAATGGCTGTGAGTGGCTGACTCGGGATGCTGGAGGAGAGCGTGGGTGACAGGTTGTGTTAGGCACTTCTCAGTGACCGAGCCAAGGGGCCGGGGCCAGGCTCCCGGTGGAAGAGAGGCCTCTGCCCGGTGCAGGGGACCAGGCACCAGGGTGATGAACAGCGGCCTTCTCCTTCCCTCTCTCCACCCTGCGCTGTGGAAAACTGATCCGGGGCTCTGGGTGTTTGATGATGGGGAAAAGAGGAGCCATCACCTCGACACACCCATGGGCAGGAACAGGAACCCTGCATAGGACCAGCCCATCTGTGCTCCTTACCACTGGGAGCACAAAGTCCACGGGAAGGATTTTCTGTTACAGAACAGCGTGTGCTGGGATTGGAGGTGCTTTTCCCAGCTAGGAAAGCTGGCTTTGGCCTCCAGCGGAGGCTGTTAGGGTTTCGCCTTCTTCCTGCTGGATACCTCTTGCCCCACAGGAGCCACTCCCCAGCCAGGCCTCTGGCTGTCAGCTTTATGATTTTCTGAGGGAGGAACAGCAGGACATATTTATCTTCAAAAAGGTCACAACTCATTTCTGAGTGTACGTTGACATGAAAAGTCGTATATTCTCATTATCCTGAATTCTGAATATTTTTCTTATCACTATTCCCTTATGAGAATTTTTCGTGTTGATGGTTATGTTTAGAAATAGCAAAGCGTCTCCTCTTCCTGTGTACCTACTTCTGGATTTTATGATTCCTATGTATTTCTACTTTGTATGAATTAATTTTCCTCCTTAAAATGCATCCATCTCTGCCTGCAGAGGAAACGTGATGTTTACATACCCTTCATTGCCAATGTATCCCTTGACCCGATCAGAGTTCAGCTGTTGACATGGAGTTACCTTGTAACAGTTCATCTGAATTGTATCTTTAATCTCCTGGACTGCAAAAATAAATAAATAAATAAATAAATAAATAAATAAACAAATAAATAAATAATATTCCCATGTAATCTTTTGTCGTTAATACAGCTTCCGGCTGCTCAAAATTATATTGGTGACTTAAAAGAAGTACCGGATGATGAGAAATCACTACACAATATTGTGATTGAAACTTGTTCCCTGTCAACAACTACAAGGCACAGAGAAACGTGACTGAGGAATTCTGAACTGTTGGAGGGTGTTGAGAGCAAAGCAACACTATTAATCATTGCATGATTCTGAAGTTATTTGACGTTGGGATGGAAGTGTTCATGTTTTTGGAATGACTTTTGAAAATAGAAAAAAATGTTTATTATCCAGTATTTCAACTCTCCTTTAAGGCATCAAAAATGTTTTAATAGAAATAAGTTATATTTCAAACACCAAGATGCTTTTCAATATTTATAACTTTTAAATACCTTGCAAAAATATAAAATAAGAGTGGGATCAGGAAAAGAGTTAAAGCATTTCTAACTTTGAATCATTTTAAAATATGTTTACTTGGAGATCAATGAGCTCCAGAGAAATTCTCTCTCAAGATGTTCAAAGCTTTGAAGATATTATTGGCTATGAGGCACGGTGAAAGTATGCAGTACCTGTTCAATTACGAACCTGGCTCCCTAACAGGTCCTTATTGAAGAATGTTGATTTCATTTTCTAACCCGCACATTCGTCTCATACCATCAAAAGGTAGCACCTTCTGCAGCTGCTTTCAGAAAAAATGCCAACAAACGCCAAGCAAATCACTGTTTTGATGAGATTTTATGCAGAAATTCTTAGGGCCCCAAGAAGACCTAGAGTAATTGTGGGTGGCATTTAGCTTTGAAAGTATTTCTTAAAGTGTATGATAATTTTTGCAAAGTAAGTGAAACATTTAGTCTTCCGTCATTATGATAAATTATATAATATGGGCATAAAATGGAACACATTTAATCTCACAAACATGCAATGGTATTGAAAATTGAAATAGAGCTATTAACATTTAGGATTAGTGATTGTAAACAGTGGTGTGTTTTGACAGTAGTTTTGTTTACCTTTCTCTTTTTAAAAATGTTGCCTGTTTTTGTTCTTTTTTTCTTTTGGCTCTTCAGAATATTTATTCATTTTTCACATAGCATATGAAAGGGAAAGTGACTACTGAATTTAAAAATGAAATTTTTTTAGGAATGCTGAAGTCTTTCAAAAGTTACTGAACATCTATTATATGCTAACTTCTGAAAAACTGAAGTTAAATCAGGTATGATCTTTACCACTATATTTCTTTTTCTAGCACACAGACATATATACATATGTATATGTCTCTCTGTGTGTATGTATATAATCACTTATTTCTTTGAACACTTATGTTCGTATATATGCAATGTGCTGAGCTGGACATTTAAGCAGCTTTACAAATAATGATATATTCAATAGTTCTACACACAAAGAGGTATAAATTATATGAACAGACAAAAAAGTTAACTGGCAACCCCTAGAGTAAGCATTCCAACCAAAGATTTATTATGTTAATACAGAAAACTTCTCAAAATACTGCTATACCTTATTATGTCTTATATAGCAACTATTTTTTCCCCAAAAGCTATTTAGGCACCAGTAACAATATCTTCCTTCTCTTCCTCTCTTTTACTGTGTTTCTCTCCTCTATCTCTCCCCCCAGAGCCACTTCACTGTAATGTCTCCTGAGATCCAGGGCAAATGAAGGACGGGAAAGCCCCCAAACCTTGTGGTCTGTGTCGACGCTGCCTCAGGTGTGCAGAAGATACAAGCAAATGCTGTGGCAGGTGCAAGCTCCCCGCCAGGTCTGCTCTGGCATAAACAGCAGCAAGGTTCTCAAGAAAGGAATTCTACAAGGATAGAGAAAAATACTGTCTAACACACTTAAGACTTTAGTTCAAAATGCTCTCACATATTAGAGTTCCTGTTGGAGATCCCTAGTCTTCTTGGCTTAGAATAGTTTGGTGGTGGGATTGATGCCAGGCCAGTCACTGAGCCGGGTTGTGGAGGGAGCTTTGTTCCTGTGGGATTGGCCCCCGTGTGAATCTGTTCTGTGCTGGAGGCCCCTGCTTGATCGGATCACGAGATTCCATTTTTCTCTTTCAAGCTACCCTTAGCTTTTAAGCCACTGCCTTTCCCCATCAACATCTTGGGCTAAAATGGAATTTATTATTGAAATGTTGGTAAGTAAACATGCATCTGTTGTTCTTAAATCAGTGATTTTCTTCATAATGGTTTCCATGTACACAATAATCTTTCCCTATAAACTACATTTATCCAAAAGGCACACACAGGTTTTTCTGTAAACAGAAATTGGGGCTGAGGTTTTGGGCAAAAAAAAAAAAAAAAAAAAAGAGATGGCCCTTCATCTTTCTTTCATTTCATGCTTCCAAAAGGACAATCATATCTCTTTATGTCTGCCTCACAGCGTCCTTTATTATTAACATCTGTCAGAAGTCACTGCTGTCTGTGTTCCATTCCTTGTGCTTTCATCTCTTCCACGTCTGCTGGATTCAGTTTATAGGTGCCTTCAGGCGCCCTACCCTAACAGTGCAGAAACAACAAAATCACCTTCATCTTTCTTAGTCATGCAACATTCTTTCTAGTTAGTATTTTATTCCTCACTTTTAAAATCCAGATTTAAATAAGTCAATTGCCATTGTCTTTATTTCCTCATCATCCCCTAATGTATCAACACACTGACATCAAGACCTCTTAATACAAAATCCAGTGGAATGCATTCTATGTTCTTTGCACACAATCTTGTTGGACCATACAACTTTGTAAAACATCTTTTCTTGAACATTTCTTCTTCCTTGCTTTCAAAGATACAATTCTACTACTTTTGCTACAATTTCTCTGGGTATTATTTTCCTGCCTTTTTAAGTTTCATCGATTTGTAGCAATGGCACAAACATAAAGTATATACCTTTATGAGTTTCTACATATGTATTCACCATAAATCCAGAAAATTAACATATTCATCACCCCAAAATCGTTTTCTCATACCCGTCTTCCTTCCTCTTCAACCACAATCTTATTTTCATCAGTAAAGGTGTCTTTGCATTTTCTAAATCTGATATAAATGCAATTATACAGTAAGGCACTCTTTTGTGTCTAGCTTCTACACTGACTCTATTTACTTTGGGATTTATTTATGTTGTTGCAGATATCAGTAATTTGCTCCTTTTTATTTTTGAATAGTATTCTATTGTATGGCTATGTTATGAAATTTTAATCCACTTATTTGTTGATAGATCTTTGAGTCGTTTCCTGGACAATAACTTTTAAGGCTGTCCTTAATCATTGATCTCATCTTTGAAAATTTCCCTTATTATTCCTCCTCGTTGACATGACTCTGCTTGGTTAAGTGATCCTACACTGTAACCCACACTTTTTAATTTGCACAACTGCAGCTTTTCTAGACCGGGAAATTCTTTGGTTTAGAAACAAATTGTGTAGGACCAGGCTAATCTGACATTGTCTGCTCCAAAAAGTGGATGTCCAATAAACGTTTTCTGAATGAATGGATTCCCAGATTGTTGGACTGCCAGACAAATGACTATACTCACATGTAAACTACAAAATGAGTGATGGGCTGGCTGGTGACTGGAGCCATATAGGGTTTCCCTGATGGATTTTTGTACCGTCTAATTTAATGTTTCTGAAATGCTGTGGAACCTCTTACACTATTCCTGATTCGCCAACCTGTTCAGGTTTAATATTTTTCAGTCACATTGTGGGTGGTCATCCCTGGAAATCCTGCTCTCCAATTCAGAGGGAAAGAAACAAATTAAACCTTTCAAAGTTCTTCTCTTCATAGTCACAGTCTCAAGCCTCCTCCTTCTTTGAGATTTTGTGTTTTCTTCAAAATCTCTACAGTAAGATTTCCCAGTCTCCACCATCCTTCCCAACTGGAATGTTTCCCACCCTAGTGTTTTTCTCTCTTCCCCCTTCTAGTGCTGCTGGAGCATAGCAATGCCCAGATTTGTGTTTACATGTGAATTCAACCTGATCAGTGCCACGGGAGTCTGAAGAGGGAGGGTTTCATCAGAACCATCCAAGGAAATCCTCCGTGAACCAATGGTGCATTATTTATTTTTCAGCTCTGAAAATGAATACAATGTCTACAATTCATCAAGTCTTCTTCATAATGTTGAAATATTTCTTAATGTCTGTCAGGAATAAACACTCAAAAACGTAAAACATTGCCTGGAAAATGGTAGTATTAATCCATATGTGAGACTAAATTTATTAACGCAAAATGCAGGGGAAGGTTTGTGACTCTCTGAAGGTCTCACTCCTTCCTCATCTTACTCCGACAGTCTCAAGAACTGCAGAGAAAGAGCCCATACCAGTTTCTTTGCTCATGGCAAGGAAAGAAACAATTCTGCTCATGGTGGCAGAAAAGTCCAGGAAACTCTGGGAGCTTTGCACGAGTGAAGAACAGAAATACTATGCAAGAAAGTTAAGGGACGACATTATCTGTGAAACTGAATCAAATTTGTCAATTTGTTCTAAGATTTTCTTCCTTCAATTCATTGGGTGTGGGCGAGAAATGGGCCATCATATCAAAAGCCACGGACCTCTGAATCCAACCTCTAAATTATGATTTAGGATACCAGTTCAACTTCATTGTTGATTCAATAAATGTTTATTGGGTTCCAGTATTTACAGGGCATTGTCCTAGATGTTGGGGCCACAGTGTGAATGAGATGAGTTCCCTGTCATGGCACCTACGTGAGAGGCAGAATAAATAAACATCACACACCGTTACAGACATGGAACATGCTTTCAGCTTGGTGGAAGATTCCATAACGTAAAATAAAGCTGGGTAAGGAAATAGAGAGTGGGAAGCTTTGGGGTGTGTTGTAGACAATCTGGGTGGCTTCCTCTATCTCTGTGCCTGTTCAGGTTCTTGCTGGTGGGCTGTGGGCCCTGACATTTCAGAGGTCATCTAGTCTCACAATAAAGGCACTTTGTTAGATTGGGGCTGGAGACTGAAAATATTTAACTGGTTTGTGTTTCTTTCACCTAGAAGAATTCCCAAATCAAGCTTGGCCAACAGCAATTGAATCAGTGGTTTCATATCAGCATCTCTTCAAAAAGATGTTAGGTTTATTTCATGTTTGTAGGTAAATTACACAATGTCTCAATTATAAATTCAGTTGCTTACGTTATGAAGCAGTCATTGAAAGTCATGCTACTTAAGGAACATTAATGGAGTCTAATCCAAACACGATGCCACTAGGAGCTGACTCTCATTATGTTCAGGACCATGGTGTGTGAGGCAGAAACCAGATCAGCCATGTTCAGTAGCCAAGGGCACTACGCACATACACCACCTTGAGAATACTTCTTCGACCTTGCTTTGTTTTATTTTTTTTGCAGTGGTGAATAAAGTAAGCTTCTTTCATGTTTAGATACAGATCATCTAGTTGTTAGAAAAATGATGAAAATATTCCCTCTTCTTCATGAATTAACAGTGTTAAAAACTTGTGTCAAGTACTTTCTTGTTTTCTATGGGCCTTCCCTTACAGTCCTCACACAGCACAGTAGGAAACAGTATCGTGGGTTCCATATCCGTGAGAGAGTGACACTTACAGAAATGGAGCCCTCGTCCAGTTTATTTAGCTAAGAAGAGGTAGAGACGACTTTTCCCCAGAAGTAAAAGTAGCACATGCTTGGCAAATATTAATAAATTGATGCTAATAACATCAAAACTGTGTTTTCCAAGGATCACAACCCTTACCACTTTTGCATGCGTATACTGTTATATTCACCACATTCTATCATAATCGTATATTTCATTCCTGAATTCTTTTATAATTCTGTGCATCCTTAGTGTCTAGTCTAATGTTTGGCACAGATAAATGTTTGCTGAGTGGTTGTGTGAACGACAGAGACTAAAGACCTCACAGTAAAGTGAACCAGACGTAAAAATAAATAGGTGCAATGCAAAGTGATCTGCGATGTTACAGTGGAATCCTCAGAGTGTGTGTGAGCACTGCTGACTTATCTATTCTATGGACAAGAGCCACAGTGCTTCCTGTAAAACAGAATATTGAGGGACTTTAATTCCCATGTGTCCAACCCAGTTCCTCTGCTCCCCGTTCCCGGGTGGAGCTAGGCTACTTGATCGTTCCATTCTCCTCCAAGTCAGAAGTGCATTGTGGTTTTCCAAAAGTTGTTTAGGTGAGAAGAGAAACAAGAACATACTTGAGATGAGATGACCTGGCTTCCATTTTTTTTTGTAGAGTCATTATCTCAGGCAGACAACTTAACATTTCCAACCACTGACCGCATGTACTGAATAAGCTCGAATCATGAATGATAGATTGTCTGGTTAAGTTCATCTCGGTTGTCTTCTATGTGTAATTGATATAGTATCAATTAGTCAGAGCGTTGTGTGAGATAAAGCCTGTGAATGCATTTTGTAAACCATGAAGTGATACATACATACGTTAATATTGTTAGAAAGTTGTGGGGAAGAACATGAAGAGAGACCTCCAGCCTAGAGTTAAATTATGAAATTCTAAGATGTAGTCTCTTCATTACATGGTTCCAAACTTCTGGAGAGGTGGGGCCAGGCGCTGTCTTATTCTGGGAAGTAGTCTCAATCCAGGCCGCACGTTAGAATGCTGTAGAAAGCCTGCAAAAGTCCTGATACCTGGGGCCTAACAGAGACCATTTAATTGAAAATCTTAGGACACAGGGGCACGTGTCCACAGGATGATTCTGCCTGGCCAAGGTTGCACCCAGCAGGGCTCATACTATGACTTACCCTGTTCCTACTTCTCTTTGTTATCCTTGGCCCATTGAACAGATTGGATTTAAGTAGCAAACTTGTAAAATGCAACACCATGCGCTCACTAAATATCAAGTATTCTTCAAACATGGACTCACCCAAACTCTTCCCAGCCAGATTTATAACCAACCACACTTGACCGCAGACAGGCCTTACACATTCTTCATATGATCTGAAGCACAGAGTGAGTCTCTTGGGGACAGGTGGAAATGCATTTTTTTTTTAAGTTTAATACGTTTTGGCTGAGGTTAAGTTTGTTAAGACCATTAAATATTTAAACCAGTTTTCTCAGAAGGACTTTTGAATTAAAAGGAAAATTTGAAAGGTATTTTAATAATTCCAATGTTAGCCTCTGGGTAGAATTTTCTTACATTTAATTATGAATTCCCAGGCTACCTTTTCTACTGATATATTCATAACCACATATTCATATCCATAAAAATAAGCAATTATACTTTCTGCCAATGGCTTCCTGTGTGACTACATGTGGCCTTCCTACTTGATTAAGGATTTCAGCAAATTTAATATAAATATCTCCTTTAAGAACCTCTGAGAAATGAATGTATTAAAGTATGTTAAATTTGCCATGCAACTGAAACTTAGTAGAAATCTTTGTAGTCAACTAAATTCTACTTTCAGCTAGAAAACTTTGTGCAAATCATTATTTAATCCAGAGATTAACACTACATCCTGAGAAAACATATAAAATAACGTCTCCTTACCTACTTTTCTGTAAAGTTACACCAAAGCATCATTTAGGAGATCTATACTACAAACATTCTGTGAAATCCTGTGCATATTTTCATTTTCCTTATTAACAGAAATAGTTATAAAAGTATTTTTTGTCATATTGCCTACATTGCTTTAAACGCCTTTACCTGTCTCCCTTTAAACATATCCACCCTTTAAATATGACTCAAAATTCACTTACAAAATGCCTTTCCCAATGCCTGACCATTTCATGTTCCCAAGCCTCTCTCTATGGGCATATTTATGTAACAGGACTTACCATATTATGTTATAATTGGTTATCTATCTGCTCACACTCTTGTTCTATTTTGTGGCATGGTGACAATCTCTGTATTTTTGTCATTTTTATAGCCCCACTGTTCAAATCAGCACAAAATAGATGCTCAAAACCTTCTTAACCTACTTAGAGAAATAACGGTACTTCGACGTTTTTCCCTGTTTATTAAGGGGTCTCAGCATTAATTTTCCATGGTCTTGCTGGGTTTCTACTCAGCTTAGATCTTCTTTTGTATTTTAAATTAGCCAGTCACTTGGCTGAAAAAGCAACCCTGTTGCCCTGAAGGAAACAGCTGTGTCAGGCCACCCACAGGGATCTCAGAAGGATGAAGGGAACGATTGTGTTATTGTATCACGGGCAGCTCTGCCGGGACTCCTAATGCTCATTGAGACGTTTTACCATGAGGATTCGGAAAACATAAATTGCATCTCATAGAAACCATCTCCTTTGTGGTACGTGCTTCCCAGAGATGCACAGGTCATTTAATAAAGAATTACCTGCTGGTACTTACATTATGTTGTTGGCAGAAAAGTGCCTTATAAAGAGGGGCCATTTTTACAGTGTGATATCCACGGGGTCCCTCGGGAGGCCGTCTGAAAATGAGGCTATTTCACTATTGGGCATGCTGGCTTCTTGGCAGGCCAGCTGAGTCCGCGATGTGAACTGCTAATTGCTGATTTCCAAGACTTGGACTGTCTTTCTGTTATGCAATGGGCTGAGAACGCCCCTTCCTTCCCACAGGCTGTGTATGACTAATCCACAGTTCCTTATTAGAAAGACGGACCTTGCTCCTAAGGGTGACCTAGATGTGAAAAACTCACATTCTCCTGCTAATTCTTTAAATTAGCAAGTTCTCCAAGAGCAAGCTCGGGCTAAATCCGCTTAAGCTAGTCTTCCTCTTCCTCAGCTTACTACAGTATTAGAAATTTTGCCAGCGGCACAGACTAAGGGTAGCATGAAAAGCAATGAAAACATCTAATTTTATAGCTGTCAGGATAAATACCAAAATAAGATATTAAATGTAAAAATGTGAATAATAGGCTAAATAGTGCCTCCCTGAATATAGTGGGAATTTTAGCATTTTTATCACATGACCTCGGGGATGCATGCCAGGGTCACCCAGGGAGCTGCGTCTTCATATTTCACCTCGAGGGTGTCTCCCGCCTTGGGTGCATACTCTGTTCTTAAGGGTCTGTCTCGCTCTTCAGGCGCAGAATTCACTGCTAATTCACACTCTCTCTGTCTTCCTTGAAGGGTCACGTTTGCAGAAGAGCTCCACTGTAGGGCAGGGGAAGGAAATCCTTCCTCTTTCTTTTCTCGGACAGCCTTATCTCAGCTGTCATTCTCCAGGGATCTCTGCTGGGGACTAAATTCCTTAAGGCCATGCCTGCACTTGCAAATACTTCTTAAGCATCGTGAAATGTGTTAGAAACAAAATCCTCACCTGCTGTTCATAGAAGAAATCCCTGCTAAGTTATAAATGAGTTTCTGCAGCCCAGGAGCGCCTGTCTACTTGGGGAGCTTAACCAGAGGTGTGTGCAGCCTGCCCAGTTGTTCAGTGTGTAGCGCGGATGGATGGTTCTTTTGTTATGAAAACCAAAGAACTGCCTCCAGCAACCCTTCTGGCCCCAGGTGCACATGTCCCACTCAGAAGGGTATCATGACATGTGAGCGGGAAAGACAGGCAGTTCAGGGAATGTGTGTGTGGACAGGGAGTTAAGGGGCCTGTCATTACAAGAATCTTATTTGCTTCCACACTGCCCCATATCTTTGAGGACCGTATCCTCCCCAATGCTCGGTATCCATGATTTTCAGGTGGCCGACAGGGCCACACCATCTGCAGCAACACCAGGCATCCTAATGTCTAACGTGAATGAGCTGAAGTTTCTCAGATACTTTGCAAGCTCTGAATCCTTGAGCCCCCTAGCCTGTGGGGCTGCAATGTAACTGTGCCTGTTTCTCATAGGAAACTGGGGCACAGGAGCCTAAATGACCTGCCTAGTATTACTTGTAGCAGGAAGACGATTCTTACGATGGGAGATTCTAACATGCGGGTTCTACGGCACAGAATAAGATGGAAACCCCTGCGTAGCAGGTGCTCTGTGTTCTTGTTCCTGTTCATGCTTGTACAATTGAACAGGATAAATGCTTAACTATACTTTCAAATGTTGTGAACGATCAGCTTCTGTGCTATGACAGATTGTGCTCACTCTCGAGATTTCACTCCTGTCTCCAACACGCTTGTCATGGTCAGACCCACCCCAAGCGTGCAATTGCACACACACCCGTAAGCACTCTTCAGGGCTGACCCGGTGCCAGCCGTGTGACAGGCACGATGTAACCATCGTATCCACCAGCCCAGGAGTTATTTACTTGGAATCTCCTACGCCCAAACGCTGACAGGGAAGCGCAGGTTTAAAGCACAAATGTAATTATTCAATTATTCCCGTGATGTGTGGAGGCAGGATTTGAACCCGGATCTGTCTTCATCTCAGCACAGCTCTTTATTATGGAGTCCCAGGGTTACTGCATCCCCCAACCAGGGCTCTCCATGGCCTTTCAAAGAAGACAAACCCATACTGTGTACCTGTCAAGGTCCCTCTCAGGGTGCGGCTGTCTGCAGGGCACCCTCCGCACAGCCCAGGCAGGGGCATGGGCGGCGAACACACACCTTTCAAATCAGGCATCCCACCTGCCGCCAGTGGTACCACCGCAAACCACCAAACTCTATTTTTACCACTTAAATAGTTAAGCACAGGCACCTATAGTTTCTTTGCCAAAAACAAAACAAAACAAAACAAAAAACAAAAACAATGTGTTTTGAAAGAGATACAAATTTTAAAATATGACTAACCTTTTCTTTTTCTTGGTCGAACGGCTCTGTCCTTATGTTAATTTCATTCACAGGAACTTTATGTTCTTGGTCCCGAGTAACTAAAATACTTGGTCCTGATTTTTGAAATGCTAGCTTTGGTTTCAATGTATTATAACACAAATAGAGGCAAGGAATTACAAAATCAATGAATCCCAGGAGGCTTGCTCTGAAAGGCGGAAGTTCTTCTGCTCCACTTCATGGATGGTTGTGGAGGGCGCTGTGCTTAACAGCAAATCTGGATTGGAACCAGTGCTTTCTGAGTCCGTCTGCTCACACATGAGAAACAGGCAAAATGGTGCTCCCTCTTCAAAGCCTTATAATCAAGAGGTTATATACATACAATTACTATAAAATATTTCATTATATAAATATTTCGTATAAATGTATAATATATAGTAGACTACATAACAAATGAAAATAAATATATACAGTCTTCTGGTTATTGAAGGCCTGCTGTACATACAATTTAATATGTATAATAAAACATAAGTAATAAAGTATGCATTTAATATATATATATATATCTCACATTGTCTTATGCATCATGGGTGCCCAGGAGATGTAATTGTTTGTATTAAACCAATGTGTTAAGAAAGACATTTAGAAAAAAAGACAACAGAAATGTTCAGACAGGCAAACTGAGAGGTGGAAATAGGCAGGTCTGATTTAAAATATGACGGTGATGTGATCACATGGCTTCAAAGTGTTAGGGTCCCACAAACTCGCCTATGACCATAAGGGTGACGTTTCCATCTCCCGCTTACCCAGTGTCCTGCTGTGCCCTGGAAGCCCTGTGTGGGCCTTGAAAACACCTGTTTTCCATTTAGACAAAGGCCAGGAGAAGCCTTGGATAAGAAGCCTTGGATAATGGTCAAGAGAAGTACCCAGGTTATCTTAGAGGACCTGGAATGACCCGTTTCTTAGAATTTACCAAACTGTTCTTTGCCAAATCAACATGCTCCTCACAGACACACCAAGGAACAGTACTTCATCCTTCAGTCCAATCAAGTTGACACTCAATGTTGACCATCACAGTAGCAGGGCTGATAACAGCCAGCCCGGAGTACAGCAGAAAGCCAAGAGAAACGTATCTGCAAAGCGAAAAAAAAACGAAGCAGATTAATTTTCAGATGTGTGTGTACAATCAAGTCAGGAGGGGTTTATATTGTTGTTTCTTTTTTTTCTGAGATTTTTGTCAAAATGAGTGACAATCATATAGGACACTCATTAAACATGAACGTGAGACAATGAGCTTGAGGAAAGAAGAAAAAACAGTGTACAATGAAATCAGTGTCATTATACACTCGGAGCAATTCACCTCTGTGCAGACGCCACACTGCCGTCGTGATGGTGTAGACGGGGCTCTGACTCAATGAAGCTGTGGGCTGCTCAGCCTCCAGGTGCAGCAGCCGGTTTGTATGGACGCACGTGGAATGGAGCCAAAAGGGGCAGCAGAAAACCAGTGACATGTCTGAACTTGAAAAGTAAAGATAGACCCGGGTAAACAGTCTACTTAGAAAGGTGACAGTAAATACGGAAAAAGCAGCTAACATTTTCAAAGCCACTTGCTGCCGTGAAATGGAAAACAGCAGTGGCAGGCAGAGGAGGTTCCTAAAAGTCCAGGATACTATTAATATTGGACTTTTAAAAATATGTACCTGAATTACAGCAATTAAAACATCTTAAGTGTCTACTCACATGCTTTTCCTTGGGAAAGATGAAGACTCTGATAGTTGGTTCTTCAGGAGCGGGTGTTGCTTTTACTCCCACTCCCTGTTTAGTCTGCCAAGGAACAAAGCAAATAAGCAACACGGAGTTGCATGGCTTGAGGTGTGGTTCCCACCTCTGACCTCTGAGGAACCCTGAGGGTCTCACGAGGGCCCTGGGCAGCTGCCGTAGGCATTGCTTACAGGGTTTCGTTTCTCTCATTTGCATTTATTGCTATTTGAAGTAGCACTATCTCCCCCTCTCAGTTCTAAGCTCCTCAGAGGCAGAGAAAAATACATCAATTTTCTGGAATTGTTCCAAGTATTAGAAAGGATAATTTAAATATCTGGCTCTAGTTGTTTTCACCATAATCACATATAATGATGTTTTATCACCTTTAGCTGCTCTCTTCCCACTCTCTCGTCCACGCTGGAGCCAAATAAATGCACTCGTCCTATTTGCTGAAGAGTGTGATTAATGCTCTCTCCTCTGATGGAAGCATAGGACCCAAAACAATTTTTTTAAGCAAAATCACCTCAATGTCAGATTATTATGCCTGAGACCATAACTTCAACATGATCGTGAAGTTTAAAGCTAAAGTGCCAGAGGTATGGGAGAGTGTCGTGTGTGTGTGCGTTGGTGTGTGCAAGTGTTCACCTGCCAACACTGACAGAAGCCGCGGTTTGTCTATGACCAAAGTGAGGATGAATTCACAGGTAAGTGTCCTGGAGGGAGGTGCCTCATTACCACAGGTTACCATTATACGCTCTGTTGTATCCAACAGGGTATATCTTCCTCATCCACTAAGCAAACAGGTGTCTGTGAGAACCAACAATGTTAACAAAACATGCTCATTGAAAAAAATATGCATTACCTTAGGACATATGGGTGAAAATAAACGTTCTAATACTACTGTATATTGTGGGGTATACAACCTTCTCTATTTTAAAGGTCAAAAATAATGCTTTTGAGCATTTCTCATGAAAGGTTAGAAATTCTAATCCCGTCCTTACTATGTTATATCACAACCCTATCATATAAACAGGTGTGTCATCTGGCTTGATTTTAAAATATTCTTTTTAATAAATACAGGTTAACAATATAGAGGCACCAGAAGCAACACACATCTCACTTTCAGAGTGTGTGTGTGTGTGTGTGTGTGTGTGTGTGTGTGTGTTTGGCATCTGGGAAGAAAGAAACTTAATGCATTGGGGTAAGTCACGTCATTGGTTTAACCCTTTCCTACTTAGTATGCCTGTGGATACTGGAATCTTGAGTGCAGTGTTCCCTTCTAATGGATGGGAAGGAACTGCCAGGAACCTTGCATGTTTATAAGAATTTCCCTGGAAATATCTTAAAAATATATATTTCTGGACCCCACTAAAGATCTTAAAAATTATGCTTATACGGTATGAGACCTGTGAACTGTGTATATTTTTATCCCCCTCAGCTCTCCTCAGAGGAACCAAGTATAGCTGGCCTGACCTCATATTGTTTTGGAATAAGGATTTAAAAATCACTGTAAAATTAAAGATGTTTCTTAGAAAAATTGCCATTCAACCCATCATATAAAATGTAAATGATCTCAATTATGTATTCCAGATCATGACATCAAAAATGATCTCAATTTATGTATTCCAGAAATAGACATTGGAAAAAAAATAGGCTATGTTAAGCCTAGAAATCATAAAGAATTCTTAAATTTATGTATGTAGTGTGAAAAAAATAGTGAAATGCTACTTAAAATAAACTTACACCTAAATCTTAATATAAAATTCAAACATCATGCAATGAGTTGAGGAATAGCAGTACCCAGCTCTAAAGGAATGGATTTGGGGCATTTTTCTGTGCTTGTTTTCCTACTCAATCGTAGGTAGAGTTAACAACAGGGAAGATGTGCTTTCATTTCAAGTTGGAAACTGAACATATTACTTCTTAACATTTTTAATTGTAACTAAGTTTAAATATATAATTTCAACTCATTTATCTGTGATGACCTGTCCTATTTTTTGCATGAGACACTGAGAATGAGAAGCAAAAACTTATAATTTTTTTTTTTTTTGAGACGGAGTCTCGCTCTGTTGCCCAGGCTGGAGTACAGTGGCACAATCTCGGCTCACCGCAAGCTCCGCCTCCCGGGTTCATGCCATTCTCCTGCCTCAGCCTCCCGAGTAGCTGGGACTACAGATGCCCGCCACCAAGCCCGGCTAACTTTTTTTGTATTTTTAGTACAGACAGGGTTTCACAGTGTTAGCCAGGATGGTCTCGATCCCCTGACCTCATGATCTGCCCGCCTTGGCCTCCCAAAGTGCTGGGATTACAGGCGTCAGCCACCGCGCCTGGCTAATTTTTAAGTCAGTTACTGAACAGAAGCAGTTATCATAGCTCAATTTTATATATTATGTATTTAGGAGTAGTAAATGGGTAAAGTTAATCTCAAATTTTTTTTTTCTTCCTTTTCAGGTGACTCCTAGCTAGTTTCCGTCTTGCATCCCTTAGATTTAGTAGAAATTTAAAATCATTGAAGTGACTTTGAGATTATTTCTGCATTTTATTATTCAGTACAAACAATGAAAATTACAGCATGAAACATACAATTATTTAGCACTTAAAAAGTGCATTCATGTTTCTTCTTCTCGGAGCTTCAGTCTGCCTCCGTCAGGATTCCTGACAGTTCTGGGTTCCTGTGGGTTAGGGCACTAACATCCACAAGAGTCCATGATGACCTAACATCATGCAATGGTTTATAATGGAGTTCAGATTCGTGCCCAGGAGAGTCTAATGCAAGAAGTCACAGCAATTAGTGAGCACATTAAATTCACAGTGTGAGTCACAAGCTGCTTTGCGCACCATGTGTGTATTGATTCATATAATCCTCATAACAAATTTAATGAGATAGACATTACTATAATTATTTTAAGATAAGCACAGGAATATAAGGTAATTTAACCAAGGCAAGTAAGATTTGTATGCCACAGACCCCTATGGGAGTTGGTGAAGCCTGTCAATTGCTTTTCAGGGAAAAAAATATGTTTGTGAATATTGTAAACAACATCAAATTAATAGGACTACTAACGAATGTCTATTGAAACATAGCACTGGCTAAAAGACACTGCTCCTCTATGGCTGTTTCTTAGCATTCAAACACTACTACCCTCTGAACTCACTGCTCAGAACTAGTGTGGTCATGACTGAGTGGAGCTGAAGGCCACGCACTCACATTTCTTCAGGTGATTGATTGCAAAGCCATTGGTGACAATTCCCATTTTCTCATATGTTATTGAGAAGACATAATTGTGGTATCATTTCACTTATTTTCTCTTCTCTGACTGAATTTCACCCATGTAAAAAGTCCCAGTAACTACTGTTGGCTCTATCTGCTGGCAACGTTTGTAGAACTTCCTCCACACCATAAACATCAAAAACAGAATGTTTGAAAATAACATTAAGAAATATTAGATATGATTGATATTTGTTAAGCATTTAGAACAAGGGTGTCTTGTCTTTTCACTATCCTGGGCCACAGTGGAAGAAGATGAATTGTCTTGGGCCACACAACATAAAACACACTAACACTAACAATAGTTGATGAACTAAAAAACAAACAAACAGAAATCACAAAAAATCTCATAATGTTTCAAGAAAGTGTATGAATTTGTGGTGGGCTGCATTCAAAGCTGTCCTGGGTCACATGTAGGACAAGCTCGATTTAGAATATAATTCTCAAAAGACTAGAAAGTGTGAAACAAGGCCCAGGAAAGTATCTGTAACTTACGAGCCTTTTATAGACATTCTCGGGTTTTATAAAGAGATGTAGAGTTGACTGACATAACAGGGTTCCTTGAGAACAGGGACTCTGTTTTCATCTCCTTCTCCTGTATCTAATACAGTTAATGGACATGTCTATATTCAGAAGGTATTCGATGAATTAATGAATGAAATTAAAAATGGAAGGTGGGAAATACAGCTATTAAAATAGTTGACCCATTTGGGTGATTTAAGGTCCCATCTCTCTGTCATGTCTCCCAGTGTGCCTCTCTTAAACCAATCAGTCTGACTGAAGAGAAAAAAAGTATTTCCATATTGATAGAAACTTTGCATTATCTTTATGGTATGTGAGTAGCTTCACTGCTCGGGTAGAGCTTCCAGATACATCCTCATGGTTAAGGTCAGACACATCAGGTAATGCAGAGGTCCAGAAAAAAATAATGGCCTCTATCCCTAACCAGAAATACAAATCACAGGCCATTTAAAGATCGAACTCTTCAGATGAATTGTAAAACAGATTGATAAAATGCTAGAGTTGGGGGAAAAAAGTTTTGGAGATCTTGTCAACCTCCAACTGAGAATGACATTAATGGAAATCCTTGAGCAAGAATCATTCTCTCTAGTGAGCAGTAAGTGCAGGTGTCTGAGTGGACTTATTGCGAATGGAGCAGAGCAATTGCTGTGATTGGAAATCTCAACCACAAGATATACATTAGATTGGCGCAAAAGTAATTGCTGTTGTCATCATTAAAAGCAACAGAGAAAACAGAAATTACTTTTGCACCAACCTGATATTATTCAAGCAGGACCAGAAAGGTCAGAGTGGGCTTGCTGTAGAGTATGCAGCATTATTGTCATCTAGGAGGGATGAGAAAAAAATCCCTGCTCTTGTCATGGCCAGTGAGGGATGCAATGTTATGTAAATGTTGTCTGGAATCGAGCTCCTGCTGTGGGAAACTGGGAGACTATTACTTATGATGTATTTTAGTGGAAAGGGACAGGATTCAAGGCAGAGGTCACAGAAAAATTGAGGTAAGTACGTTCTATACTGTTATTTTTTTTTTCATTTTTTTCTTTAATA
Organism: Homo sapiens; assembly: GCF_000001405.40. Lineage (NCBI taxonomy): Eukaryota > Metazoa > Chordata > Mammalia > Primates > Hominidae > Homo > Homo sapiens. The sequence goes on from NC_000008.11 coordinate 2,535,247, forward strand.
TTTTCCTGCTATCTAATTCAGAAGAAGTATAATTCTAAGAGCAGAAACAAGTAGCAAGACAGTTTAATTAAGGAGAAAGTTGACTTCAGTGACAAGCATAGCACAATTTTGAAGAAATTTGTACAATATCATAAAATTTTCAAAACGTATAGAATGTTTGCATAATTGACAAATATTAGCTGTGGCTTTTTGTCTTGTGTTGGAGTGTAATGTGTGCGATAGGCCTAGATATTATATTATGCACCTCTAAACACATAAAGCCAAGAATAAAAGCAGAAAAAGACAGACTACCGCTGTGATTTAATTTTGTGCACCAACCCTAGTGGTCTTCATGTAAGACCAGGGCCTCAGAATGAAGGTAAGAGTTGAGTGTCTCTGGATTCCCAACAGGAATGTTCTTCTCACCTTCAGGGGGGAAATAATTCTAGCTTGTTCAAGAACTGACAATTGGACATAGGTTAAACAAGCCCAAATAAGAGAGGGTTTTGCTAGTGGTTTCATATTAAAGAAAATCTGATGACAAATAATGTGCTAAACCTTGGCAAAGTGTTCGGTGTAAGATGTTTATGTATAGTCACACATGTGGTCTGGACCTCACACATTCAGGGAGCTTCAGTTGTGTATTTGACTGGGGCTGAAACAGAGCTATAATTTCTTGGATTCATTCAAGAGTAGAATATAAAATAAAAAACACTGGCAAGTTATAACAGATTAATAGATAGATAATAGATAGATGACAGCTAGATAGTTGATGGATAGATAGTTGATGGATACATAAATGTAGCAACTGTAACTAAAGCTAGGAAAATAAACATGTTAGGTCCACAATGAGGTGTGCTTCATGGTACATGTGAGGAATGTTACAGCCTACCACAGTGACCCTTCAGCTGTGTCCTGGAGAGAGAGGAGAGTGTTAGGGCCTTTCTTCACTCAGAGAAACTCCAAATATAGGTGTTATATCATTTGTACTTCCAGAGATAGGATTAAAAAAAATTTGGAACTGGTTTTATTGAATGACTTCCCCTTTCGATCTATATTTTAAGCCCCCCAAAGCTAAAGGCACTTACTTAAAATCTCTGAAGAATAGATCAGAACTCCTGCAGGATTCTCACAGGTTGCATAGACCAGTGTACATGGGGACCTATTTCTACACCTTGATTCTTGTATCTGACAAGACTTGATTTGGGGATTCTCAGCACCCCCGGCCCTATTATAGTCTCTGGTTGTGCTCTGCTCCCAGTATTTGAAAGACAGATTGAAGAGAGTGTCCATTCCCTATAATGTCATCTTGGCATCTCTGTCTGAAATAATTTTACCATAAATAAATAAGTTCATTTCTGGGCTCTCTAGTCTGTTCCATTGGTCAGTGTGTCTGCTTTCATGCCAGTGCCATGCTGCTTTGATTACTATAGCTTTGTAGTATAGTTTGAAATCAGGAAATGTGATGTCCCCAGTTTTTTGTTTTTCTTAAGATTGCTTTGACTATTTAGTGTCTTCTTTGATGCCATATACATTTTAAGATTGCTTTTTCTATTTCTGTGAAAAATGTCACTGAATTTTAATAGACATTGCATAAAACACATAGATTTCTATGGGTAGTATAGACATTTTAATACTATCTATTCTTCCAATCTATGAACATGAGATGTCTTTCCATTTATTTGTGCCCTCCTCAATTTCTTTCATCAATTTTATAGTTTTCAATGTAGAGATTTTTCACCTTCTTAGTTAAATTTATTACCATGTTTTTGCAGTTATTGTAAATTAGATTACCTTCTTAATTTTGGGGAGGAATCTAATTTGTTATTAGTGTATAAAAACTCTCCTGAATTTTGTGTATAGACTTTATATCCTGCAACTTTACTGAATTTACAAATTAGTTCCAACAGTTTTTCAGTAAAGTCTTTAGGGCTGTTGAGACTTTTTATATCTATGTTCATCAGAGATGTTGATCTATACCTTTCTTTTCTTATAGTATCCTTGTTGGGCTTTGGTCTCAAGGCAAATCTGGCTTTGTAAAATGAAAAAAAAAAAACCTAGATTTTATTTTGCCATCTGTAATTCTGTTTCTACCTCTCATCATTTCTTTTTTTTTTTTTTTTTTGAGACAGAGTCTTGCTCTGTCGCCCAAGCTGGCATGCAGTGGCGCAATCTCAGCTCACTGCAAGCTCTGCCTCCCGGGTTCATGCCATTCTCCTGCCTCAGCCTCCCGAGTAGCTGGGACTACAGGCGCCTGCCACCACACCTGGCTAATTTTTTGTATTTTCAGTAGAGACGGGGTTTCACTGTGTCAGCCAGGATGGTCTCGATCTCCTGACCTCGTGATCCACCTGTCTCGGCCTCCCAAAGTGCTGGGATTACAGGCATGAGCCACTGCGCCCGGCCTACTTCTCATCATTTCTTCGTGCAGGTCGAAGTTTCTGTCAGCCTCTCTCTTCTGTCTGAAACGTTTTCTTCAACACTACTTATAGTGTAGGTCTGGTAGGCCATGAATTCTCCCTCTTTTTTTCCCTTTCACTTTTTGAGGATTATTTTCATGGAGTTAAATTCCTTAGGTCACAGTTTGAACTTAAAAGGAGTCTTCCGTGGTCTTCTGGCTTGAAAGGTTTCTGAGAAGTCTATTACAATTCTTATCTTTGTCTTATATGTATTTTTTATTTGTTGGTCATCCTCCACACACCTTCAGGATTTTCTCTTTGCTTTTTGTTCCAGCAATTTGAATAAAATATACCTAGGTGGAGTTTCTTGGATTCTTATTTGATTTATTGATCTATGTTTCCCCATTTTGATGTTTTCAAAGCTCCTTTGATCTACACCTTTGTGGCCATCAATTATCCAGGAATTCGTTGCGCCTCACTGTCTTCCCTTCTCGTGTTGGGATTCCAGTTACCCGTATCCTAGACCAAGACTGTCTCACTGCCCTCAGATGCCCTTCCTTTCTCTTGCTTTTTTCTTCATTTTCTTTTTACTGTTTGTGATCCAGTTTGGGTAATTTTTCTAAAGTTGTCTTTAAGTTTGTTGAGAGACATCCCCCTCAGCCTCTCACGTTTTCGCTCGTCTTAGTGGCCGTTATGCCGGTGACTTTTGCTCTGAAATGTCTTCCCAAGGATATTTCTAGAAGGAACAGTCCTGGGAGACAGAGACAGTGTCACTTCAGAGCCAAGAGTAGGTTTGTTTGCTGCGTTGCATAAAGACAGTGTTTTCCTTCTAGGGAAAGTTCAACAAAGGCCCTGCAACCCACTGTAACATTCCTGGTCCTCCTGCACCAGGGACTTGACTGTGATGCTCAGCCCTGTGTGTGCAGCATCCCACTGGGTTGCCATATGCCTCACGCCAGCGGGACTTGCAGGGGAGCTGCCGTGGACACAGGGGTGTGCTGTGTGCTGCACCACAAGTGAGAAACTGCCTTTGATCCCAGAACTGAATGTTTTCTGAAAATATTCATGATGTGACAGGCAACTTACAAGCTACCAGATAATGTACTATATTAGACCTTTCATAGTTGTTGAAAAAGTTCACTAGCTCTTTCTTCATCTGCGTGTTTATCACACTGTCTAAAACTGTGAAAAATCTGAGATGTTTTCCCACTGGAATAATAGGCAGATAGATTACAGAGAGATGATTGACAAGCACATAGACAATAAGATAGATAGATATTGCAAAAATGCAAGGGTCAGAGAAAAGAGTTCTTTATTGAAACAACCAGGTTAATGGCATTGTATTACTAAGTATTATTAATAGCATTGTATTATTAAGTATTATTAGTAGCAGTGTATTATCAATAGCACTGTATTATTGTATTATTAAGTAGCACTGTATCATTACTTCGCAAGGCCCAGCAAACCCACAGAGACACGCAGTGAGAACCAGACAGAGAAATTTTTACATGAGCAGTGGGTTTCAGTCTACAGACTGAAAGGGACAGATAAAAATAGGTTTTCTCCACTTGTAAACCTCAAAGAGTCTATTCCCCTAACCTCTTTTGAGAGTATTTTCTTCAAGGTGTAATAGGAGGAACATTTATCCAGCCTGTTGGTATACAAGTCTCTCCAGGGTCTAGCTAAGCCCATCTGTCTCTGGCTTTATGACTCGGAAATGGCTTTAGGGGCCAAAGCTTTGTCCATTTTGAGTGTAAAAGACTAGGGAGAAGGAGTGTGCTAGTCTCCCTGCCTCTTTGGGAGCTTAACTTAGGAGTTTATCTTAAGTTGCAACTATTTGCTTCTTGGGGAGAGAGAAGTTGATTTATTATCCTGTTAGATTCAGGCAATTAACGAAGGAAATGTCTACAGATCTTCATGGTATGTAAAAAGTAAAAAGTAAAGTGTTCTCAGGGAGCTGAGTCTTTTTATTGGAGCACTGATAACTTATTTCCCCACAGTTATGTTTACTGATGAGGCTCTCAAAAGCATTCTCTGTCTCTGTTACAGTGTGCATTTGTTTGTTTTTTAATTTCTGGAATCCCATTTAGTCATTTTGGTAGTTTCCATCACTGCCACTCTTACACATCTAATCTTGCATATTGTCTACCTTGTTTGTTAAAGTCTTTGACATCCTATTTGATTGTGTTAAATTCTTTTTCAGAGTTGCACTGTCTGTCATATTTGAGTCTGATTTTGGTGATTTCTGTCTACCAGTCTGCCATTACACTTTCCTTTTGGTATGCTGCATAACCATAATTTTCTTCTTTTTTTAAAATCTGAGCATCTGGTCTAGTCCAATAGAAATGGGGGCGAGTTGTTTTTATACCTGTAATAGATTCATCTGTTCGTTTGCTAGGCCTTCAGCACGGCAGTTTTAATTAATCTATTTTGAGTTTTAATTAATCTATTTAATTAGTCCAGTTTGATGGATCTTTCATTTGTTGCTGTCACAGCCACAGCAGAACATCACAGGCTTTGAACTTCTCTACACCTCTTAAGTCCTTCCTGATTTCTTATCTTGGGATGGGGGCTGCTTCTCCAGAGGACTCTTTCTAATGACATAGGTCCAATGTTAATATGCATGTACCTGGTAGAGCTCAGGCTGCTACCAGAAGGCACGTGGGCAGATGTAAGTGTGTGCGGAGAAGGGAGGCGGAAAAGGAGAACAGAAGTGACATTTACAGAATGCCTACGAATACCAGATATTTTAGCTGAATCCACTCGCCAACTCAGAAATGCCCCATTACCCGCATCAGATGGGCTTAAGCCCTCTTCAGAGGCGTCATGCTCATGACTTTGATAGGGCTCAGTCGTTGCCGAGTCTACTGACTCTGAAACTGACTTGAAATTCTCAGATAAAATATATTTACAAAATAGACGTTTGTATGTTTGTATGTACACTGATATATATGTTCAGTGGTTCTTGGTGGCTCCTGACTCTCTGTCACTACACTGATATGAAATATTAGAGTAAATGCTCTCAAAATGTCTAGAGCTGTCATGACATTTTAATACTCTTATTTTCAAACATGTTAAAAATTTCAACTTGATTTTTTAAAAATTTCCTTGGCAAATTTATCATGCCAGTTAGTTTCCAATAAAAGGAAATGCTAAAATACCAATAAAGCATTCCCATTAATGCAATGTTCAGGCAAAATGAAAGATGGAACTTTTAATGAAATTATTAATAAATGTCATTATGCCAATAGTAAACACCAGTATTCTCTAGCATTTAATTAATATTTTAATTAAATATTAAATTAAATTAAATTAAAGTTATAGGCGCGGTGGCTCACGCCTGTAATCCCAGCACTTTGGGAGGCCAAGGTGGGCAGATGACCTGATTTCGGGAGTTCAAGACCAGCCTGACCAACATGGAGAAACCCCATCTCTACTAAAAATACAAAATTATCCGGGCATGGTGGCGCATGCCTGTAATCCCAGCTACTCAGAAGGCTGAGGCAGGAGAAGTGCTTGAACCCAAGAGGCGGAGGATGTGGGGAGCCGAGATCGTGCCATTGCACTCCAGCCTGGGCAACCAGAGTGAACTCCATGTCAAAAATATATATATATATATGTATATATATTTAGAAATATATATATATATATGTATATATATTTAGAAATATATATATATGTATATATATTTAGAAATATATATATATATTTTAAAGGAATTGTCAAAAATGAAAGCAACGATTATTTAACATGATAGAAGGGCATCTTCAAAATGGGTTACGCTTATGAATATACATATGAAATATACATATAAAATGCTGACAAAAGAATATTAAGAAAGAAATCTTTATTAAAACATAAAACTTTAAAAATTATACTTACTAAAATCAGGACTGTGTTCTTACAGTTGCTGGGCATCTTTATGATTAAAACTATACTAAAATGCTACAATGAGTATTCTTGGTATCTATATTTAGAATTGTTTTTAAATGTTGACCAGGGGAACATTATAAATGATCACACTGTTGAAAATTGGTCCTGTCTTCTCCAATTTATCTACCTAAATTTTATCGACAGAGAAGGTTCTTAAATCACTACCTGGTGTAAGGAAGCACTAATTGAATTCCATACAACAAATGTGTCACCAACCAAATGTGTCTGGGTCAGAAATAAGTGTCGACGTGCCAAACACCATGTTAAACACAACAAATGCTTTTATCTTATTTCTACAGGTGCACATTTTACCAAAACCCTCACCCATGACACTAAAATCATTGTCTGACCTTCCACTTTTATGATTGTGTTACAGCATCTTAAAAGCATTTTTAAACTATATAAATGAGTGTTGTGTACATGTATATATACTTACACAAATATACACATATATAATATTAAATATATATAAGTAAAATATATAAATGAATATTGCTAAATGCTAAGTCATTAAGCATTGAACAACACTATAATTGAAGAACAGATGCTCACTCTTTTTCCTCTGTATCCACCTTGTATAAAAAGAAAGCTAACATTACAGCAGTCCCCATTTATCTATGAAGGATATATTCCAAGTCCCCCAGTGGGTGCCTGAAACTGCAGGTAGTAACAAACCCTCTATATGCTATGTTTTTTCTTATCCATACGGACCTAAGATACAGTTTATAAATTAGGCACAGTAGGAGATTAACAACAGTGACTAATAATACAGGGGAACAATTATAAAAATATGCGGCAATAAAAGGTATGCAGAATGTGCTGTCTCTCAAAATATCTTATTGTGCTGTACTCACACTCCTTCTGGTGCTGATAGGAGACCATATGATGCCTACATGATAAGATGGATTGGGGTGAATGACACAGACACTGTGAGGTAGCAGTTAAGCTAGCATTGCCCTTCTGATGATATATCTGTGTGATGGTTAATACTGAGTGTCAACTTGATTGGATTGAAGGATGCAAAGTATTGATCCTGGGTGTGTCTGTGTGGGTGTTGCCAAAGGAGATTAACATTTGAGTCCGTGGGATGGGGAAGGCAGACCCATTCTTAATCTGGTGGGCATCATCTAATCAGCTGCCAGCGAATATAAAGCAGGCATAAAAATGTGAAAAGGAGAGGCTGGCCTAACCTCCCAGCCTATGTCTTTCTCTCGTGCCAGATGTTTCCTGCTCTTGAACATCAGCCTCCAAGTTCTTCAGTTTTGAGAGTTGGACTGGCTCTCCTTGCTCCTCAAGCTTGCAGACAGCCTACTGTGGGACCTTGTGGTTGTGTAAGTTAATACTCAGTGAACTCCCCTTTATATATGTATCCTATTAGTTCTGTCCTTCTAGAGAACCCTGACTAAGGGAACCCTGATTAATACAATCTGCTTTCCATGACCCAGAATCATGGAGCCATGATAATGTCAATTTTTTAGATGCCAGGAGCAGACAATGTCAATGGTTGGGGCTCCTCAACAGTTAAAGGATTGTTCCCTGAAACCTTTTGGAAGACCATTGTGATCAGAAGTTATCATCTCTTTTTAGCTCATCAAACTGTTGCTTTGCTGGTTGTAATCTTTTGCTGATCGTAAGTGTGATATTAATGCTGTGTTCCATTCTGAGATTGTACGTCATAATTTTGCCATTTAATGTGTGCAATTTGAAGGACTTTGGCAAATTTTGGCAATGTCCACATGGCTGGTTCTGCTTCCATTTCTTCTTCCTCTTCCTGTTTCTCTGTAGATTACTCAACAAGTTCTTCCAATTCCTCATTCATTAGTGCTTCTCCATGGCCCTCAACATGTTCTTCCACTTCTTCAAGTATGTTGGCAAATCCCTCTTCATCAACTTGGTTTCCTGCATGAATGATTTTCCTAACTTCTCCACCAATCCTTTGAAGACTTTAAAAGGATTCACAGTGTCATTGCATAAGTTCTTCCAGCAGGCATTTACAGTTTCTGGTTTTAATTCATCCATTGCAGCTTTGAGGAATGTTATTGAACCAGCAATAGTGAATAACTTTCCGCATTAAGGTCTTCACCAATTGCTGGTCACATGTAATCAAAGACCAGCTGGGTGAATGTGGCTTTGACAAATCACGTGATGTCTCAATCAAGGGACTGAAGCAATGAGCCAGTATTTGAAAGTAAAAATACAACTTGGCATTTTTATTTTCATAGGCAACACATTCAGATGGCCAGGTGCATTCTCTATTATTAATAGGACTTTAAATCTCAGCCCTTCATTTTCCAAGTTTTTTTTGTTTTGTTTTGTTTTGTTAGTTCTGGGGTGAAACATTGGTGCAAAGATTCCATAAAGAAGACGGCTGTCATCCACGCTTTCTGATTACGTTGCCAGAACATGGGCAGGAAATTTTTGGTTTCATTTTTGAGAGCATGTGGGTTCTTTGCTCTGTGCCTGCATCCAGCTTCATCACCTGTCTCGCAATGTTGCTGCCCAGGTTCAAGGTGAGTGTGTCCTTCCGTGTTTGACGCCCTGGTGCTCCTTTGCACTTCAGAAATGTAGGTCCTACTGGGCATTTCCTTCCAGAGGAGCCCCAGTTGCAGCACAGTTGAAGTCTTGCTTTGGATGGTATTCTTTCTTTTGAGTTAACTTCTTCATCTCTGCTGTAAATGTGGCAGCAGCTTCTTCATCAGCAGACATGACCTCTCCAGTAATGTTTGGTTTTTTCAGTCCAAACTTACTTCTGAATTTGTACAACCATGCTTTCCTTGCAGACAATGGCCTTGCTGAAATTTTCATATGGGCTCGATGCTTTCTGACACAAACATTACTGTCAGGTGGAATACATTTCCTGTTCTTATCTTCCACCCATGAGTTTCACTAAGAACTTATCACTCACTGCGGCCATGACTTTTGCAGTCTGATGTGTGACAGCAAAATCAGCCTGGATTTATTTCCGATTCCTTCACAATTTCATGGATAGAAAATTCACTTACCATAGATTTTAGCAACCTCAGCATATATTTTTTTCTTATTAAATCAAGAAATTTCACTTTTTCATTTAAAAGAAGCACTTATGGCTTCTATTTGGCATATCTGAATTGCCAGCATCATTACTCTAGTGCTATGGGGCCATTATCAAGTAAAATAAGGGTGACTTGAACAGGAATACTGCAGTGCCAGGACAGGAGGTGTGATTGTCGAGACAGACATTCGGTGACTCACAGGCGTGTGTGGTACGTGGCGTGGATCTGCTGCCGTGTGTGGTACGTGGCGTGGATCTGCTGCCGTGTGTGGTACGTGGTGTGGATCTGCTGGGCATAGGGATGATTTATGTCCTGGGTTGGACAGGATGGGATGGTGTGAGATTTCATCGGGCTGCTCAGAACAGCACACAGTGTAAAGCATGTGAATTGTTTATTTCAGGAATTTTCCATTTAATATTTATAGATATTTGGCAGACCACGCAGAAGGAAACCATGCAAAGCAAAACTCTGGACGGGAAGGACTGCTGTAGCAATAAGGCATGGACATGCCCTGTGCAAAGTTAGTGGCAAGAGCCATTCTTAAACCGGGGAAAGAAGGCGCTATTGTTACATGTAGTTATCACTGGAACCAAAGGTGGATGGGGGACTGTGATAGAAAACGTGGGTCTGGTTTTGGTTCTGCTGATAGATAACTGCGAGATATTTCCTGTATCTTTGAATTTTTATGGCTTTAATTACTTTGTTTTTAAAATGAGGATATCAGAGAAGATGGAGAAAGATTTTCCAAGACTGACTTATTTACACAAAACAGTGATAAAATCTTAAGGAATTATAGGTAGCTACCTAAGGGCATAGGAGAATGATAAAATTATAAACTTCGATGGGGAGTGCACACTTAGAAGAGGAGGGTACCAAGGTCCTCTTTAAGGGCATTTAACCCTGTGCTAAGGGCAGTTGACATGTATGAGTTGGCAAGACAACTAACAGAAAACTTACTGAGGCCTTTCTGCCTAGAAAAACCTGAAAATGGATATTGGGGAATGCATGAGTTCTAGAGAGAGTGGTGAAATCCTGTACATAAAAGATACAGACAGAGTTCCCAAACTCTCCAAAAGTTGTCAGTGACTGATCATGGAAAAATGCATGGGTGAAAAAACTCAAGGCAGTTCAATTAAAGCTGGAATATCTAAATTGAGACTAGAGCCGCCACCTAAGGTTTTTCAGTTCAAGTTCAGTTAAGATTATCATTCATAAAACCAAATAATCAACAGGCATAAGATGAAAAGAACAAAAGTAAATCCTCCCAATTTAACCACCACAATGTCTAAGATACAATCCAAAATTATCTGGCATGTAAAGAACTAACACAATAGAATATATTTTCCGTAGAAAATAAAATGGACCTAAATTCAGATGTTGAAATAAGGCAGACAAGGATTTTAAAGAGGTTATTCTAATTTGTATTTAATGAAGTAAAAGAAACTGTGCTTTCAATGAATGAATAGGAAATCTCAACACAGTAATAGAACTGGAAAAATGCAGAGTCTGACTTAGAAAATAAGAAAATTATTAGATAGATTTAGCAGCCAAAGGGAGGTGATAGAGAAAAAAAAATGTGCGGAATACATAGTACTGTCTCAGCCAAAATAGTGATATGAAATGTTCCAGAAATGTGGTAAATGTGGTTAAAGGTTAGTTTGTGGTGGGACTCAGGCAGAATAATTTTAGGAAAAAATATATATGAAGATTCACGATCTAGAAATCCATTTCCATAATATCACCCATATCACCTCCCTTTGTGAACCTCACGTACATTTTTAAACATAGATTTAGATAGGGGTGGGCGTAGTATGTCCTAGAAGGCAGGTCCCATCTGTAGGCTGTTGCTGTACAGCCCTCAGGCTAAGAATTCTTTTTACATTGTTAAGTCCTATCTATTTATTTAATGTGACAGTTAATACGCAGACAACAAAACCTAAATTATTGACTATGTGGCCCTTTAAAAAATGACTTTGATAATATCCAGCACCTTTTGGTTATAAAACTCTTCGTTTTTGGAGAATAGACAATTCCAAAGGTTATATGTATTCAGAATAGAAATGCTGAAAAATTTTCGTCATATAAGAGAGGACCCGGGGTATAGGGTAAGAGGAAAAGCGAGCTGAGCTGTGGCTCCGAGATGCCTCTGTATTCACGGCGAGATTGTCGTGGGGGTCTGACCAATAATGCCGGGAGGAGATGCTGCAATCAGAGTCTTCCATGTGAGGGAAGAGATCCAAATTCCCCGGGAGGAGGCTTGGGTAATGCTGGCAATGAGGTGACTCAGTGCACTGCATGGCCTTTTTGGTAGGAAGATCAATGCAGGTTCATATTTTCAGTGATAATTCGAATGCACACAAATAACAAACTACTTAAGAAGCTTTTTGGTTTACTTATCATTTGTATGGCTAGATCATTCCCTGGCTCTTATTAGCACAGAATAAAATGGTTTTCAAAAAAATAAATAAATGGTCAGAAGTCAATCAACTGGCATCAAAGTATTAATATTCAATAACAGATAGTTATCTTTCATAATCCTATTTTATTTATTATTATTATTTTGAAACAGAGTTTTGCTCTTATTACATAGGCTGGGGTGCAATGGAGAGATCTGGGCTCACTACAACCTCCCCCCTCTCCGGGTTCAAGCGATTCTCCTGCCTCAGCCTCTTGAGTAGCTGGGATTACAGTCACCCGCCACCACACCTGGCTAATTTTTGGTATTTTTAGTAGAGATGGGGTTTCACCATGTTAGCCAGGCTGGTCTGGAACACCTGACATCAGGTAATCCACCTGCCTCAGTCTCCCAAAAGGCTGGGATTACAGGGGTGAGCCACTGTGCCCAGCCACAATCCTATTTTATATGTAGCAAAATTTAAAGGGATATTTACAATGTCTAATAGTTCTTAGTTCTCATAAACCAAGTGTGTTACAGTCTACCTTTATTACATTTTCCATTTGCTTTTGATATGCAGGGACTACAGATTGTGAATGGAAAAATATCTTTTTGTCATCTTTATCGAATCACGGTTTGCAACTATTTTGTATGCCCCTGTAGATTTGATGACCCCCTTATTTGGAAGAATGCTTTTGGCGAATTGATTGGTTTGATGTGATAGTCTCTGTGATTTTAATAGAGTTATTTAGGAACCTGTTTTGTTTAATTTCATCTACTGAATATTGCCTAACACCAAGTATAGGGGCACACATATGTAATTTAACCAAAGATAAATGTTTGACGACCTAAAATATTGCAACAAAAAATTGTAATTAATTGCTTAATATAAATTACAATTAATTTGACATTGAAAATATTTTAAGTTATTTTTGCAATTGGTAGAGGACACTGATGACTTTTACTTTCTCTTCATTGACAATGAGGTCCAATGTGGCTAAGACTGTGACTTCGTTTTGCTGATATACTTTGCACAAATATTCCATTCAGAAACACTTGCTAACATACTTGAAAATATTCTTTTCAAAGATATTTTAAGCTAGGACTGGTGTGGTGGCTCATGCCTGTAATTCCAGCACTTTGGGAGGCTGAGGCAGGCGTATCACTTGAGTTCAGGATTTCAAGACCAGCCCGGGCAACATGGCGAAACCCCCTCTCTATAAACAAAAAGAAAAAAAATAAGATATGTTAAACTTGACCTTCATGGAAGACAGTGAATAATTATGACATTTTAATTCTCTAGACTGCATTATAGTATATTTTAATTGCATTCTTTGAGTTCATTTAGAACTCAAAATTGAATGTCTAGAAACTGGTCAAGGGATAGAGGAAATACCTTTTTTTATTTATTTATTTATTTTTATTTTTTTGGAGGCAAAGTCTCCCTCTATCGCCCAGGCTGGAGTGCAGTGGTGCGATCTCGGCTCACTGCAACCTTCTCCTAGCTGGTTCAAGCAATTCTCCTGCCTCAGCCTCCTGAGTAGCTGGGACTACAGGCGCCCGCCATCATGTCCGGCCAATTTTTTTGTATTTTTTAGTAGAGACTGGGTTTCACCATGTAGCCGAGGCTGGTTTTGAACTCCTGAGCTCAGGCAATCCACCCGCCTCGGCCTCCCAAAGTGCTAGCATTACAGGCATGAGCCACCGTGCCTGACCTCCATTCCTACTTCTTTATATTGTAATGTGAGAATTTGAGATTCATTATTAACCAAAGAATTCAGTAAAATGCTTTCCTTGGGCACGTTAGCAGCATCCATGGTAGCAACCACACCAACAATGTCATACACCAGACTGCAGCTCAAGGGAAGCCATGTCCTTGCACTTGATCACAAGTCCCAGCAGCTTTCTTAACTTCCAAAGACTGAACTTGGGACATCTGGAGCTCAAGCAGCAATTTTCATTAAAAAATTTAACAGAGAGCTCTTCCGTAGATATGCCAGTTCTTGGTCTTGCACGCATTCATTTGTTGTAGATTAGGAATGTGTATATTATATGCACTTAAGAAAAAAATCTAAAGAAAAATACATTCTCAAGCGGAATCAGAGAGGGTTTCCTGAGTAGATTCTCGTTATTAAAATTGCCACATGCAGATTATATAATTTATATGCATGTATCAAAAGTATAATTTACTATCACGGTGGAATGCCTCAAAACTTTAAAAAGTATGACTTTGAAGAGAATGAAAGGAGTTTTGACTCTGCAGAAAATAACATGAATAATTCGACAGAAGCTGTAAATTACTCCCATTTTTCACTGAGCTTTTGCATTAAAATAGGCAAATTAGATTCTACACTTTTTCCCCTACACAGATGGAAAATATGACCACTAAATTCATATCGTTTTAACTAGTGTCATCCCCCAGTGATTAAGATGTGCCTTCTTCAAGCATCAAAACACAGGCTGAAACGTGGAGTTTCCAGAGAGAAGATTTTTCCTGGTCTCATAAACAAAAATGACTGTAACTTCTGTAATAAGAACACATCATGACAAATATGTCTTTTCAAAGGTAATGGCAGACCCAGGGAAGCATTGCAAGAAAGGAACATCAAAATGTGTGAAAATCATGCTGCATCTTTTTTATTTCTGGGAAATAATAATCTGCAAAAAATAATAACAACTTTAAGCTTAACTATTGGTATCATTTTAAAACAAATTCAAAAAATAACACCGCTAGTCCAAGTGGTTCCTGTGCTATTTGAAAATAGACATCGCAGGCAGAGCAGGTGCTGGTGCAGGCTGGGTTGCCAGCCCGGCCCACGTGGGTGCGAGGGCATCCTGTCTCCATGGCTCAACGGAGGCGCCTCCAGCTAAAAGGACAGCCAGGGAATGCACCATGGACAGGTCAGTGAGTCCCAAGGCAGAGTGCAAGGGAAGCTTCAAAAAGTATACCACTGAACTACTTTCTGCCTTGCAATCAGAAAGACAGACATCTCAGACCTCATCCTGTGTTTCAAGGTGGCGGTTTGGGAAGGGACTGGTTCATTCGAAGCTGTCTGCCACGGGGGCTTCTGGGGGACAGACACTGAGAGGTTCACTTCACATGGAGAATCTGGGCCTTTGTGCAGCCACTCACCAGCTGCGGACTCTTCGCCAAGCTGCTCAGCCTGGTCGTGCCTCAGTTGCTTCCTCTGTAAAACAGGAGCAATGATGGTGCTTGCCTCTTAGGTTTGTCTTGAGAAGCACATTAAGCTGATTTTTGCCGCTCCACAGTTAACAGCAGAGCCTGACAGATGGAAGGATGAGGTGGGCTATTTAGGCTACATGTGTTTGCTAAAGAAACTAAACAGACTCCACAGAAGAGCCATTTGCACCCCTCTGTCTTAAACACCCTTATGGGACGTATATCCTACCCTCTGTCAGAAACCAGTATCAAGATTTCTCAATATGAAACACAGTGCCAGGGCCAGAAGTCAGAAATAAGGCTGAAATTGGGCGGGCACGGTGGCTCATGCCTGTGATCCCAGCATTTTGGGAGGCTGAGGTGGGTGGATCACGAGGTCTAGAGTTCAAGACAAGCCTGGAAAATATGGTGAAACCCCGTCTCTACTGAAAATACAAAAATTAGCTGGGCATGGTGGTGGGCGCCTGTAATCCCAACTACTTGGGAGGCTGAGGCAGGGAACCGCTTGAACCCAGGAGGTAGAACTTGCAGTGAGCCAAGATCATGCGCCACTGCACTCCAGCATGGGAGAAAGAGCAAGACACTGTTTCAAAGAAAAAAATAATAAAGAAAGAAATAAAAAATAATAAAATAATAAATAAATAAAAACACCAAGACTGAGATTTCTTAACTATTTTAGGGCCATTCATTTTAACACTGTCTCTCCAAACTTTTCAAGGAGCACAGTAAGTTTCGGGCACAACCCCTTTGTGCCCCATTATAATCTATGAGGAATTTAATAAAATTCTATTTATTTGGTTCTACTATAATGAAAATTAACATTTTTTATTTACACGAGGCTTCGTTAAATTTAATCACATCATATAGCTATTTCAAGAAGATTCTCTATAAATACACACATATAAGCCCTCAGTACCATCCAACTAAGAATATCTACTGGATTACTGGATTTCTTTCTTTCTTTTTTTTTTTTCTGGAATTGGGGTCAACATTTCATTCCATAAAATAGGATGTGTGTTCCTGACAACTGAATGGTTTCTGTTTTCCCATTGTTTGTTTGCATTCTTTGTGTTATTTCTTGGCACGTGGAAAACAGAAGAATAAAAGGAAATTTTCAAGGTTTAAAAACAGTTATTGAAAGGAAAATGTAGAGTAGAAAGTGTTTCCACACTTGAGTTGATCAAAGGAAAAGTCAGGATTGGGAGGGAAATGGAAAGGCATGAAGAGGAGAGAGAGCTGTCACGTATTCCATGCGCAAGTCAGCAGCATTCATGGAACAACCACACCACTTGGGGAGGGAGGTGGAGAGAAGAGGAGTGGCTCTGGCTGAATGAGTCTGGGCGTGTGCAGAAACGGACAGGAAGGGGCACCCTGGCAGGCAACACCAGTGCTCGGGAAGGGCATGAAGACTTAATGTGGCTACTGGGGCTGTCGACAGAAGTTTATTCATGAGATTAGTTAGTTAAATCAATGAGAATCAGTGACTTCTTCCAGGGCTAGCAGAGGTAAAGGAGAAGTCAATATATTAAATGAGCCACAACCATATCACCAAATGCAAACAGAGCGGGCATGGCTGTGGTAATGAGACAAACACTAATATGCAGCTGAGATTCCAAAATATTTTCTCTGTGTTGAACAAGCAGTAGTGATGGTGGGTAGGGGGGCCATCCGGAGTGATCTTGAGCCTGGATGGATGCACCCAGGCTCAGCCTTAATGAGTAGGTGGCCTGCAGGATGAGGCACAGGAAGCTTGGAATGATTCTGTAAACAGAAATTCTTCATAGTGAGAGAAATAGCATGAGCCTCATAAGGGCAACTTTCAACCAAAATAGGGTGTCGGCTGTGGTTACCTTGAATGCTTTCAAACGACCATTAAACATTTTACCATATTCAGGAGGGTTTCCATTTTTTGGCATAGTTAAGGAGTTGCATTAAAACAAAGAAAGGAAGAAAAAGGAACTTCCAATTTGTTAATAGGTTTATTTCAGTACCAAAACTTTCTTTAACAGCCATTTGATTAGCTTCATAGAATTATATTTTATAATTAAATGTACCTAT
This sequence comes from Homo sapiens, assembly GCF_000001405.40. NCBI lineage: Eukaryota > Metazoa > Chordata > Mammalia > Primates > Hominidae > Homo > Homo sapiens. The sequence continues at coordinate 2,552,224 of NC_000008.11, forward strand.
ACTAAGTGTAGAGTGAGGGGACATTCTAATGAATATTCATATCCATATAACCACATGTCAATCAAGAAATAAAACATTTCCATAATTTCAAAATGTTCTCATGCCCCTTCTCCCAGCTCCTGCGCAAATACTGATCAGCTTTCTGGTACTGTATTTGAGCTTTTTGTCTTTTCTAGGATTTCTATATAGATAGTATCATTGAGCATGTTTTACTTCATGCCTAACTTGTATTATTCAGCATAAGATTTTGGTATGACCTTTGTCATTGTGTATTGGTGGTGTGTTTACTTTATTGTAGAGCAGTAATCCAGTCCCTAGATAATCATTTACATAGTATTCTTTCTGAAATGTGCTGAATTTTACTTGAGTACCTAAAATGTGCTTGCCATATTCTGTATCTTCAGAATATGCAAAATAAATAAATAAATAAATAAATAAACAAACAAACCTCTAAAGCAGGCCAGGCACAGTGGCTCATGCCTGTAATCCCGGCACTTTGGGAGACTGAGGTGGATGGATCACTTGAGGTCAGGAGTTCAAAACCAGCCTGGCTAACTTAGTGAAACCCTGTCTTTACTAAAAATACAAAAATTAGCCAGGCACGGTGGCACACACCTGTAATCCCAGCTACTTGGGAGGCTGAAACATGAGAATCACTTGAACCCGAGAAGCAGAGGTCGCAGTGAGCTGAGATCACACCACTGTGCTCCAGTCTGGGTGACAGAGCGATGCTCCATCTCAAAAAAAAAAAAAAAAAAAAAGGTCTAAAGTACTGTTTTATACTTTAGTTAAACTTGACCCTTAGCATAAAATAAGATTTTCATTGTGATGTCAAGTAAATATATACATACATATAAATATGTAATTATAAACATATAATCATATAAACATATACATAAACACAAAAGGGCTTATATAATTGAAAAATCTTACCAAACCATCACAACCTTTGTTATTTAAAGTACTCTGTATGTTGATCTATTCTATTCTGTCGCAAAAACAAATGATGGTTGTGAACCTCTATAATGTTTTCGAAACCCATTGATGGGTTATGGTGCACCATTTGAAAAATACTGATTTACAATACCTTTTATTTTTAATTTTTTTTAACTTTTGTTTTAAGTTCAGGGGTAAAAGCAGGTTCGTTACATAGGTAAACTTGTGTCATGGGGGTCTGTGGTAGAGATTATTTCATCACCCTGCTATTAACCCTAGTACCCATTAGTTATTTAATATTTTTCCTGATCCCTTCCCTTCTCCCACTCTCCACCCTCCAAAATGCCCCAGTGTGTGTTGTTCCCCTCTATGTGTCCATGTGTTCTAATTATTTAGCTCCCACTTAGAAGTGAGAACGTTTGGTATTTGGTTTTCTGTTCCTGCACTAGTTTGCTAAGGATAATGGCCTCCGCCTCCATCCACGTCCCTGAGAAGCAAGTGATCTCACCAATAGCTCCAGTGATAACTAGGCCCTTGTCCTGCTGCCCACAGCCTTGCATTCCTGAGCTACTGAGAATTTGCTGGGTATCAAAGCCATCCAATCATTATGCTATTAGATGAAACTCTCCTTCTTCTTCCTTGCATCGGGTGATCTATTTTCATCCACTCAGTAAAAACTACCTTTCCCATATGGTTAGGCTTTGTGTCCCTACACAAAATCTCATCTGGAATTGTAATGCCCATCACCCCATAATCCCCACATGTCAAGGGCAGGACCGAGTGGAAGTGATTGGATCATGGGGGTGGTTCCCCCCGTGCTGTTCTCGTGATAGTGACTGAGTCTTACGAGATCTGATGGTTTTAGAAGCCTCTGGCATCTCCCCTGCTTGTGCTCATCCACCCCGCCAGCCTGTGAAGAAGATGCCTGCTTCTCCTTTGTCTTCCGCCATGATTGTGAGTTTCCTGAGGCCTCCCCAGCCATGCGGAACTGTGGGTCAATTAAATCTCTTCCCTTTATAAATTACCCAGTTTCGGGTATTTCTTAATAGCAGTGAAGGAATGGACGAATACACTTTCCTACTCTTTTGCCTCACTTGAAGTATAATCCTTTGAGTTGTCAGTCTGTCTTACAATTTTTTATTTGGGGAATGTTTTGCAGGCTCCTGTTCCAATCTGAACCTTTGTTACATGCAGTTATGGTTGCAAAGTGTCTGAACTGTAGACACATCTGATGGTCATGCATATTAATTTCCTCTTTCTAAGTAAATAGCGCTGACTGCCAAGTTAGATTTTACTTTGTGTAAATAATTTTCCATTTTTTCTTCCAATATAATTTTGCATTTTAAACCTTACAGGATTCTATCCGTGTGGAGCATTTCTTACACTGTTTAGATGCCCAGAGCTAGTGAACTAAAGGAATGCATTGCATTTCAGAAAGATAAAGATTTGTGCTGTTTCCTTAATAACTTTGTGTGAATCTGATCAAGGCAAAGACCATATAGGATTCATTTGTTCTGTAATGTGACTCCAGGAGAATGTATGGCACACAGGAGATGCCTGGTTAATGCTGAATGAATGTATCTGGCAATGCAATTACCTTTTTATTTTCTGTCTGCTGAAATTCCTGGAGAAAATAGTAGTGCTGCATGAGTGCTAACATAAAGCAGAGTGCACTGTTTGGAGGCCAGCTTTCTAGGGGTATCTCTGACTCTGCCACCTGCCAGCTTTGGGGTCTTGAGAAGAGTCATTAATCTACTGGGTCTTAGTTTCCTCTTCTATAAAATGTGCATAATAGTAGGTATCAACTCAAAATGGTGCTGTGATATTTAAATATGTTGACATATGTAAAACAAGAGAAAATTTGGCAAATAGCAAATGCTGCATAAATGTTAAATCTTATTATTATCTATTTATACATTCTTGGGCTTTCAAAATATCAATCTAAAGGGCTTGATATGAAGAAAAATGCTGTATTTTTAGTTCCTAGTTTCCATAAACCTTTCTGTGGCTTTATGTTGTGTTTCAGAGTCCTAATTCAATCTGATTTTGTTTTCCCTGGGGAAATAAATAAATAAATAAACTGATTATTTTTACTCTGGTATTTTTTTTCCAGAATGGAATATTTGTGTATAAACTTAAACAAGGAGAGGTGTTCCAATATTCAGGCTTGATCTTTGCTGATGTTCACCCTCGAGATGATGGTGACCTTGGCTTTTTTTTGTGCATAACCTGTTGCCATGTTTCTCTTTGGGATTAACTATGATAAGGAGAAGATTAGATCCAACATTGTCCTCTATTTTATGGTTTAGAACTCCTTGAAGCCAGAACTATCTCATCTACTTTTAGTTATCAATATGCAAATGCCTCCCCATACAAATAGTTCAATATATTTTTGTTAAAAAATAAAATTGGTTATTGAGATTTGTGAAATTCTTAAATAGAGACTCCACCGTCATCCTTACGGCAATTCTCATGTTCCTCGCAGAATAGAGAGCCAAGAAGTAAACCCACACATGCATGATCAACTGCCCTTCCTCAAGGAGGCCAAGAATACCCAGTGGAGAAAGGACATCACTTCAGAAAACAGTGCTGGGGAAACAACTGTATATTCACCTGCAGGAGAATAAAATTGGGCTCCAATTTTGCACCATACACAAAAATCAACCCAAAATCATTTAAACACTTAGGTGTGATACCTGAAGCAGTAAAACTACTAAAAGAAAACATTAAGAAAAAGCTTCATGACATTGGTCATGTTAATGATTTCTTAGATACGATAGATAATAAAAGCACAAGCAACAAAAGCAAAACTAAACAATAGGTCTAGATCAAACTGAACAGCTTCTGCACAGCACAGGAAACAACAAGAGAGTGAAAAGGCAACCTAAAGAACGTATGGAATGGGAGAAGACATTTGTAAACCATAAGTAAGATAAGGCATTAATTTCCAAAATATATATGGAGCTCCTGCAACTCAATAGCACAAACACTAATAACCCAATTAAAAATGGGCCAAAGGTTTCAATAGACATTTCTCACATACGTAGTAGTCTGTACTCACACTGCTAATAAAGACATACCCGAGACTGGGTAATTGATAAAGGAAAGAGGTTTAATTGACTCACAGTTCCACATGGCGTGGGAGGCCTCACAGTCATGGCAGAAGGTGAATGAGGAGCAGCGTCCCATCTTACATGGCAGCAGGCAAGGGAGTGTGTGCAGGGGAACTCCCCGTTATGAAACCATCAGCTCTCATGAGACTTCTTCACTACCACAAGGACAGTGTGGGGGAAACCATCCCCGTGATTCTGTTATCTTCACCTGGGATTGCAAAATGGTACAGCTAGTATGAAAAACACTATGGACATTCCTCTAAAAAATAAAAACAGAACTAACATAAGATCCAGCAATCCCAATTCTGAGTATTTGTCTAACAAAATGGAAATCAGGATCTTAAGAAGACATCAGCACCCCCCATGTGTTTAGCAGTGTTATCCACAATAGCATAGCCAAGACATGAAAACAGTCTAAATATCACGTACGGATGAATAGATTTTTAAAAATGTGGCATACACATACAATGGAATGCTTTTCAGCCTTAAGAAACAAGAAAAGTCTACAGCTTGAGACAACATGGTTGAACCTTGAGGTTATCGTATTAAGTGAAATAAGCCAGTCACAGACAAAGGCTGCATTATTCCACTTATATGAAGGGATCTAAAGGAGTGAAACTCAAAGGATCAGAGTAGAAGGTGGTTTCTGGAGGGAGCAGAAAGGGGCGAGTTACAAATTACAAAGTTTTCATCAAGCAAGTTCTAAAGACCTGCTGTTCAGCATTGGCCCATAGTCAATACCACTGTATTGGGTAGTTAAACATCTGTAAACAGGGTGGATCTCATGCTAAGTGTTCTTATCATGATAAAATAAAAAAGAAAGAAAGAAAAAGCAAAAATGACCAAATACTGCAGTGTCAACACACTAAGCAAGTATAGAAGTCCAAAGAAAATAATTCAGAGCTGAGGAGGAACTAAAACTTTGATGGGATCACAGGAGAACAACCCTGATGTCAGACTTAGGTCCTGTAGCAAAAGACTCAGTGAGATCAAAGGGAATTCTGTGAAGACTAATTGGAGGTGGGGTGCTAAGGCAGCGGGGAGAGGCTTTGATGGCAGCTGAGATACGGGGAAGATGCCTTTGCACTGGACACCTCCACGGCCTCCCTGCCTCCTGGGGGACCTCAGGCTGTTTCGAGTCACCCAGGGCTCTTGCATCCTGCCTGCCTTCGTCCCCAACCACCACCTACAGTTTACATTACCACGAAAAAGAAGGCATAGAATTAGCAGCTAAAAACGACACCTGCTTATTAGCTCATGAATCTCTGGGCCAGAAGTCCGGGGGCTTGGCTGGTTCTATGTTAAGAGAATCCAGAGGCTCACACCCGGACATCAGCTGGGCCGGGCTCTGGTCGGGGATCTGGTGAATAACCCAGCTGAACTCAGTCTGGAGTGGGCTGAACCCGCACTCAGGTGGTAGGGCTGATGGTCTCTTTTCCATGCTGACATCATCGAGGACGTTCTGGGCCCCCCAGCTGCTCAAAGTCTCATGCAGCCCCTCCTTCTTCAAGCCAGCAAGGGAGTGTTGCATCCCCCAAATGCTTCAGCTCTGGCTACTTCCTCTTCTCCCATCTGTGGCAGACAATGCTCCAAAGGTTCAGCTGAGACCTGACTGGCTCAGGACCCTTGTCCAATCCCATATCCTACAGCCAAGTGACTTAGGACCTTGGTTATACCTGCAAGACCCTTGTATCTCTGTCCTAGACTCATGCTGATACGGTGACCAGAGGGCAGTGTTCGTGGGGTGGAGAGGTGCTGCTTTAGCCTGGCACGACCCTTCCCCAAAATGGGAGAGAGAGGGAGTCTTTTCAACATTGTTTCATTTTGTTGGATTTTTAAATATCCTACTTTTCCACATTTCAAGGAGTTATACAAAATAAAAAAGAGAAAACTTCTGGAGTCATTGTTTGAGGGAATTATAATCTTGATACCAAAATTGGGCAAGCAAAGAACAAGTGCAGGTGATTAAAGGCAAAGTCTTTCATGGATGTATTCTTAGATGATCAATGCAAGAGACATGAATTCAATAGTGCCTTAAAAATGCACCATGTACAAGTAGGGTTTATATCATGAGTGCAAGGATTATTCAACATCCGTGCATCTGTCAACTCAAATCACCACATAATTTATTAAATGGTAATAGCCATCTGATCATTCATCTAAAAGCAAAGGAGCATTCAATAGCAATCAGGAGTCATTTATGATAGTAAAAAATATTTCTAGCCTATGAATACCAGGAAACTTTTTCAAGATGATAAAGAAAATCAACAAAAACATTACATTTAAGAAGAAACCAGGGAAGTCACCATCACTCATCTATCTGCTCAGCATGGTATGAGAGGTTTTTATTAACGGAGAAAAAGTCTTGAAGTTGGACAAAGAATAGGCAATGGCACCACTATGTACAAAAGATGTGACTGTATACAGAGAAAATACAAGAAAATCTACCTTTCAGGACCTCCAGGTATTGTTCTTCTACTGGCATAAGGAATCAATTACTCTGTCAGTCTATATGATTGTTATTTTTTGCATAGCATATATCCATCTTATGTGACTTTTCACTAAGAAAAAAAAACACATCAGTTTTATTAGGAAAAAGTGAATCCAGGAGACTGTCTTTCCTGCTCACAGTTCTGGAAAATGAGGACTCCTTCTAAAAGCTGGAAAAATAGTGCCAGGGTTCACATATAACAACAATATAGAGAAAGAATCTCAAAGGATCCTACTAAACAAAATAATGTACTAGGATACAGAGACTTTAAAGGATCCTACAAATTAAATGGAAATGCAGTAAAAGGATAACATAGAGAGTAGTTCTTTATGAAGGCAACATGGCATTGATGTACACCAAGAGTCTAGGAGATTTGAAATTAAACATTGGAATTAGGAATCGGAATTAAAAATAAGGAATTAAGAGTTGGAACTGAAAAAAGGATGGAGCGGGCAGGAGTGTGCACCCATCCCCATACATCAAACCTCCACCAGGAGAGTACAGTGGGGACACATCTAGTGCAGTAAGGACACCTTACTCCTGAGAGAGATGTTGACAGTATTTGGGAAGACAAAGAAAATTTCTTTCTGGAAAAGTTTACTTTGATGGTAGCCATTTGGTCTTTGTCCTGGACATGTTTGGTCTTTGATTGCTGGACAGAGTACCATAAATGAAGACATAGCATTCCATACCAACAGTAACCAAATAAAAATGCAACAGAAATAAATATATCACCAATATTAGAAACATAATAATAAATACTTAGAAATAAATCAGCCTGTGCTAAGAACTTTGTGGTAAAAATTCTAAAAACATATTCTTAGGAAATACAAACAAATGTTAATAAATGAGAAGACTCAAAACTGATAAGAAATTCTGACAAACTTAATTTACAAAATCAATTCAAGTTTAATTTCCAGTGAGGGAGTTTTTGGACTTTGAAAAGATAATTCTATCATACACATAGAGATCCAAAGAGCCAGTGTAGCCCAAACAACTTTCTAAACGAAGACTACGTGTAGCAAAGTCCGCTCACCAGGCATCAAGTTCCATTATTCAGCTGTAATAATTAACACAAAAAGTGGACATGACCATGAAGGGCTAGGTTTAAATCTTCCCTCTGCTACTTACCAGCTGTAGGACCAGGGGCATGCTCTGTCCTCTGCATGCCCTGTCTCCTCATTTATATCATGGGAATGATATAAATGATATAATGGAATTTTTTTCATATGGAAAACATTATACATAATGTTTGAAATTTTCTTCAAAAAAAATCCCTGGGGGGAGGCAAAAATGGTCAGGTTTTAGACAAAACAGAAATGGCCATGAATTGAGCATAAAGTTCCCATAGCATATGCCAAGCACATAGCAATTGATCATTGTTCAAACTGGACAATGGGTATATGAAATGGAATATACTATTAACTCTACTTTTGAAATGTTAATACAAAGACATTATATAAAAACTACTTGTAATTCTAATAAGACAATACTACTTTACTTTAAAACACACACACACATACACACACAGCCAAATCTCATTTGCAATTGCTAATATGGTTTCAATAATTAGCTTCAATTTTCCAAAGTACTTTCAGTCTCTCATGGACTGAAAACTTTGTATTTGCTCAATAATTTCTCCGAAGGAGTTGAACAACTAATATTTTATGTGAGTAACTGACTAGTATGGAAAAGACCTGCTGTTTTCTTTCACATATTTTTACTATATATAAGAAAAACACATGCTATTGCTTGGATTTACAGTCAGATATGTCAACTTTTTCCTTATTTATTCCAGCTGGTTGGCATAATTCAAAGTGGAGCTTCTCTCAGTGTGAATTATTTGTCACTGGGTATTGCATAGAAGATGTTTTAAATAGAAAGGATAGGTTTTTTTAAACCACATTGTTCATTATACTTGGCTTAAATATTTCAGACTTCTGAAATTTCAGACATCAAGGTTAACTATATCTCCATGTATTCATGTGGACTGAACTGTGTGATACTCTAAGACGCATACTCATGAGCATTTGGGAACTTCTCAGACCATAATGACAGGATAATTTTTAAAAGTTTGCACCTACATGAGGTTCCTATCACCATTAATTTTAAATGAAAATAGAATCTTTAGATTTTATTTATTCATAAAAAAACAAAATAATGAGTTTTTACCTGTAAAATAGAAAGTACAACATAGCAATCAAGGGTATGTTCTTTTGAGTCAGACGGATTTCAGTTCAAAACCTGCCCTAGCACTGCTTGTGTCAGGAGGACCTGTGACTCACCCCGCTGAACCTCTGCATCCTTCTGAGTCCCTGCACCCACCTGAGCCTCTGCACCCATCTAAGTCTCAGCACCCACCTAAGCTCCTGCATCCACCTGAGCCCCTGCATCCAAATGAGCCTCTGCACCCTCCTGAGCCTCTGCACCCAACTGAGCCTCTGCACCCAACTGAGCCTCTGCACCTACCTGAGCCTCTGCACCCACCTGAGCCTCTGCACCTACCTGAGCCTCTGCACGCATCTGAGTCCCTGCATCCACCTGAGCCTCTACACCCTCCTGTGCCTTGGCACCCAACTGAGCCCCTGTACCCCCCGAGCCTCTGCACCCCCCGACCTTCTTCACCCATCTGAGCCTCTACACCCTCCTGAGCCCCTGCACCCACGTGAGCCTTTGCATCCACCTGAGCCTCTGCACACCCCTGAGCCTCTGCACCCTCCCTGTGAACCCGGGGATCCTACCACCCACCGGAGCATAGAGCAAAGCTTATCCCTCCTCAGACTGCTACAGGCAAGTCACTATGCAAGTTATTTCGAGACAAAAATATAGACATTCTGCTACCATCAAAGAACTTAGCTTCTACTCAGACAGACAGGATATCCTGAAAACTAAGACCCGTTTCAATGGGACAAATTCCTTAAAAGGGCGCAGGAGACAGGAAGACCTGATGCTCAGACCCCGAGGAGAAACTGCTGAGCCGGGAAGTCCGCCTTCAGCAGAAGTCCCTGCTCCTGGCTCCCAAGCTGGCCTGGTTGAGGGTCATCAGGTCCAAAGTCGCCAGGCCCTGGGTCCCTGAGCAGCGCACGGCGGAGGCGGGGCTTGAGCCTTGGCGCAATTCCAAGCTCTGGATGCGTCCCCAGGTCACTGCCTGGAAGCAGGGAATAGGCCAGCGCCGGCTGCGCCCAGCCTGCTCCTCTCCCCTGACGGTCACAGCCGCCCCGACCTCATCGCTCTGTCCACGGCCAGAAAAAGAATTCAGGACACGGACAGAAGGGGCCAGAGGAAGAAGCGATGAGACCCGCCCTATGTCCAGGACACAACTTCCCTGCCCTTCTCGCCTGCGACGGCTCCTCCTCCACCTCCTGACCTACAGCCCAGCCCCGCGCCTGCCTCCAGGAACGGGAACCCACGACCCAGCCTCGCACCTGCCTCCAGGGACGCACGACCCAGCCCCTCACCTGCCTCCAGGGACCGGGACCCACGACCCAGCCCCGCGCCTGCCTCCAGGGAGCGGCACCCCTACCCTGTGCGTCGTCCTCGGATTGAGGGGCCTTGCTCCGTTGCGGTGCAGGAAACCATGGCGATGTGCGAGAGGGTCAGGGTCGTGCTGGCACAGGTAGGAGGAGAGAGTTATGACAGGAAGGAGCTTGAGCAAAACCAGGAAGGTTGGAAAAGTCAGGGAGCCAGCGGTGAACACTGAATTCCGTAGGAGGGCAAGAACTCAGGAGAAGGTCGCCGTGGCCGGTTCAGGTGAGTTTGTGTGACCCGCTCAGCACTTCGGAGTTTGTTCTGCACCACACCGTGGGAGGTGATGGATATCGGAATGGGTTCGTTTCCAGGACTCGTCAGCTAGCCACGTGCCTGAGAGCGAGGACCCTCAGTAAGCGACATCCAGGAAAGGAGGCTGGGCCTGCAAGAATCGCCGGACTCAGGGGCCTTGGATGTGTGTTCCCTGGACTGAATGAACGGGGCTGTGCACCTCTCTGTCTGCAGCCGTACTCTCTACCCTGTCTCAACCCCTGCTGGAAAAGAAAATAATGGAAACACGATTTTTTTCTGGAGTTATTTTTATTTAGAATTGTGATTCTAGAAGAATGAATTCATCCTTTTAGAAACTGTTGTAAGAAGCACGTGACATGAAATCGACCCTCTTAAGCCATGGTTGAGCGCGCACTCCCCATCTTACGACAGGCACCCTTGTGCAGCGGTCTCTAGAACTCACTCACTTTGCATAGCTCAGGGTCTGTGCTGCTTCAGCACCATCTCCTCGCATTCCTCTCCCCGAGCTCCTGCTAACCGCAGTCTAGTCTCGGTACTTGAGAGTTGGACTCCCTTAGGTTTCACATCAGGACGAGCTCATGCAGGCCTGGTCTTTCTGTGCCTGGCTTATTTCACTTAGCATGGTGTTCTCCAGGTTGCTGAAAATGAGACTTCCTTTATGAATAATATTTCATTGTAGATAGGTACATACATTGTCTTTATCTGTTCATCCTTCAATGGGATTTTCACAATTTGTCCATCATGTAAATCAGTCTTGATATCTGAAATAAAATACGTCTAACAGTGGAAGGTTTTTAACTGTTCATTTAAAATATATATATTAGAAGCAGCGTATAATTTCAAGCCAACAAAGCCGGACCCTGACCCTACAAACTGAGGCTCCCCTACAGCTCTGTGTGCCCCAGCTTTCCCAGGGTAAAATGGGGTGAACCTCTCACTCTCTCCACAAAACTGCCAGCAGGATTTATCTTCATGAAATATATCAGCACATCTTTTAAACTATAAATATGTTATTGTCATAGTTTGAGAGCTCAAGAGAGTGATTTTTAAACTGAAGAAATAATTCAATAATATGTCAACTGTATTTCAATTTCCATTATGTTGCTTTATATTGTTCACTTCTGCTATTTTTTTCATCATTCATTCAGTTTCTGCACATTTCCACCCATCTGCCCAGTGAGTGATGAAACTATTGATCAAGTGCTAGGAAATGTCATAACTTAAAATCATCCATCTTATTGTTTTAATCTGGATTTTGTTAATACAATAAAATAGAGGCTCAGGCAAGTGTATTAAGTACCCAGTTCACAGTAACAATGCACTGAAGAGCGGGGATTCACATCTGTGTCTCTGCATGTTGAGGATGTTTTTCTGTCGTGTGCTGACTGTGAGCCTTGACCAATGTGCTTTTGCCTCTGGCTTACGGCTCAGTTCCAGTTAGTCCAGCCTCTGCCATGCTCAGATCTCTCCTCCCCTGCCAGACGTGGTGGACCTTCTGGCTGGACAGTCCACTGCCTTCCTCTGCCAGCACGTTGGATGGAAATCAGAGGATGACTGCCCTGGGGCACAGTCAATCTGCAGTCTTATCCTGGAACTCTCAACATCAGGCAGCAGATGCCTTCAGTTTTAATTACTAGCCACTATGCTAAAGGAAAAGGCTGGAAAACATTAAAATTAATTACTTCTCTTCATCAAAAGACACCTTTAGAAAAGTGAAAAAGTCAGGACAATAGCAGCAAATATAATCCAGTTAGGTCATCAATTCAGAATTCCGACAAATCAATTAGAAACCATCATAGTCATTGTCATCATCACCCCCACAGAAAGCTGGTAGGAGAGCTTAGCAGTCATCTCACAGGAGGGGACATCCAAGCTGACCACACTGGAGGAGCACAGTGCTTCCCAGGACCTTCGTATCTTCAAAGAAGTAAATGATATGAGAAAATTTCCTGGCATGTCCCTGAGCAGGAGGTGCATAAGAATATATTCAGATGTTGAGTTGATGCGGGTGGAGCAAAACTCAGGCTACATTGGATATCATTCTCCAAAACAGTCTCCTTAGAAGGGAGCCTTCTCCATCTGATGAAGACATGAGGATGCAAAGTGCTTGGAGGAAATTAAGTGAGACCACAACTTCCCAGTAGAGAGATGGTTGAGGATTGGTAGTCAGCACTTTATGGTATCTTGTCATTTGTGAAGAAAGAAAAAGCTGTTTATGTTGATAAACAACTTGCTTTGACTGACTGAGTTGAAAGAGAGAGTGGGGATGGCTAGGAAGAGAAGAGAGAGAGCAAGAGAGAGAGAGGGCAGGAGAGAGACAGATTGAGAAACAGAGAGAAGGTGGATTAATGTTTCAATGAAGAAGCTCTGGTATCTATGCCTTGTAGGCATTTTGCATAAGGTTTCAGGGTAGGTTTAGCATTAGATAAAATATTATGAGAAAAACAAAATTCTAAGAAGTGGTGACCTTCAGAAGATCATCATATAAGACTGGACCCTGGACCCACTGACTAAGCTCGGAGCACCTCCTGTTGCTCCATCCTGAGGTGTGTGGATGTTTGCACAGTGAGAAAGTCCATAAGGCCAATTATTTACCCTGAACATATATTCACTTTTATTGTGCTAATGTTTCATTTGCTTGAAACTTTGGAGACCACAGGGTGCTTAAAGACATAGACTCTTTTCTAAGGAAAAGAGTTAAATGAAACTGAGTACACACTGTATATATGTGTGTGTGTGTGTGTGCTCATACTATGTGTATATGAGAGCGAGAGAGACCACTGTATCTATATCGATCTATCTATCTCTATATAGATATATGGGAGAGATATATAGATGGGGGAGAGAGAGAGAGAGAGAGAGAGAGAGAGAGAGAGAGAGAGAGAGAGAGAGGGAGAGCTCCCAGTGAGGACAGCTTCTAATATTTATTCATTCAGTAAATTAATTACTGTTAGCAGCAGTGAATCTGCACAGGTTTGCAGCAACCTCATTTCTTGCCTCCTCAGATAGAAGAATTTGACTGACGGCCACAAAGCAGAGTGAGAAATCAAGGCAAGTTATAGAGCAGGAGAGAAAGTTTATTAAAAAGTTTCAGAGCAGGAATGGAAGGAATTACACTTGGCCTTCTTCCGAGTAGGTAACTTGAGGGATCCAAGTGCCTTCTTCAGCCCTTGACTTGGGGTCTTATACACTGGCATATTTCCAGAATCTTGCCTCTCTTCTCCCCTAATTCTTCCCCTGGGGCTGGGCTATTGCGTGTGCAGTGGGCTGCCAGCACTTAGGAAGGGCTGCATAAACAGTGTGTTCACTGAAATTGTGGACAGACTCACTTGACACACTTTTCCTTTACCATTTCAGTGTTCCTAGAGCAAGCTCATATACCAGTGAAACACCCCCATTTTTCCTCTTAGGGTGCATGCTTGAGCCCACTTTCCTAGTCCTGAGATCTTACTGGGAAGCTGCTGATCACGTTTCAGGTGCTTTCCATCTATTAGGAGACTTCCTTTCCCTGGCATCAGCTGTGACCTCTTATGATTTTAGAGAGACAATTTAACAACCACCTGACCATTGCCTGATGGTCACCTGGCATTTCTGGTGGGGGTTGGGGAGCCCTCCTGCCTTGCTCACATCTGCCTAGCTAACTAACATTACCGACTTTAGAATAAAGGTCCACATCACTGGATTAATAAGGCACTGTTGTCTCTCATTGGATGTTGGCTGGCTGGTGGGATTTGCCTGCATACATACACAGAAGTAAAGAGCAGGGGAGAGAAAATATTCATAGAATCAACAATTTAGAAATGAAATTTTTGATGATTTTCTTCACCATTATAGGCAAATGGAAGCATTTCAAATTGTAAACTCTTTTTAGAATAATGAATAATTCTTTAAAATGAAATGTATCAATACTAGTAGGCTTTATTTGGGAACAACAAATCCACACCTTCAAATTCATTCTTAAATATTTCATGTAAGAAAGCTGTAGCACAGAGCAGTTCATCGACTTGCCAATGACCATAGCAGCTCACTGCTGGTGGAGCCGGGGCCAGGTTTGTGTCTCACTTTTTCAAACCAGTGTTCTCAAATGTCCAAACTCATTAGTTTCAAAGTTATCACATTTTTTTAAAATCTGAAAACAAGCTGATGGCTTAGAAGCTGATGTTGGGAAGGTGCTTCCAAGTGATACAAGTTTTGCATTTTCTCTTGTAGACACCTCTTGGGAATTCACTAAACGTGTCTGCTATGGTCTGAATATCTGTGTCACCTCCTCCCAGATTCATATGTTGAAATTATAAACCCCTAATGTGATAGTATTAGAAGGCGGAGCTTTGGTAGGTGATCAGGTCAACAGGGTGGAGGCCTCATGAGTGGGGATTGGGGCCCTTGTGAAAAAGGAAGGCTCCATCTGTGAACCAGGAAGCCAGTCCTCACAGGAGATTTATCTCTGGGTGACTTGGTCTTGGATTTCCAGATTCCAGAACTGTGAGAAATGAATATCTGCTGTTTGTAAATCCCCTGTAGCCTGGTATTCTGTGATAGCAGCATGAGCAGACTAGAAAAAAGTCCTGCCGGTCACATGGTGAAGCCTCAGCCTGATCACTTCTATCTCTTTTGGTTTTTTACTTCCTTGAGTGATTCCTGTATCTCATATCATGTGAAATATATTTCATCGTGTTTGAGATTTTAACAGGTCATTACAAAACTAATGATAAGGATAATCAAATTATTTTAATCCTATGAAATTAAAATCTCAAAAGAAGAGAAGAAAATGGAAATGAACCACCAAAATAGTAATAATCATAATGACCACAGTAACAGTAAGCCCCTTAATTTGTGTCTTGAACATGTTCTTGGTACCTCCCTGTGTTTACAACCAACCCTTTCACCAACCATGTGGGGCAGGTGCGTTATTCTCATTTCACAGGTGAGAGCACTGAGGCACACAGAGTTTGAATACATTGTTTAAGGTCACATATTTAGTTTATGTTACAACTAGGGTTTTTTTTTTTTTGTTTTCTTTTTTGAGACAAGTTCTCACTCTGTCACCCAGACTGGAGTGTAGTGGTGCAGTCTTGGCTCACTGCAGCCTTGACCTCCAGGGCTCTGGTGATTCTTCCATCGCAGCCTCTAAACAAGGCATTCTGACTCCAGAATCTGGTACACATACCTAAAAAAGTGAAACCTGGTACCTCATCTGAGAATAAGGCTGACTACATAAAACATCACGTGGCTACACTCCCAACCGAGGCATCAGTAGTACGCTTCGCCCACATAGACACACACTTTTTATTCCCACTGTGTGTTTATACCCTCAAACCCCTTTGCAGAAATGATTGAGTGCTTTCTATAGGGCTTCTTTTAGCCTAAATTGAGAGTAAAGGTTTAAAAAAACAGTTCAATATTTAAAAAAAAAAACAATTCAATGGACTGAGCACAGTGGCATACGTCTGTAATCCAGGCACTTTGGGAGGTAGGAGGGTCACTTGAGCTCAGGAGTTCGGGACCAGCTTGTTACAGCTTGATATGTAGCATTTCATCTCTACAAAACAATTTTTAAAAAATTAGCCAAGTATAGTGGCATGTGCCTGTACTTCCAGCTACTTGGAAGCTGAAAAAGGAGGATCTCTTGAGCCTGGGAGGTTGAGGTTGCCCTGAGCCATGATCATGCCACTGCACTGCAGCCTGGGTGACAGAGAGAGACTTTGCCTCAAAAAAGAAATAAATAAAATAAAAACAAAATAAAACCAGTTAAATGGACAAGAGAAGAAAAAATGGGGGAAAAAACCAATGAAAGATACCAATAATAGACATTTTATACAGATAGTATTTGAAAAGTTTTCTACATCTTAGATCCAATATGTTTTTTTTCCAATCATATGCTCTCTTCTTATAAATAATCTTGCAAAAAGGTAAAATAGTTATAGAATCATCATCAATTAGACGTGCAAATTAAATGTAGTTCCTCACAAAGGAAAAAAAACTCACCTTTTTGTTTCTTAAACTGGCACTTGCTAATTTAGAACTTTATTGTAAAATAAAATGCTTTCTACTTCCCTAAGGGGTTGGGATTCCTATATAGTTTCTGCATACAGGAAAGAACTTTAGATTTTACTTTGGGAAAACAAACTTTTTGAATTAATTTTCAAATAGTCACTTATCCTATGATGAACTTCGTAGACATTTTCCCTGTAGTTTTTCAAAGTTGTTAAATAGATCGCACTGTACACAGCATATTATTACACACGTGGTACACCATGGTTGTCTATGGCATATGGAGCTGCGTGCAACCATGCAAAAAGCTGTCTGCAAAAGCGTTGGCTTGACTGGAAGACACAAGGAGGGTTATGGCTTCTCGTGACCTTGATCATTCACTTTAATTTTTACAGATTCAATTTTTGCACGTAGAAAATGGGCCAGTCATATCTGTCCTGATGTCTGGCAGTTAGTTATGATGCTCTTTATTATGATATATGGGGAAGAGTTATTAAATGAATAAACAATGCACTATTTGTTTTCATTATGGAATGCGTTAGAGTTTGATAGAAGCCATACTATTTTCATTTATCTGAACTTTTACTGCTTAGACTACAGGGGTAGGAGTCACATCTAGATCATGTTACTTCATTTACATCAGCAATTTGCAGGGACCACCTGCAGCAGGGACCCGCCATGGGCTCCGCTTTTGATTTACAGCTCAATGCACCTGGAGTTGATCATGGAGCCAACGAGTGCTGTTATGCTGTGACAAACCTTAGTGTTTTGCTTGCACCTCTTTTTTGACATGAGAACTATCCTACCATAGTACCTTGTTTGCACTTCTTCCAAAATACTAATAATAAACAGTTATCTGAAATAGCACCTGAAGACAAATGCTTCTAGAATGTGGGCTTTGGGGAGGCCATGTGGGTTTGTCAGGAGAGACAGAGAGCAAAGGCTGCGGGCGTGCCAGGCTGCTGCCGAGGGGCGCGAAGATGGTGGAGAACATGTCCCAGGCCTGTTTGTCCCACCTTTTGTATACAAGACACCTTGTATGTTTCCTTAACAAACTTGTGCATGCATCTTACATGCCCTACCAAACTAATTATTTTGAAGCCTACTGCAGCTTCATACCCTCCTTGTATCTTCCCCAAGGCTCAGCCTAGGGCTTTATACCAGGAAGCTACTTGTTAAGCCGTTTTGCTTTAAAATATTAATATCACTATTTCAGATGCAGCCACATTCATATTCAAAATTTCCTTTTACATTAAACAAATCCTACTGATCAGTAGATGGCAAGCTTGCTACATCTAAATACTGAGGTTTGGTTTTTCTGTTAGAAACTTCACTGACATTTTATTCCAAAATATTTAAAGCTTCTTTAAATTGATAGCATTCAGTTTGTTGTAAAACTGACCTGCTAATGCAATAGTTGATGCGTTCACTCACATCGAACTTCCAGCATTTAAGATACTGAATTAAATGAAAATGGAATTCCCAAGTCAAGTAAACAAATGATGCACTTTCAATTAATAAAGTAATTCAGAGTTTTAATTCTTATTAATTAAACTTCTATTTCCTCACAAAATATGCTCTAGCTACCCCATAATGGTTGCACCTGAAGAAACACGTCTGTTTGCCAGAAACAAAATAAAGAACTGCTGGTCACAGCTGCTCTGTTATGGTCCTCTGCTCATAGCACTGTTTCTGTTTTAATATAAGCTAACCAAGCAGGGAGAGAAAAGTACTATGTCAACCTCACCCACATGAAAGTGCCAAATAAGAATTCAGGAAAAGACAAGGGAAGTTAAGTTCTCAACAAACAAATCAATATGATTAAGAAAACTAACAGAGATGACTTGAGCCCAGGAATTTGAGTTCAAGACAAGCCTGGGCAACATGGTGAAATCCAGTCTCTACAAAAAACTATAGAAATTAGCTGGGTGTGGTGGTGAGTGCTTGTAGTCTCAGCTACTCAAGGATCTGAGGTGAGGTGGGAAGATCACCTGAGCCCCAGGGAGGTTGAGGCTGGAGTGAGCCATGATGACACCACTGCACTCCAGTCTGGGTGACAGAATGAGACCACCCAGAAAAAAAAGGAAAGAGAAAGAAAGAGAGAGAAAAAGAAAGAAAGAGAAAGAGAGAGAGAAAGAGAGAAAAAGAAAAGAAAAGAAAGAAAGAAAGAAAGAAAGAAAGAAAGAAAAAGAAAGGAAGAAGGAAAGAAAAGAAAGAAAGAAAGAATGGAAAGAGGGAGGGAAGGAGGGAGGAAATTAAGAGGCAAATTGAATTCATACTTTATTTATTTATTTATTGACAGTCTTGCTCTGTTGTCTAGGCTGGAGTATAGTGACTTGATCACTGTAGCCTCCACATCCCACGCTCAAGTGATTCTCCCACCTCCGCCTCTCAAGTAGCTGGGACTATGGGCACATACCACCATGCCCAACTATTTTTTTTGTTGTTATTTGTAGAGGTGGGGTCTCACTTTGTTGCCTAGGCTGGGCTCGAACTTCTGAGCTCAAGTGATACTCCCGCCTTGGCCTCACACAGTGCTGGGATCACAAGCATGAGCCACCATACCCAGCCTGGTATACACTTCAAATGACTTGATGAGAAATACATTTTATTTATGAGTTGTTTTCTATTTGATAAGGTTTTTGACAGATAATTTGATCTGAAAAGAAATCATGACTTTTCACGAATAATAAATAGTATTAATTTTCTACAAATACTTTTTTGGGCCTTTAAAACTCAACTTTATATGATAAAGTCTAGATTATAGTAGAACAAAGGTGATAATAATTTGTATATTGTCTTGTACAAGACAAGAAATCACAGCTAAAAGCTACATAAGTGGCCTGGGCAAGGTGGTTCATGCCGGTAATCCCAGCATTTTGGAAGGCTGAGGCAGGTGAATCACTTCGGGAGTTCAAGACCAGCCTGGCCAACACATTGAAACCCCATCTCTACTAAAAATACAAAAAATTAGCTGGGCATGGTGGTGCACATCTGTAATTTCAGCTACTGGGGAGGCTGAGCTAGGAGAATGGCTTGAACCCGGGAGGTGGAGGTTGTAGTGAGCCGAGATTGCACCAATGAACTCTAGCGTGGGCAACAGGACAAGACTCTGTCTCAAGAAAAAAAAAAAGAGAGAGATAAGTGCACTTTATAGTCAGATGTGTAAATATTCCCTTTTGTGGGATAGTAGAGAAATGGTCTGGCTGAAGATAAGTGTCCTGACTATCTATGGTAGAAACAGTCCCAGACTGCAGTCACATGAAGCCACAGCTGTATATTGTAGTCATGGTTTTGTGGGTTAGACATGCAGGCAGAACTCAGCAGCAGCCGCGCCGCCTCCATCGGGGAGGTCAGGTGGCTCAGTCGCACCGAGGGGGGGTCTTCTCTTCTCCCTTCTGCATCTGCGGACTCAGGAAGGCTCCCACGGTTTCTTGTCTCACATGGCCTGTGCCTGGGGTCTGCATGTGGTCACTTTGGGCTTTCCCGTAGTGTGAAGACTTCAGAAAAGCTGGACTCCATGGAGACTGGGGAGACTGGGCTGGAGGGAAGCGGGCCAACTTCGCCTTGCCCTGCCTTGACAGCCCTGACTGTTGTGTCGGCCATGATAAATTAGCCAAGAATAATTGTGAAGACCAGCCCTGGCTCAAGGAAGAAAAAAAAAAATAGACCCTTCTTCTTAGAGAAGCAGCAAAAAAAAAAAAAAAAAAAAAAAAAAAATTCAGCCATCTCTAATCTACAAAAATAAGTATGAAAAAGTAAAATTCAATGAGTTCATAGTCTAAAGAATTACAACCTAATGCTTTGGGCAATTCTTTTTTATATAAAATGGACAGGAAGTGCTTTCTGTGCTACAGGGCACTAAAATCATCATAGAGTGAGACTGGGAGAGTCATCCGAACCCATCCTTATCCCATGAGGACCAAAAGTTTCCAGGTTCTGAAATTAGATTTTCTCAGTCACATTCCAGGCAGAAAGCACTTACTTCATGCACATTGGTCTGGTTCACTTTCAGCATTGGAGGAACAAGAAAATAACACTAATTCCAGCTACTTCCCCGAGGCCACATTACCTCCCAGGATATGAAAATGTCTATGTCATTTTGCAAATAAAAATGAATAATTTGAAGTGCATGCATATGATGTCATCGCAAGTATATATTTGCTTATTCATTCATTTTAATTATAAGGATGTTTTTGTTATAATATAGTTTGACTCTATTCATATTTTGCAAAAAAATAATCCTTTTGGGTTAGAAATTTCTGTAATTAGTTTCAGCTTAAAGATCAACTAGATGAAATGTACAGACTGTTTTAGAATGGACTATAGTTGTCTATAATTAATAGCACATATTGCCTCTGAATCCCATATGGGCCCTGAGAGAAGAAACCCTTCAAATCAAAGTCTTACCTGTCTCTCTTTTGTCTTAATCTAGAATGTTTTTAAATATCAGGTATATATGTAGGATGAAGATTCATGAATAATGTGTGTCTTATTAGGTAAAATTCACATTCTTATGAGACTGATTTTTGGAAGATATTCTTTTAAATCATGTTGAGAAGCTACACAATTTCTGCTGATCATAAATGACTGATTGGCCTATGTAGTACACTGGTCATTTATGGTGACCTGCAAATTAGAGACCAGGCTTTTTAAAAGATATCAAAACATGTATATTCCCAAAATATGAGAGCTCATTCTAAACTCTGCTTTTATATATTTTGACACTAAGGCACAGTGTAATTTAAGTGATTCACAGACGTTCATTCAGCTCCTGTAAGAATAAGTGTCTGTAGAAATATCTGAATTCTGATGCTGATCCAATGGAAGTTCTACAAACTCTTTGAACTTTTTATTAAAAAAATCTCAAACACTTAAGTTATGGTTGTTAGATGTTTCATAAAGCCAAACAAAAACTTCAGAGGCAATAAACCTCTAACACAGAGTTGCTATATTTTGTTTCAAGTCTTGTTTTCTGCATAGCTTGCTTTGGCTTCAAAATGTGCATGGCTTGAAATACAATAAAGAAAAGACTTCAACGTGTGTGGATTACATATATTGGTTACATTATCAGAACTTGAAATAATAATGAAATGTGGGCTTCAAGACCATGTGACTAAATGATTTCTCACACTAGCTTTTTATACTATAACAATACCCAATTCCTCCTAAATACTTCTAATGATATTTATATGGTTGGCTGTGTCCCCACCCAAATCCCATCTTGAATTGTGTCCCCACCCAAATCCCCACTTGTCCTGGGAGGGACCCGGAGGTAACTGAATCATGGGTGCGGGTTTTTCCTGGGCTATTCTCCTGATACTGAATAAGTCTCATGAGATCTGATGGCTTTATAAAGGGCAGTTCCCCTGCAGGTTCTCTCTTGCCTGCCACCATGTAAGACGTGCCTTTGCTTCTCCTTTGTCTTCTGCCATGATTGTGAGGTCTTTCTAGCCATGTGGAACTGGGAGTCCATTAAACCTTTTTTTTTTTAAGTAAATTACCCAGTCTCCTGTGTGTCTTTAGTAGCAGTGTGAGAACAGACTTACACAGGTATCAAACCATATCTGGTAAAAGTTAAAGAGCATATTCTTTGAAAAATTAAATAGCTCTTTATCTTGAGCTGTTCCTTCTGATCTAATCAACTTGAAACATTAAGTGCAGCTATGGAACAAGTTGAAAGGTGGGTGTATACATTGGTAAGAATAGTGTAGCATTTGCACTATGCAGATTTTTTTAAAGTTCATTTTATTAGAGTACTTAGTGTACTCTTAATGTAATATTGCTCACATCTGCTCATAGGTAATAACTCATTGCCACATAAGGAGATAAAGCAGCTCAGGACAATGAATTGGTCTGAGTTTTGTCCATCTGTTCCTTTCCTGCCTGCCTCCTTGACACCGTTCAGCCACTCGAGACTCTAAGCATTCTTTAATCCTTGGTTCAAATACCACATCTTGCCTCCATTCAGAAGTCTTGCCTTCTGCCTTTGAGCTCTTTGCTAGTTTCTCTCTTTATCGTGTATTATTGTCTACCTTGTAGTCAATTTTACTTATTTCCTTGTTGGTGTCTTTTCTCCTCCTTAAGGGGACAAATCCAATTTTCACTTTGTGCTGGAAAAACTAAAAGGTAACTATGAATTTGTAATTTATGACCAAATAGGATAGACACTAGAAATCGGGAAGTATAAGGCCCTTTCTCTTTTCTTTTTTCCAGCACTGGTATTTTAATGTGCAGGTGAAATGGGAAGTTCAGTGAGGCCTACTCTCCAAGTTCCATTAGCAGCTCACCAGTCTGTGCTCCCATTGAGCTAGTTACAATTCTGTCACAGAGCATATTACATTCATCTTAGATATTCATTTTCTTGCCTTTCCAAAAGGTTCAGTGAGAAATGGGAGGTTTAATTTTCTAATTTGCCAGTGCCTAGCATTCTCTCATCTTCAAAATTTAGCCCATGATATTTCTCAGACTTGCCATAAAATAAGCAATGTAAATATATGTATTGTATTAACTTGGGAATTTATGATTTAGTATTAAGGTACTCATTTGGTCTGAAGAAATCCCATGGTTTTTCTACATTTTAATAATACAAACATTAATCAATGTTTATTGAGCGCTTGCCATATGGCATGCACGGTGCTGAGAGATTTATGTACATTATCTCATTTAATCTACTTTACAACATTTTGAATTCAATATGGTGATTGATCTAATTTTGCAGTGGAGGAAACAGACTCACAAGCACACAGCTGTAAGCACCAAAGATCAGATTAAAACCCAGACCTTTCAGCCTCAACTGCTCCTTCTGCTTGAAATCTCATTGCCTACACACTCAGGGGCTCCCTTCTTGAATCCTTGTCTTTTACCAGGAACCTGCTCTCATAGATCACCTGGAAGCCCGAGCTCATGGGTTTCTCCTTCTCTGAAATTAAGCAACTAGAATTTGGTATGAGAGAGCTGTGGGCTGGAGAGGCACTCACGTTTTCATAGCCTCCAGGATGTATGTGGCAGGAATGGAAACACAGGTCAATTGAAGTACAATATTGGCTGAGATTTCCAATGCAAATAAAACATCTGAAAGCTATTTCCCCATTTGCTTTTCTGTTTTTGATAATTTAAAGGCTCATTTAATTCTAATTTTAAATGAGTTTTATTTTCTCCTACATGATGGAAGCAGCAAAGGAGAAAAGTTTAATTGGGGAATGTTTTTTAATTTGAATATATACAAATGGAAATATAGCATAGATACTCAAATCTAATATGCATGATCTACAAAGAGTGGGAAAAAATCTATTCTTGTTGCTATAGTAACTAGAAATTGCTTTCAATATCTCTATTTTGTTTTTCACAGTGGATTGAGATCTAATGTCAATTTTCTAGTATGTTTCCCTGCCACAAAATATTTTCTTCTCCAGTCCAGAATGTTTCTGCCTTACATAGTTCCACTCAGAAAGCTTGTAGAATGTCAGGTACTGCTTTGAAATGTGCTAGGATTTATTTCAATACATGTGAAATACATGGCCATGTATTGATCATATACAACATGCAAAAAAACTACTTTGGAGGCATAAGAACAAAACAGACTAGAACGTTACCACCTGTGGGGCCACTGCTAAGTGATTTCTACCCAAAGACCTTTAGGGGATGATAGAAACAAAAAGTAAATTGAGAAGTACATAAGAAAATTTGGTAGAAAATTCTCCAAAAATGTAGGCAATGCCTTCGAACATGAGGATACAAATGTCACATAAAATAAACTGCACCTAGCATTCTTTTATTCCTTTGCTGATATTTGAAATTCCTAATGAAACTGACTATGTCATTAGAAAAGCAGTGATTGCTTCCCGTCTTTCATGCTTTCTCACAGGACTCTGAGTCTGCCCTGTGGATGCATTCACTCATTTGAAAATATTACTAAACGTCTGCTGTGTGCCAGATGTGTTGGTGAGTCCTGAGGCCAAGAAGGGAGCCGCCAGGATAATGGAGCCTAAGAAGCTGCTCCACTCGGTCCATCCGCGTTTCCTGGGGCTTCCCTACCCTTTCCTTATGCCAGCTCCAAGAAAGGGAAGTAGGAGCCTGGGAGGAGAGGGAGTGGTCTAAAATTCAAGCAACACAACTGATACCTATTGATCTTGAAACACCGTATTATTCTGTTCCCCCCACCCCGTTCCCCACTGCTATAAAGAAATACCTGAGACTGGGTAATTTACAAAGAAAAGGGGTTTAATTGGCTCACAGTTCTGCAGGCTGTCCAGCAAACACAGTGGCTTCTGGGGAGGCCTCAGGAAATAGTCAATCATGGCGGAAGGCGAAGGGAAAGCAGGTACGTGTTACATGGCCAGAACAGGTGAGCACCAAAGGGATGGTGCTAAACCATTCATGAAGGCTCCATCCCCATGACCCAATCACCTCCCACCAGGACCCACCCCCAACATTGGGGATTACAATTCAACATGAGATTTGGGTGGGGACACAGATCCAAACCATATCAAACACGAACACATTCCCAGTGCTATTCTAAGTGCCTTATTAATAGGGATCAGTTCCATGCAAATATCCTGTCCTGTTACATCTCTACACAGGCAATGGGTAGATCAAGAAATATTAATGAGAGAAAATCCACTGAGACTACTCCAGGCACCATCATTGGTACAAAGTGGGGGAAACCAAAGCGGAATTCACTGCGCTCATTCACAGCATGTTGGCACCCAGGGCAATGCGATTCCTGCCGCGTCAGCTTGACTCCTGAGGCAAACAGGAGGCCGACGGCCACGTCAGTGTGTACTGGACACGGCTGAGAATCAGATCCATGTCTCTGCTCCTCTGATCGTAATGCTTCACGTATGACCTCAGGAGTGGAATCAGTTGCATTGTGTATCCTCTTGTGGATGGCTCCCTTACTGGGAGCCTGGCTGTGATCCAGGCACCACCCTAAGCTCCTTACTCACCTTAGCACAATTAAAGGACTCACTTGATTCAGGAAACACCCAAGCCAAAGAGCGACATTAACTTTCCAGCTCACAACCCATTGGTGGCCAAAGTTCTCAGAACTACGAGGTTTCTGAATTCAGAAACTACACAATTCAGATCCTTATTCTAATCCTTCTCTTTATTTATTTAGAGACAGAGTCTTGCTCTGTCGCCCAAGCTGCAGTGCAGTGGCACAATCATGGCTCACTGCAGCCTCAACCTCCTGGGCTCAAGCCATCCTCCCACCTCAGGGTCCTGAGTAGCTGGGACCACAGGCGCACACCACCATGCCCGGCTATTTTTTTTTTGTATTTTTTGTACAGATGGGATTTTGCCATGTTACCCAGGCTGATCTCAAACTCCTGGGCTCAAATGATCTTCCTGCCTCAGCCTCCCAAGTGGCTGGGACTACACGCACGTGAAACCACACCTAACTAATTTTTTTAACATTTTTCTGTAGAGATGGGGGTCTTGGTAAGTTGACCAGGCTAGTCTCAAACTCCTGGCCTCAAGTGGTCCTCCTGCCTCAGCCTCCCAAAGTGCTGGGATCATGGATGTGAGCCACCATGGCTGGTGGCTGTGTACTCCCTCTCTTTAGGTCTCTTCTCACTCAATAGCAATTTTCACGAGGTTGATGATACTAAGCAGACTGAACGTCCGAGCATTCTCACCACAGCATGCACTAACTGGCTGACGTCTCTTCTGTCTGAGCTGTCCTGATGGTGACTAGTGACCCGCCTCTGCCTCCTGCCTGCACTCCCTCACGGTCGGATGTGCCCTCGCTCCTGCAGACAGGCGCTCTGGCTCTTGAGTCCTCATCGTTTCTCTGGGCAGTGTTTCATTCCACAACAGGATCTCCTAGAAGATGTCCTCTCTTAGCAAAATAAGTTTACAATTCCTTTGTCACCACTAAATTCTGTATGGAATCCACTCTTTCTATGCCCCCTTTTACACACAGTAAGTCCAAGGAGGGTTAACCTCACTGTGTCCAGCTGCCAGGTGTCAAGGTGGTGAACGAGGACTACAACTGGGGATGCTGGTGGCAGCCAGCTTAGAAGCAGGGCATCCTAGGTGAGGGGTTCAGCTTTATCTCAGTTGTGCTGACCCATAAGCAGAGGAAACAACTGGGAAGCTGGCAGTGGATGGACAGGTCCTGACTCTTCCGGGCTGGTTGCTGAAGCAGTCTGGAGTCAGAATTTGATTTCCAAATATGCGCTGGCCACCAACCCACTGTGCATTCATTCTTTCCATCTCTTCTGAAATCTAGATGCAGCTCCAACTTTCTCCTCCACTTCCCTACCCCATGTCTCACCATGAACATGGGTTAAGGTTTTCCTCGTAACCTCACGATATTCTTTCAAGCTTTTCTTCCCCTGCCATTGTGTGGCGGCTCCTTCCAAGCAGGCAACGCCACTGGCCTTCAAACAAACAAAGCCGTCTCTTAACCCTGGACCTCACTCTGGATTTTCTTTCCTCCTGGAATCCTCCTCACTGTAGTTCACTTGACTCCTCACGCCCTCATGCCATTCAGCTTCTGCTCATGAGTCAGCCCCTCTGAGATGCCTTCTTTGATTTTGTTTTCCCTTGGTGTTTGTCCAGTGCGTACACTAGTGCTGGAGGCTTCTGTATTTATTTGTAATCTGCCTTTCTAGGGGAAAGATGCTCACTGAGTTATCTCCACTTGAACAGCTAACAGTCATCTTCCATTTAATTTGCCAGAGTCAAACTTCTGATTTCCCTAAACACTGGCAATCAAGGTCTTTTTCTCCCCCCATCTTCCCCATCTAAAACTTGGCAACTTGAAATCCCTGTTGTTCTAGTAATGACTTGACTTCGTCTGTGCTGAGAGGAGGCAAAGAGTTCTTTAGAAATAAAAACCAGAGTGAAAATAAAAAATAAAATCAGTCTAGTCTGTTGTCTGGCAACAAAGACAGGGGAAGAAAAACAGACAAGTGAAATTGGGCATGAGAGTGACTTCTGTTTTTAAGTAACAGAAATACTCCGGAAGGTGTTCCAATGTGAGAGGATGCAGAGGTGATTTCCATGTGACATGAATACACACAGTCGTCCACACAGACCGAAGGCCTGTGTATGCCACAGGCTTGAGCACAACACCCTGCAGACCCCACAGGCATCAGAGCTCAGGGCTGCTGCTTTTCCTCACTCGTGTCGGGGATTCTCACCACTCAACGCACCCCCCACTTCAGTTGCTCAGTATCAAGAGATGCTGCAAACCTCCTATTTTCACCCTAGGATGCCTTCCCTCTCATACCTGGACTGGGATGGTGAAGACCCACCCTGATTCGCAGGTTACTGCAGTTATTATTGTAGTGACTTATGTATGACTTTAAAGCGTAGCACAATGTGGATCTCAAAATACCATGTTAAGGCGTAGCGGCAGGCTGGTTAGGGAGGGTTATCCATGCAGAGCAGGTGAACCCAATGTTGGGGCTTGGCCCAGGAGGGTTCTTGGCTTCACCCAGGAAAGAATTCAAGGGCCAGCCAGTGGTGTTCAACAGCAGCTTTTACTTAAGCTGCAGTGTGCAGCAGCAGCAGCAGAGGTACTGCTCCCCATGAAGCGGGTCACCCCTTAGGCAGTGAGCCCAGAGTCACCACTCAGAGGCAGTGCTGCAGTGTTATTTACACCTGTGTTTAATTATATGCAAATTAAGGGGCAGTGTTTGCAGACACTTCTAGGATGAGCGTGATAATTTCCAGGTTGTCCGGTTGTTGCCATGGAAAGGCGTGGTAACATCTGAGTGTTGCCATGGCAATGGTAAACTGGCATGGCACACAGGGTGTGTCTTACGGAGGCTGCTTCTATCCAGCCCTGTTTTAGCTAGTCCTCAATTTGGTCCAGTGTCCGAGTCCCTCTGGAGTCCAGGCCACCTCCTAGCTCCTTATGGACTAAAAGATTGTGTCTCTCTCCTCAATCCTTATGTTAAAATGTAACCTCTGAGGCAACAGTGTTTGCAAACCATGGCTTTGGGAAGTGATTAGGTCTTCAGGATGGACCCCTGTTGGTCCCTCTTGGTTGCGATTAGTGCCCTTATAAAGGAAGCTCTAGAAAGCACTCCTCCCCTTCCCCTATGTGGGTTTACAGTGAGAAGACAGAGGTGGGCCGCCTGGAAGAGCCCTGGCCAGGGCTGAGCACCTGACACCCTGATCTCACACTTCCAGTTTCCAGAATTGTGAGAAGTCGGTGTCTGTCATTAGGCCACCCAATATGGTATCCTGTTACTGCAGACCATACTGACTCAGACAGGGGTAAAAGGGGGCCTGTGCAGAGCCCTCTGCTCTTGCTCCATGAAACTGGGTCTTCAGAGGAAGGTCAGTTGGGGACAGGACAAGAACCACTAAGGACCGCTTGTGGTGGGAGTGTGCAGGCACAGTACCGGGTACTGCACAGACTTCTTCTCTGCAGCTCACCCAGATATCACGGTCTTCATGGACGCTACCATGCTTTGCACCCTCCCCGAAACCTATACAAACATTATTTTAGAGCACAATATGTAGTCAATCAAAAAATGGGAATGGTGTCCCAAATATTTATTTTGTAGAAAATAAAGTTTAAAAGTATATTTATGCTTTTGTATTTAAAAAGAAAGGAGCCTCTTTGTTCTTTAATGTGAAAAGGCAATCTACAAATCTTAGGTGCTTTTTCTTTAATCCTACACAGAATTAAATTCCCAGTTCTTGATAAAAATTTCGATTTCTATTGACTTAGGTGAAAAACTCCATTTGAAACTATTCACCTTGCCTGAAATAGATGTTCTTTAAGGAGCAGTAGAACAGGTGTCCTAAAAGAAATGCTAACGTGCATTGACTAAAAGTCAAGTTTAAAACTTCTTTCCCCTCTTTTTGAAAGTTTATGGTGATAACGAGCTAAGCGAGATAGAAAATGTGCTCTAGAACTTAAGTTTCTCAAGGACTTAATTTTATTTTTTATAAAACAGCTACTTTATTTTTTCCTTTTTTTAGTTTATTGTGTAAGTTTGTTTCTTCCAAGTAATAATTTTTTCCTACCACTTAACAAAGTCACAAAGATATATTAACCACCTGAGTCAAATAGAGACTTTTTTACACAATACGGTTGTAGATAAAATCACCAAAGTTTCTGCCTTTTTAAAACATCATGTGGGTGACTGTTTATCCTTAACATTTCTGAAACCCTCCGCAAGTAGAGAGCATAACTGACAGAGAATATCCAGGAGAGTGGTGGAGAGGAGGGGGAGGGAGAGACAGAGAGAGAGAAAGAGAGAGAGAGAGAAAGAGAATGTGGCAATGCTTGCTCTTTACAGAAATTGAAAGTACTTTTGTCCTGTTTGATGGAAATTGTCACTTGGAACAGGAAGGTGAAGGCGGATGTCCTAGAAGCCACAGAAAGCAGTTGCTTTTACGTGAGACTCCAAGGATGATACAATAATACTTGAACGTCAACATCTCTCCACTAGAAACCTAAATCTGGGCACTAGAATAACACACATTTGAAAGCTTGCATTGTTGAAATGCACACTTTCTAGAAAAATGTAAGATAATAAATTGACTAAAATTGTAGTAATGGCTTGGTTTTCAGATTCTATTTGCTCTATGAAAGAAGGAAGTTAAGAAATAGTCAGCTTTTGTGTGTTGTTTTATGCTAGATAGGGAAGAGAAAGAGAAAGGCAATATTCACCTGTTAGTGCCAAGTGCAACTATTGTGCATGTAGTTGGATGTAAGAGATGGAGGTCAGGAAAGGAGTCATTGACGGAGTTATAGATCCTAGATTATCAACAAGTCGATGTATTTAAAACAAGAGAGGAGGCTGAGGTCATTGAAGACATGAAGATAAGTAGACGAGAGAAGAGTTCTGAAGAAGAAAATCTAGATTATGCAGATATTTAGAGATCAGAGGAAGAAGAACTTACTAAGGTGGATTCAAAATGCTTAGAGGAGAAACAAGAAGTATGGTGTCCATTAAGCTGTGAAGAAAATGTTAAAACAAAAAGCATGAAGAATGAATGGATACTTAACTCCTGATAAGTAAGAGGTTATTTCCCTTGACCAATTAAAAAAATAAAACAGCTTTATAAGTAGAAAAAGATTGTATTCACACAAGGGAAATCTAACACATCAGCCACTCTTTCCAATCTATTTAGAATAGAGACCTAGATAGGCAGTTTCTATCTGAGTACACTAATAGGGACTTTCATTTTATCATAAAATACACGGCATTTTTACTGAATAAAATAATAGTAAATGGGATTTCTATCATTACCAGTGTCATATTTTATTGTAGTTGTTTTCATTTTTCATTTCTCCAAAATCATGCAAGTTCCTAAAGGGCAAGAAGTATGGATTTCATTTTATTTGTGTCACTATAGCCCTTGATAATGCCCAACACACAGCAGAAATAAAATAAATGTATGTTAAATAAATCACAGGCTCAGTCAGTTGATACATTTAAGTTTTCAACAAGAAAATCAAGTGTTAAAATGATTTTGCATAATTAGACTAAGGTCATATTTTATCTATATAAATATTTGGGAAAATTAGTGGTCTCTTTTAAGTTTTTCCATGCGTATCAAATTCTTGATTCTGACTGCAGATAGTGGGCTTTTTAGCAGCAGACATTGAATGATTAATTTAGGTACAAACCCTCACATTCTGTGGTTTCTTTCCAAACATTTGCAGATAATAGATGTTTTAAGAATGGGAAAGCTGCTTTTGTTTCGTTTGTTTCACTGATTTAGGATAAAGAGTTTGGAGAGTTTAAGTTTTTTGTCTTGAAATTATCCATTTAATTTTTAACTGCAAATATAGGCACTTATAAAGGATGAACAATGCTCAGAAATTCAGAGTAGAATGGTCTATGCTAGAGGTCATCTGGCTACCTCCCACCTGGACATTCCGATAACACTCAAGTAATCTGAATAAAAAGTGAACAACCTCAGCGACAGGCCTCTATTCTCACCACTTTTCCACACACCTCCTTCTGCTTCTGGTTTATTTTAACTTATGAAAAAGTTCTTAACCTCAAACTGGTTATTTCCATCTTTTAACTTTCTCAGATAGGGATGATCTGATTGAAAGTACTTTTTTTTCCTCTCTTTTACCTGTCATGATGTATTCACTGACCTCACCCTCTTCTACAGTTTTAAATGCCATCTATCTGCTGATAATCCAGGATCTAGGACTCCATCAATGGCTCCTTTTCTGACCTCCACCTCTTTTTTTTTTTTTTGAGTTGGAATCTCACTCTGTCGCCTGAGCTGGAGTGCAGGGGCACAATCACAGCTCACTGCAAACTTTGCCTCCCGATTCTCCTGCCTCAGCCTCCCTGGTAGCTGGGATTACAGGCACCCTCCACTAAGCCCAGCTAATATATATTTTTTTGTATTTTTAGTAGAGATGGGGTTTCACCATATTGGCCAAGCTTGTCTCGAACTCCTGACCTCACGTGTCACCCGCCTCAGCCTCCCAGAGTGCTGGGATTACAGGTGTGAGCCACCGCTCCCTGACCTGACCTCCACCTCTTATATCCAGCTACTTACACCATAATTGCACTTGGCGACTAATAGGTGAATATTACCTTTCTCTTTCTCTCCTCTGTCTAGCATAAACGAACAACAAAAGCACACTGTTTCTTAGCAGATTTATACAGTTTGGCTGTGTCCCCACCCAAATCTCATCTTGAATTGTAGCTGCCATAATTCCCACATGTGGTGGGAGGGACCCCATCGGAGGTAATTGAATCCATGGGGGTGGGTCTCTCCCATGTTGTTCTCATGATAGTGAAGAAATCTCATGAGATCTGATGGTTTTATAAAGGGGAGTTCCCCTGCACAAGCTCTCTTGCCTGCCACCATGTAAGATGTGCCTTTGCTTCTCCTTCGCCCTCTGCCATGATTGTGAGGCCTCCCCAGCTATGTGGAATTGTGAGTCCATTAAACCTCTTTCCTTTGTAAATTGCCCAATCTCAGGTATGTCTTTATTAGAAGCATGACAACAGACTAATACACAGATGAGCAGATACAGATATTTACATAAGGCATTTCCTTTTTTTTTTCCTATGGAGATTATGGCAGGAACTCTTTATCACCGATTTACAGATCACACCCTGGACCCAGGGTCTCTCGGGAGGTCTCCAGGATCAGTGGGCATGAAACATCACCCTCACTGATTCTTCCTTGAAAAAGCAAAGAGGACCCAAGCACAAGAAATTTGAGCTGTCACAGAAGTTCTGGTGAGTCAGGCAGCACAGCCACATTTGAGGTTCAGGACCTACACTAAACACAGAGGGTTAAAGCAAAGATTTCATCTTACATTCTGAATATCCCGACTTTCCACAGCCTTCATGGGCTGATCAAAGAAATGGTGCAATCAGAGAGAAGAAAAAAAAAAGAAAGAAAGAAAGATGCGTGCTTGAATATCTTTCTTCAGACCACATGCTGGGTCTGAACAAATGCTCTGATTTCATGTAAATAAATGGTTTAATGGGCTTTATTTTACTTTGTATCACAAATAAAAATTCAGAATGCAAAGGGATAAAAAGAGACTTGAGAAAGCACGTTAAAGATACTGTATATGTCAATCCCACAGGAGACATTGCTCATCACTTTTGAATAAAACACTAATGTGGATGGCAAGCGAAGGTAAAAAAAAATCTTTGATGTTTTTTGGGAGAGGAATCTACAAATATAGCCACTTGATTTTACAAAGATGACATTTTAAAACTATTGTGTATATTCAAATGTATGTCAAAGGAAAGTTAGCCAAAATATTCTGAAAAGAATATCTAACAGAAAGATAAAGACTATTATTGCTCCTTAGATAACGATGATTTTCTTAACATTTCATATAGATTATCTGACATTTGATGATTTTTATGTCTGCCTTTGGAGACACTCATTGATCCGTTAGAAATCCAATGGGCATTCTATTTCTTTCATTGACCTTCCTACTCCATAAAGTCGAATATTTATAGATTACTTAGTCTTGGAAAAAACGAGATGATGAGAAACTGGAAGATACATTGTACTGTCCTTAAAAAGATTGAGACTTGGACTCACAGGTGCTTGAACTTAGATTCGTTAGGTATTTAACCTTTATTTTAAAAATGTTTGCAAATTTATACTCTAATATACTAGTAAATGTGTCAAAAATTTCAGTAATAGCACAAGGAAATTATATAACCTTCACTTAGATTTGGGTTCACATATTTGCTTCCTCTCTGCCATCCCATTCCCTACACACACACACACACACACGCGCGCATGCAACTACACACACACAGAACTACACACTTGCGCAGACACACACACAGAACTACACACAAGTATGCATTGCCCACAGGTACATTTTCTGAACGATTTGAGAGGAAGTTAGAGACTCTTTTACTGGAATTCTTCAGCATTTCATAAGAACAATGACATTATTTTCCAGAACTACAGAACTACTATCAAACTAAGGAAAGTCAGCATTGATACAACACAGTTATCTGTGTGTATTCAAGGATCATTACTTTTCTCAGTTACATTTTTTTGGAGCTATGTCTGTTATTCCCCCTCTTCCAGACCAGGTTCCAGCTTATTATATCTTCTTTAATCTAAACATGTTCTGAGCTATCATTGTCTTTGTCATCTTTTTATGATAACATTTTTAAAGATTATAGATAATTATTTTGTACAATGTACCTTAATTTGTATTTGCCTGGAATTCCTTTAGCTGTAGATAAAGGTAACATATGTTGGGCAGGAAACCTGGAAGTGTTGTAGAATGCTTCTTAATGCCTCCCATAGGAAGGTACCCAAGGTCTTTTTGTCCCAATATTGGCGATACCCGCTTTGGTTTATAAGGTGGTATAAATATAAAGTAAAAACTTTCCCACTTCAATAAATAGCTAATTTACGGAAGGATAATTTGAGATAATGCAAATATCTTGTTTATCCTCAAAATGTTACCCACTAATTTTAGACTTCATTGATAGTATTCCAAACCCATTATTCTATTTATTAGATAGCTTTTCTCATTTATCCATTTATGTATTTCTACCAGTATAGGCTGCTGGGTTTGCATTTTGTTTTATTTTTATTTTCTATGTGTTTTATTCCATAGAATACTCTTTTTGCACTATCAGTTTTTCATGCTCATATTTTCTTATATTTGGACAGTGGTAACCCCTTCAACTCACCCCTTCAATTCCTCCCTCCCATTATTTGTACAATTTCCTCATACTTTCTATGTTTACACATACAGTAAACACACAAGCTATTGTTATTTTTTGCTAAAATATTTTTTAGAGTAATTCAAACAAAAAAAGATTAATTTTAAATTCATTCATCCCATTTCCAGTGCTATTTGTTTCCTTCTGTTGATCCAAGTTTCAGAAACATATTTTATATCAGCCAAAAAAGTTTTTTTTTGTTTTTTTTTTGTGTGTGTGTTTTTTTTAGATGGAGTCTCTCTCTACGGCCAGGATGGAGTGCAGTGGCGCAAATGTGGCTCACTGCAACCTACGTCTTCCTCCCGGGTTCAAGAGATTCTCCTGCCTCAGTGTCCCAAGTAGCTGGGAGTACAGATGCGTGCCACCACACCCAGCTATTTTTTCTTTTCTTCTTTTTTTTGTTTTTTGTATTTTTAGTAGAGACTGGGTTTCACCATGTTGGCTAGGATGATCTTGATCTCTTGACCTTGTCATCTGCCCGCCACAGCCTCCCAAAGTGTTGGGATTACAGGCATGAGCCACCGTACCTGGCCCAAAAAGCTTCTTTATCATGTTTTATAAACTAGGCCTGTCGAAAATAAATTCTTTCCTTCTTTTCTTTCTTTTTCTTCCTTCCTCTCTTTCTTCCCTCCTTTCCTCCCTCCCCTCCCTCCCTTCCTTCCTTCCTTCTTTCCTTCCCTTTTTCCTTCTTTATTTCTTTTTTATTTTTTTTTCCTTTTAACTGACTATTTATCAGTCCTTTTCAAAATACTTTTATGGGCATGGAATTTGGGGTTGACAGGGTTTGTTTTTTTAATTTCTGTAATGTAAGTTTAATGTATTTCTTTTATTTCAATA
The DNA here is from genome assembly GCF_000001405.40 of Homo sapiens. Lineage (NCBI taxonomy): Eukaryota > Metazoa > Chordata > Mammalia > Primates > Hominidae > Homo > Homo sapiens. The sequence goes on from NC_000008.11 coordinate 2,587,548, forward strand.
GGTTTTTGGGGAACAGGTGGTGTTTGGTCACACAGATAAGTATTATAGCGGTACTATCTAAGATTTTGGTGCACCCATCACCCAAGCAGTGTACATTGTAACCAATGCATAGTCATTTATCCCTTTCACTCCCACCACCCTTTTTCCCAAGAGTACCCAAAGTCCATTGTATCTTTCTTATGTCTTTGCACCCTCATAGCTTTGCTCCTACTTATAAGTGAAAACATATGATGTTTGGTTTTCCATTCCCGAGTTACTTCACATAGCATAATGGTCTCCAATTCCATCCAGGTTGCTGCAAATGCCATTATTTCATTCCTTTTTATGGCTGAGTAGTATTGCATGGTATCCACTTATTGATTGCTGGACATTTGGGCTGGTTCCATAGTTTTTCATTTGCAAATTGCACTGCTATAAACATGGGTGTTATCTTTTTTTTCTTTGGAAAAAAAACTTAAAACATGAAACTTAATATATCTTCTGGCTGACATGGTTTCTGATGTCAAATCTGCAGTAATTCTTACTGTTTTCTCCCAAATGTAATTTTTTTTTCTTTTTTCCCTGGGTGTTTTCAAATTTTCCATGACATTTTGAAAATGTGTGTCATGTTTGAGTCTGCTTCTGATAATTTCTTTGTCTCTTAGGAGTGTGTTGGTTGTTTTAGCCTTCTCATGGAACTTCTTATAAGTTTTAGTTAAAAGCCAGGCATGTTTTCAAGGACTATAATGGTGGAGGTAAAGAGATTTTATGGTGGGATATGTCCACTAATTCCCTTCGCTGGCCATTTTCTGTGAGATTTGCATTAATCTAGGACCTGGTGTGTGCTACAGTAACCCTCTGTGACCTAAAACTTTTACCTTTTTTATACAGATAACCTGTGTGCAGGGTGGGGTGGCTTGCCAGAGCAGTCTTGTTCTGTTTGATTCTGAATGTTGTCTTCTCTTTGTGTTGGACCTTACCAAGTCTCCCTTTTCAAGCTCTTGTGTCTCGCCTGTTCTCCCAGAAGTATACTCTTGTTGCTTGTTATACCAACCAGTGAAAGGACAAATAAATGCAAATTAAAAATCAGAGGCTGAGTTCTCCTTCTCCAAATAAGGGAAGAGGTTTTCCTGCCTTCTTTTTCCTAAGAGAATTTATTTTCACAAATTTGTGATTACAAGTACTTTCTCCTTTCTTTGAAATGTATATGAAGTCTTCTGAATATGAGATATGCCTCTTGTCAACTGTATGACCCAGAAATGCCTCTCCTAAGACCTGGGAGCCATCTCTTTGAAATACAAACATTGAGGAAGATAGAGCCCCTGTCTCTGTTCTTGAGGGAACGTTGGAGCCTAATTTCCTGGGGCACCTGGCTCCAAGTTGCGAAACTATATCATTTCACTGGGATATGAGAAGTTTATTTTCCACTGGATAAAGCCAATTAGCTAACACAGATAGTCATCTCAATTACCAGGTCAATCTAAGATGAACTATGTGTAATCAATGATGCTGAGGAGTTGTTCTACCTAAGGGCTAGTTACTGTTCGCTAATCTTGAAAACAACTTTGTAACGGGCTGTATCTGCCTGTTGTATGAAAGCATGAGATCTCTTTCCTTCTTTGCCATCTCTCAGCAGACTGCAGTGTGACGTGTATCCCATTCTAGTTTAATACTTACTCAATGACACAATTGTTCTTTTTGTCTTCTACCCCTGTAGAGAGGTTTTCTGGATCTGGGGGAAATATTGTTTTTAATCATATTTTCCCAACATCCCCCTGTTCGGGCCTGTGGTTGGTGTGTTTGTGGTTAGACATCAGCTTTGCCTGTCTTTGTCCCTGGGTGTCAAGGTAGGGCTAGCCTCTTTTCTCCTGATCCTCCACTATTCCCCCCGATTCTGTCCCCCATCTGGAGTAAGAGTTCACCACCAGCTCCCTGGAGGCCCCAGAGCCTGTTTCCCTCCGTCCTCACACTCAGGCCTCTGTTCTGTAGAGGGGCTGGGGAGGGAAGGGGTCCTGGGTGGGTTTCTTGTCCCTCCCCCGGGACTGCACCAAAATGGATACCAGGCATGTCAGCTGCTTTGCTGGTGAACCCCTTGGTTTGTGGAGAAAGAGCTTTCTGAATATTGGCAAAAGCTCTCTCCGGATAAAATGTGTGTCAGACTTCTCGGAGTCTCTTGATTGTGCCTTGAACTTAGGCTCGGTCCACAGCCAGCTTAGCTCACTTTTGGCTAAAATCCGGCTGGGTTGCCAAAATTCCCACCCTTGATATCTGATCAAATTCCTCATCCCCTACCCTTGATAGTTCATCATCCTGGCCTTGCTTGGACAAGAATCCTTTAAAATGGATAAGCCAGAATCTCCCCGTAGCCATGTCGCCCTAAAATAATCAAAAAGTTCAGAATCTAATTTAAAGAGAATTTTTCAGGCACAAAGTATATGGACCACCCAGAAACACAAACTTCAGAGGAATAGAGTCATGTTCTGAAGTAGAAAAGTTAAGATTTCGTTTATACAGGCAGAGAGAGACAGAGGAGTTTTAGGAGCATTGGGACAGTATTCATCCAAGATTGACACATACTTACAGCAATGCTAACAATGCTAACTGACTTCAAGAATTAGTATAAAGCTGCAATAATCAAGACAGTGTGGTACTGGAGAAAGAATGAACACATCAGTCAGTAGCACAGATTAGAGAGTCCAGAAAGGGACCCACATATACTCAAGTGGTTTTTGACAAAGGAACAAAAGTAGTGCAATGGAAAGGGGATAGTTCATTCAAAAAAAACAGTGCTAAAAAAACAAGATATCCACATGCAAAAAATGTGAATCTAGAGACAGACGTTACACCCTTCCCAAGAACATTAGCTCAAAAGGAATCACAAAATTTGGGACAGCAAATTTGTTCATGCAGCCCTTTCACTACCCATAACTTCCGCTACAGTCCAGACCCTCACAGTCCCTCAAAGGAGCCCCACACCCAGTCACCACGTAAAAAACTGCAATGTTTGAAATACTGATTTTTAACGAGGCAGAAATCCATTTAAAAATGAACACTGGCAGGTGCCTGAAAGCACTTTAGATTATAAAGCACTTAAAATATATACCTATACATGTATGTATTAAAGCTTAAATACACTAGTACCAAGAAACTTTAAGATACATTCAACAAAGAACAAACTCAGGATAAAAAAAAAATGCAGTGTTCGAATAATCTTTACAAAGCACTTTTTAAAAATTTCTAATATTCTTAGAAGACATTTGAACATTAATGCCTTTATAGAGAAATTAACTTAAACACTAAAGAATTCCCTTTGATATTAAAACAATTATTCCCAATGTTTACACAGGTGTTATACTCTATTGATGTGACTTTAGTAGTTCCCTTTAAAATATGATTACTTATATTAGTTAATGGGTAGCTTATTTGTTTTATGTTTACTATGAAGATTTTCATTTTGGGGCCAGGTCCAGTGGCTCACACCTGTAATCTCAGCAATTTGGGAGGCCGAGGCGGGCGGATCACTTATGGTCAGGAGTTTGAGACCAGCCTGGCCAACATGGCGAAAACTTGTCTCTACTAAACTAGCCAGGCGTGGTGGCAGGTGCCTGTAGTTCCAGCTACCTGGGAGAATCACTTGAATCTGGAAGGCGGATGTTGCAGTGAGCTGAGATCGCACCACTGTATTCCACGTACTCCAGCCTGGATGACAGAGCGAGACTCTACCTCAAAAAAAAAAAAAAAAAAAAGTACCCTGTATCTGAATGACATGATTCTTAACATCTAAGCACACTTATTCATTAGAGTTAGACTTATGTAAGAAGCCATTATGCATTTTACTCTGTGTAACTGTCACTGAGCAACTCCTGGTCTTATTGAAAGATTATTAGGTGAAGCTCATTCATTTATTCAAATGGTTACTTAATAAACACCAGTATGACATTTACTTTGTGCAAAGTGCTGTCCTAAGCACTTTGCAATCTCAATGTATTTAAGAAGATTAAATAAGTATAAGTATACACATATAAAATATCAGCTCAATAATAATTATGTGCATCTACCCTAGGAAAGACATTCATCAGTGGCTTTCAGTTCCTGGTAATCTGTAATAATTTCACGTAGCAATCTGTAAATTACTGGTTTAAATCTGCCCCACATCCAGACTGCTGCGTAGCTGGTCTTCCTCCCTGCCATCTATTATAATTACAGCTGACACAGCCACGATACACAACCTCCTTCGCATATGTCATGCATCCAATTGCTGTGCTCAGTAGTAATCCAAACAGATCATTAGCAACTCAACTGCACAGCTCAAAGCTCAACAAACAAAACAGCACCATTGATTCCCCAATATAAGAAAATTTGATGTTGCAAAAATATTTGTTATGATTCTTCAAACTGTAAGTTATTTTAGGGAACATAATGTTATTTCTACCAAATGGTAAGGGCGAAAGTTAGATTTAGATCATCCACATTCATAGAATAAAAGAGTTAAACTACAGCCAATTATATTTTATGAGATCCTACACATCTTTATTCTTAAATTCTTGACTGTATGAAAGCAGTTGAGGAGTAATACACAAATCATTCCTTTAGAATATGTTCTCCTTAATTTTTATGTATGGATTTTGTCCCTGAGGCTTAGATGAATAGAAAACCATCAGCAAACCTATGTATGTATCTTTCACTAGTTTAAAAATGAAAAGCTGTGTTTTGTGGATTCACTACTTTAAATTCTCATTTTTAAAAAATGAATGTTTTTTTTCATTGCCAAAAGATTTGTGATGAATGGGTTGGAGAATGAAGCTAAGCATTTTATTATCAATTTGCATGTTTACTCGGCTTAAGTAAACTTTCTTATCATGAAAATCTATTGTCCTAACAGATTGCCTGAATCCTGTTTTCTACTTGTCTTGAAAATTTACAGTTCCTATGAAGAGCTTTCAAGTTAACACAGGAGAAACTAACGATCTTTTCCTATCTTTAACTGCTACTGGATTCCAAAACCAAGTTATTATTTATCACAATGCTAGCAATGACTAGCACTCAACAGATATTTTTAAATTAATGAATAGATAAAAGTATCAAGAAGCTATACATACACAGCAATAGCTATGACGTACTTGCTCTTTACGTTATTATCTTCTCAAATTTGTGCAAATTATAACTCAGAGAGATCAATTATCTTCCTTGCCTCAGGTCACAAGTATTGGGCCTGGACTTGCATTCCAGATATTTATGAATCCATAGCTTTTCTTCCAGCTACTGCACTGTATCTGCTACATGTGAGTCCATATGTTACTTTTCTCATGTGAAACTCCCAGCTAACTTTAACAGATTTGTAAAATGAAAGCCCCGGGAGGCAAACGGGAGGACAAGTTCTATCTCAAAGATTTCCCTCACACAGGGAAGTAGACGACAGTGGAAGTACGTGCATTTAAAACATTCTAAGGGCCGGGCACGGCAGCTCACACCTGTAATCCAAGCACTTTGGGAGGCCGAGGCGGGTGGATCATGAGGTCAGGAGTTCGAGACCAGCCTGGCCAACATGGCGAAACCGTCTCTACTAAAAATACAAAAAAGTTCCCGGGCGTAGTGGCAGGTGCCTGTAATCCCAGCCACTCGGGAGGCTGAGGCAGGAGAATCGCTTGAACCCGGGAGGCGGAGCTTGCAGTGAGCCAAGACGGTGCCACTGTACTCCAGCCTGCGTGACAGAGCGAGACTCCATCTCAAAAAAAAAAAAAAAAAAAAAATTCTAAGACTCACATGGGGAAAACGAAGACGATGCAAGTGAGACCATCAGCACTAAGCCTGGGAGAAGGGGAATCAGTCTCCTTTGTCAGAAACTGGAACATCGTCGTAACTTTCCATGCATAGTGATGGCAGGACCAGGCTACTCTCAGCCTCAACCACCTTCTCCTGAGCCCCAACCTGAGAAAGACATGCATTAATGAAGAATGTGTGGGGAGTGCCACAGGACCACGTTAAGAGCCTTGAACTTGGAGAGACGAGGGTGAGAATGCAAACAAGATGAGGAGGTCACTGAGAAGCAGACTCTGTACAAGACCCTTTGCTCCTGGCTCATCACATTAATTTGTGGAGCCACTGGGTGAAAACCCCAGCTAGTGATCAGAATCCTACACCACGACATAGTGACAGACCACTGGGTGGAAAAGACACTCCACAAAGCAGTAGGCACAGAAGCAAAATCAGAACATCTAGGAGGTGTTTGCTGCAAAATCTAAAATGGACATGAAAGCTCCGTGTTAGAAACCAATTTGTGGCCTGGGGATGAGAGATAAAAAGGGTCATTATGCCAAGAGTGCCCACATGCCCTTGAATAAATTTTGGATCACTGAATTGGTAATGTAACTTTACATCAATCAATACCAGATTAAAATATAAAAGCGAGGTTTCTTCTTAGCAGCTCGTGCAGAGAGGAGATCAAAGAATAAGTCAACCACCACAGATTTTAAAAATACTTGGCCTTTATTGAATTCTTTTGTTCAAATCTGTGACAAAAATTCCCAACATCGGAATGATGAAAAGAGTCTACAGTGTGAAGAAAAAAGAATATGAACCTTGCTATATTTTACTTTATTTTATTTTATTTCTTTTTATAAATGTTTATTTTTTATTTTATTTTCCCTAAGTTATTGGGGTACAGATGGTATTTGGCTACATGAGTCAGCTCTTTAGTGGTGATTTGTGAGATTTGGTGCACTCGTCACCCGAGCAGTATACACTGCACCCTAAGTGTAGTCTTTGATCCCGCGCCTCCTTCCCACTCTTACCCCCAAGTCCCCAGAGTCAATTGTATCATTTTTATGGCTTTATATGAAGAAATAGATTTACTGTTGGAGGAATTTTTTTAAAAACTTTAGAAAGCTTCTATATTGTATTTTCAGTAACATTCAAGAAAACATGTATTTGTGAAATAAGAAAAATGTCAATGGGCTGAGATAAAAGGACTCAGCTGAGGAAGATTCAGGCAAAATTAAAAACAGAGCTTGGTAAGAAATCAAAATTTTAAGTAACAGTATGGAAATCAGTGTAAGAAGGATTAACAAGCAAAGCCCCCAATTTAGCAAAGTATATAAGTTCTGGTGATTACAAGCATGAGACGCAAGTCTAGAATAAAAAGCAAAGGACGCTGATTAGAATACAGCCCATAAACAGGTGAAAGAACAGTCTAGAACCTGGGTCAGTTTTTTGTTTTTTGTTGTTTTTGTTTTTTGAGATGGAGTCTGGCTCTGTCGCCCAGGCTGGAGGGCAGTGGTGCAATCTCGGCTCACTGCAAGCTCCGCCTCCTGGGTTCACGCCATTCTGCCTCAGCCTCCCTAGTAGCTGGGACTACAGGTGCCTGCCACTACGCCTGGCTAATTTTTTGTATTTTTAGTAGAGACGGGGTTTCACCATGTTAGCCAGGATGGTCTCGATCTCCTGACCTCATGATTCACCCGCCTCGGCCTCCCAAAGTGCTGGGATTACAGGCGTGAGCCACTGTGCCCGGCCGAACCTGGGTCAGTTTTATTCCTAAAGAAATTTTTATAAAACATCATAGAAATAACAAAGACAGTTTCCTGGTATAAAAAGAATCTATGTCTGTAGCTCAAAACGGATCACTGATACTCAGAAACACTTATTTTAAATAGTCAACAACAACCCCAAGTAGTTCAAATAGCTAAATATCTTCCAGCGAGGCAGCTTTAGTTCCAACAATAATCTACAGCTTAAAAAGCAATCAGGACTAGAAAGCATCAGTAATGACCAGGACACAACTGGAAGTCCTCTAAATTGGTCACTCCATTTTGTTTTCGTCTCTGACTACACACATTGGCAAACAGAATTTCAGTGTTCCTTGGAGTTGCCATGACTAACATGTTCACTATCTTGACTATATTTTACTCACCAGAAAAATAAGCTTAGGTGGTCCAGGTTCTATCTACACAGTTCTACAGCTCCCTGAGGTGTGGTTATTGTCAAGAACTCTGAAGGGCCTGAGATTTTACCATGCTTAGAAGTTGATGAGTTAACCTACCAGCTCCACGGTGCTGGCTGCTCCTGGGCAGGGATCCCTCACTGTTGAGCAATCAGCATCAGCTTCGTGTTAGTGTTGTCACAGCGTTGTGTGGTACGGTGCAGGTGGGTGCTGCGCGTGAAGTGGGTTTGCATCACTGCTGAAGAATAAGGATAGAGATTGTGCATTAAGAAAAATGAAATTATTAATAAGAAGTTTTAGGAATTAATAAAAATTTAACGCAAAGGAATTAATATATGGAAAAACACAAAACAATATAATAACAGCCCCATTATATTTCTTTCTACATTTAGAAAAGGTGGAATATTTCGTGACTCAGCTGAGGTGAATCACTAACTCTTCAAAAAAAATAAAAAGATAAAATTGGGGTTTTATTTTACATAGTACACAAAAAACTATTAAGAAGTTGATTAAAGACATATAGAATGGCAAGCTTAGAAGCCCCCACACTTAGGCGATGCAAGCAGAACTGTCCTGACGTTTGTTCTAGACGCACAGATCATCTGTGCTACACAGCGGTCAGTGGACAAGCCAGCTCTCTGGCCTGCGCATGACTACATGTCTCCTGTCCTTTAAGGTTAATCATTATACAAACATCATTTGGAAGATATTCCAGACCAAAAGCTGCCCTTGTGTCTACATGCCGTGTTGGGAGAAATGCAAGAGACCCGTGGAACGTTGTTTCACAACATTTAGAATTGTTCTTTAAGAAACATGCAAGATCACTGCCTTCTGAGCACCCCTGCACATTACAAATATATTCCTTCTTTTCAGATTATTGTTCTCCCTGCTGTCTGCTCACCGTCCTGTGGGGAAGCCATCCTCCTGCAGGAGCATGTGAGCCTGCTCAATGACTGACTACACAGGACATCCAAGAGAATTTGTTCAGACTAATTATTAAATTTTAATTAGGAGTTCAGTAAAATTGTTGGATAAGGGTGCAAAAACAATAGTGTCTCTACCCTCCATAAAAAGCTCATTTAAATTGGTGGTTATCAAAACAAAGACTCCATTCACAATAAACCCAGACAACCGAAGAAAATTCTAACAAAAGATGTACCTGATTTTTACAATGGAAACGATGTATTTTATGGGGGATTACACATCAATTCTGAATATATTAGGAGATTTCTCCTGCATCTAGAAAAGAAAAGGAGAATATAATAAGTGCTCCCCAAATTAATTCAAACATTCCAAGCAATTCTGTTTGAAAGCACAACTGATTATTTTTCAGAGACATAATAATAAGATTAATAGTTAATCTTCACAAGGAAGCATAAATGACCAAGAATATTCGGTACTAACTTGAAAATGAAGAATAAGGATAGAGATTGTACATTAAGAATAATGACATGATTAATAAGAAGTTTTAGGAATAAAATTTAATGAAAGAAATTAATATATGCAGAAAACAATAAAACAATATAAGAACCGACCCATTTATATCTCTTTTTACATTTAGAAAAGATGGAATATTTTGTGACTCTGCTGAGGTGAATCACTAACTCTTCAAAAAAAATTAAAAGATAAATTTGGGGTTTTATTTTACACAGTACACAAAACAACTATAAGAAGGTGATTAAAAATACATAGAAATAGTATAACTTAATTTTTTTTGAAAATATACGAACATTTAGAAGTTTTGATACAGATGGATTATTTTAAATAAGATATAATTTAAAGTTTAAAGAAGAGTGGATAAATTTAACTATACTGATTTAAAACATCAGTAGGAAGGAGCACCAAAAGTTAGTTGGGCAGGGCACGGTGGCTCACACCTATAATCTCAGCACTTTGGGAGACCGAGGTGGGTGGACCACTTGAGGCCAGGAGTTTGAGACCAGCCTGGCCAACATGGCAAAACCCCATCTCTACTAAAAATACAAAACTTAACTGGGCATGGTGGCGGGCACCTGTGGTCCCAGCTACTCAGGAGGCTGAGGCAGGAGAATCACTTGAACCTGAGAGGCAGAGGTTGCAGTGAGCCGAGATCGTGCCAACCTCACTGTAGCCTGGGCCACAGGGTGAGACTCCGACTCAAAAAAAAAAAAATTAATTCAGACAGCAGTTACAGGATTTTATAAATTTAAATAGAATTGCATGAGAACATATCTTACAATTCAGCAAAATAATATGCAATAAATTATGTACAAAGATAAGAATCTCCTTAGGAGTCAGAAAAATGTAAATCAAAATGTCAATGATACATCACTTTAGACCCAACAAATGGGCAGAATATAAATTTTCCCTGAAAATACTAAATGCTGGCAATCATGTGAGGAGAGACTATTTTTAGAAACTATTAATAGAATGTAACCTGTGACAACCTCTTTGGAAATCAACTTGGCAGCATTTAAAGACGTGAAGATGTACATTGTCAATACACGGATTTCTATTTTCAGGTATGAGTCCTAAGTGACACATTGACATGGAGTCCTGAACAGTGATTTTTGTGGTAGCATTTGGTTTAGTAGCCAGAAAACCCTAATATTTCACCAGATTGACAAAACGGATAACTAAATTGTGATTCATTCATAACGTTTAGTATTTTAGAACAGTTTCAATAAATACATTAGCATACATAATTTCAGTTTACAGAAATCACAAAATCATAATGTTGAATATAGCCAAGTACAAAATTCTACACACACCATGAGGCCCTCAGTGTAGAAATAAAACACCCACGTATACACACAAAACAAAACTGTCGTACAAGATTGTGGACATATACATAAGAATGACATGTCCCAGCTGTCAGACCAAGCACAGGTATGTGGGTGCAATCAGCCTCTAGTTGTACTGTGATGTTTTATTAACCTTATATTAAGAAAGAAATCTGAGAAAAAATATTGGAAACTGTCCAATCTGTGTGATGAATACATGGTTATTCACTACATAATATTCTACACTTTATAATTAAAATTGTTAAAATAACATGCTTTCACAGATTGAAAAACCAAGAAAACATATATTAAGCTTTTACAGTTCCATAGAACATATACAATAATTTGCTTCAGGTATACTGGATAATGACTCAGATAGGCAGCAGGAAAGCAATTCGTCTTCATTTCTTGAAGAAGTAATGACTGATGTAGTGGATTAAATGGTATCTGCCCAGGCCGGGCACGGTGGCTCACACCTGTAATCCCAGCACTTTGGGAGGCCAAGGCGGGCAGAACACGAGGTCACAGGAGTTCGAGACCAGCCTGGCTAACATGGTGAGACCCTGTCTCTACTAAAAATACAAAAATTAGCCAGGCATGGTGGCGGATGCCTGTAATCCCAGCTACTCGGGAGGCTGAGACAGGAGAATCGCTTGAACCTGGGAGGCAGAGTTTGCAGTGAGCCAAGATCGCGCCATTGAACTCCAGCCTGTGCAATAAGAGCAAAACTCCATTTCAAAAAAAAAAAAAAAAGATATCTGCACAAAATTCATGTCCAGCTGGAACCATGGCAGGTGACCTTATTTTGAAACTGAGTATTTCCAGATGTAATTATGTCAAGGACCTTGAGAAGAGATAACTTGGATTTAGGATGGACAGCTAAATCCAATGACTGATGTCATTGATCATCAAAGAAAACCAAAGATCAGCAAAGAAAAGGGAGACGTGAGTTACACCGAAGGTGGTGTGAGGATGGAGGCAGAGATCATGGGGGATGCCTCTAACAGCCAGGGAACAGCCAGGATTTCCCCCAGAGGCTGGGACAGACACCTGAGCAGGTGCTGCTTCAGAGCTTCCAGAAGGAACCAATCCTGCTGACAACTTGATTTCAGACTTCTGGCCTCCCTGAAATGCGAAAGAATAAATTTCTGTTGTTTTAAAATACCCAGTTTGTGGTAATTTGTTACAGCAGCCCTAGCAAGCTAATAAAATTGGGTAGGCATTGAATTACGGATGGGAAAAATACACATAAAATCCAAATATATTTTCTGTTTGCTTGGCATAATAAATGGTCTGTCACAACCTTCGCTACTTTTAGAAATGCTGTCAATATATTTCTTTACTTCTTAAAATGAAAAGTCTGAATTTTAAGGATTTCCTTGAGTATACATATAATTCTAATATTATTCCATATATCGAAGATCCATGCATCAGACGTGATGAGGTGAAGATTCTAGCTCCATCCCGCCCCTCTGAATTTTAGATTCCAAATTCATAAAATAATGCTGTTGATAGAGTTGCCCTGGAGAGTTGTGGTCTAAAGTCATATAGCTCGTACTAGAAAAATTTAGCTAAAATATTTACAATCTGCATATCCATGTTGTCTTAGGCACGGCTGTCCAACGATGTTTCACAATGTTGCTCAAATGTCCCCCCAGAATGTTTAATAACAAAACACTGTGCTTATCTCTAGCTTCTCCACCTTTTCAAAATACTTCTCAGTCAGTCATTTAAAGGTAGTTTCAAACTTCTGTAGATAGATATTACTCTTTAAAAAAATGACTAGCACTACTAATAATAATATTGTAAAGAAGCCAAACACTTATAGAGTGTTCACTTGTGCTGTTTTGCAAATGTAATCTCAGTTAACTCTCACAACAACCCTATGAGGCAATAGAGACAATAATGGTATTGGCTGTAAGTATTTTTGAAGATTAAATGGTAGTGAATATATAATATTCAGAGGAGTGCCTAGTATACCTCAAATGTAGTATCCAGTAAATATTAGCTCAGATTCATGATGCACTGAGATTGCCCAATGGTCGATTTGTCTTAAGTGATTGAAGTGAGGTGCTCATTTTTAATTTATACTTTTTAGTTACCCCACTAGGTGTTAAGGATGAGATTTCAAGTTCTAATGTAAGAATGGAGACTAGCGTGCACTTGCAAAGACAAGTGAAAGGCAACAGTGTTCACAAGGATGTCCACTTCTGCTGCCTGTGCTTTGCAAATTAATATACTGTGGGGGAAATGGAACCTGCTGAGGTACTGCCTTGGGTGCAAATAGCCTCAAATGTTTTCTGCCCCACTGGTGTCAAGAACATTAGGTGATAAGGTTTGGCTCTGTCCCCACCCAAATCTCATCTTGAATTGTACTCCCATAATTCCCACGTGTTGTGAGAGGGTCCTGGTGGGAGATAACTGAATCATGGGGGCACTCTCCCCCATACTGTTCTCATGGTAGGAATAAGTCTCATGAGATCTGATGGTTTGATGAGGGCAAACATGTTCAATTGGCTCTCACTCTCTCTCTTTGCCTGCTGCCATCTATGTAAGATGTGACTTGTTCCTCCTTGCCTTCCGCCACAATTGTGAGGTTTCCCCAGGCATGTGGAACTCTAAATCCAAATAAACCTCTTTCTTTTGTAAATTGCTCCATCTCCGGTATGTCTTTATCAGCATATCAGAAAATAGGCTAATACATTGGGCATAACATGGTTTTTTTTTTTAGAGTTTCTATTTTTTTAATTAATTTTAATTTCAATTCTGGTGTACATGTGCAGGATGTGCAGGTTTGTTACATAGGTAAACATGTGCCACAGTGGTTTGCTGCACCTATCAACCTATCACCTAGGTGTTAAGTCCAGCATGCATTAGCTATTTTTCCTGATGCTCTCCCTTCCCCGACCTCATCCCCAGACAGGCCGCCTCAATGTGTGTTGCTACCCTCCCTGTATCCATACGTTCTCATTGCTCAGCTCCCACTTATAAGTGAGAACATGCAGTGTTTGACTTAAGCTCTCTGTTGCTTAATTGTGAGCATGTATTATGGTTTTGCAGAGGTCATGATTGCATTTTCCGTTTCTTGGGTCAAAATATCAGAGGCTTTTCCAAATGCACAAACTGACAGAAAACTCTAGGACAGCCTGCTGTGGTTACAAAGACAAGAAGATCCAAGAATTCACAGTGACAGAGAACATTTTGCTTAACAGATAGAAAAGGTTTTCATAGAAATAAATTGCTTAAAACTTTCCAAACAATTTAGAGAATGCATGATGGGGACTGAATAAAAAGGATCATGAAACTAAAATCAGACAGGTTTGTGCAGCTCAAATCCAACGAGCAGGGACACCATGATCTTGCAGTCCCAGTGCGGCCAGGACAAAGAACAGTCATTTCATCCTATTGCTTAAGAAGAAAACCTGAAGATAGCTACTGTTATCCAACTTAATAGGTTTTGGTGAACTCCTACTGTTATTATTATTTTTTGGTATACAAACCAGTAAAATGAACTACATATAGTCCTAATTACAAAATATATATTCAACCTTTCTCCACAATTTCTTTTCCCTTCATGAAGTCCAACAAAACTTTATTCTAGCTATTGTCTTTATGTTCATACAAACCAGAAAATTCTACTAAATTTGACTTCTGCTAGACTCAAAATTCTGGTAGACTCTGTGAAACTAGATTTAATGAAACTTATTGTATCCTTTTCATTTTGTATACAAATATTTTTGTAGAATTTTAGCTTTCAAAATCTTAGCTTTATCATGGCATGTTGCAAAGTAGATGATACTGAACAGAGAGAAAGTTTTATTTATATTTACACAAAACATGCACACAGAGCCCCCACAGGGCCGTTGGCTAGCACTCCTACACAATTTCTAAGACTTTGATGGAAGGATATCTGAAAAGTTAACCTAAAAGATGGGGAAGAGGATAAGTAACTATTAGCTAATAAACAGGGAACATGTCAGTTTGTGGAGTTCGAAGTAAAGGAAAATATCTGTGCTGGCTGCTCCGGTCCCCAGATATAGCCTTAGACCTACAAGAGCTGTGAATCCTTAGAAATGACCCCCTAATGGGGAGAGCATAGTGGGAGGCCTGGAATAGAATCTAGGTTGACTTAATTATGCCGAAAAATATAGGCAGGTTTTTTTCTCTGTTAAAGACACCATTTTTGCTTATACATATATTTAATCCTTTATGGCCTAAGGGAAACAATGTGAAGCCCTAGGCTAACAGGAAATAATTTATTTCTGTGATTTTATTAAAGGGCTCGAAAATAAGCATTCTGAGAACTAGGGGAAAATAAAAAAAAAATTGAGCTATTTAGATTTGAGTGTAAAACAGCAGTTAGCTTATAATTACTTTAAAATACATAGTCTATTATGTAACATACACTTACCAATTGTTCACTGTCTCACAATGAACTGAAGGACAGAAAAGAAAAATGTGATTTAGGTTAAGTCTAGGAACAAACATCTTAAAGGGTTATTAAAAACAGAAAAAAATTTTCTCAAAGGAACACACAAATTACGTTTCAAGGAGTATATTAGTCTGGTCTCACACTGCTATAAAGGAATACCCAAGACTGGGTAATTTACAAAGAAAAGAGGTTTAATCCGCTCACAGTTCTGCAGGTTGTACAGGAAGCACAGCTGGGGAGGCCTCAAGAAACAATCATGGCAGAAGGAGAAGCAGGCACACTTTTAAACAACCAGATTTCCTTAGAGCTCTATCATGAGACCAACACTAGTCAGTGCTAAACCACTAGAAACTGACCCCAAGATCCAATCACCTCTCACCAGGCCCCACCTCCTAACTTGGGGATTACCATTTAAAATGAGATTTGGTTGAGGACACAGATCCAAACCACACCAAAGAGTGTTGTACAATAGAATAGTGTTTCCCTTGTCTAATATTTCTACACATTTGTCAGTGTGTTACATGTGTGAACATGTAACATCCCACAGTTTATCTCACAATATCTGCCAAAAAGAAGAAGTCAAAAGTTTGAAAATTTACGCTGAAACTATTTGCCGTTACTTGTCACAACAAAACAAACGCAGATGTGCTATTTCCCACAATCTCTGTGCAATCTTAATTTCCTGAAATACAGTTTCTTCCCATTTGATTTTACAACCTGTGTTTACTATTTCTGACAAATACAAACATGTTTATGTTACATGTGTTTACATTTGGATACATACATTTAAATTATGACAGTTTAGCATTTTCTCTTGAATTATAAACAATTCTATGAATACACTACTCTTCTAAAATTAAACAAAGTAATCTTGGCCTGTTTTTTTAGTTTGCTTGTCAGCTAATAACAAGTAAATACAGGCTGGATGCAATGACTCATGCCTGTACTGGGGGGCGGAGGCAGGAGGATTGCTTGAGCCCAGGAGCTCCAGGCTGCAGTGAGCTGTAATCACACCACCGCACTCTATCCTGGGCAACAGGGTGACACCCTGCCTCAAAAAGAAAAGTAAATACTTGTGGCACACACCTGTATAAAGTCACTGTACTTATTTTCTGTAGCTAGAAACAAGCAGAGAATTTATATCTGCTTTTCTGGCTTTAATAAACAAAAAAACTCCAGGAGACAGATTATTCATTTCACTATTATTTTCTGCCTTTTTCTTAAAAGTCAGATCTCCTTTTACCTGAGTCAAGGTGAGTGAACACTTCCTGCCAAACTCAGATGGCAGTTACTACTAGTGAGGCTCCCTGAGCATCTTACAACCTGGGGCAGAAATTTGCTGGTCTCAGTTTATTCATTTATATTTAAATAATGAGTTAAGAGAAAATCAAATTTAACACGTTATGCAGCATATTGCATTATGTTTAATAATACAAACCTTACCAAATTATTACTAAGTAATTTCAGCTGTAATCAAGCAAGATTCATGGGATGAAATCATCAAACTTGATCTTTGTCTCTTCTTACCTCCTTAAAATTGTTCTGGGAAAGCCTGTTCTGTAATGATTCTGATCATTCCCAGGGCATAAATAAACCTCTTTAATATGTCCAGGGCACTGTCTAAATGAAGATATCAGATTATTAAACTTCCTTCATGATGGCCCCAATTCCTGACTCTCACGAGTGCAGTTGGAGCGAGCCTTGGAGGGTGCAGGTTTTCCCTCATTTTGCCCACTTTCCCCATTTTTTGTGGCTTTGCTTTTCCTCCCTGTCTCACATCTGCAGGTTTTACCCCATCGTGGCCTCTGGAAGGAGAGCTCACATGGAGTCTAACCTGAGCAGCTGAATTCCTCAAAGACGGACCCTGTTCTTTCCTTCCCCTTACTTAGGCTCTTTCATATCCTGCTGACAGTGGCAGGTGCCCAATGTCTGTTGCTCACAACCTTCCCGTTACTGTCTTCTTGCTGCCCCGCAAACTCAGGAGAGTTCAGAGTGGGCTCCCATAATAATAATAGGATTATGGGAGCCCAAGCTGGACTTTAATCATAGTATAATTTTGACTCTAGCAGCAGTATCTTTACCAAGCCATTAGACCTGGTGGCAGGAAAGCCAATCACTTGCCTGTGTTTCTCAGGTGTGACTCAGACTTCAGTAGATCCAGAAGTGGCATAATCTGTCTCTGAGACCTTCTTAAGTATCTCCTTCTTGAGGTGAATCTGCCATTTACATCGGTAATAGTCTCATGATTTCACTTTCGTGACTGTTTTGTACCTTAAATATGGAGGAGAGACCTAGGTTAGAAGCAATCTTAAATCTTTACAAATATCGCATGTCTGTATTTATCAGCTGAAATAGAAACCAAAATAGTTCAATTTTAACATCCTAGTATACATAGTAAAAGTTGGTGACTTCGGGGCACAAAAAGAGGAAATAAGTCATTTCTCTGAGTTATGATAAATATTTCTTAAATACAGTTTATTTGGGGAGAAGGAATCCAGGGAGAATGCTCCAATGAATTACTTCTGAAAGACCTTTAGTGAACAGAAGAATTAAATTTAGTATATGTTATCAATGCATTGTTTTTATTAAACATAATTTAAGATCGTTGGATATCTTTTCAAAAATACCGAAGTATTAGGCATTGTTTCTCCAAAAACAGAAGTTATGGTAACAGATAAAGAGTTCCATGATTTAGAGAGTAAGGTATATGCAGAGAGCTACAAAGAAAAGAAAATTCAGTAAAGCGAGTAATCAGATATTTTATGGAGAGGAAGCAACACCATGATGACTATCTGGTGCAGAAATAGTGGAACAAGTTACGGGTAGAGGTTCTTGCTTTGCAGGATACACAGGCTGATGATGGCTGATACCTTCACAGATGTTCTCAAAGCCCCCTCCCACTGCTGACCCCACATCAAGAAGCTCAGCCTCCACTTTTCTCAAACTCATCCTTCTCCTAACTCCTGCCAGCACATCCCTGTTCAAGACCCCTGGCTTAGAAGAGCCCGGCTGACCCCTCACAGCTCTGTGCAGCTCTGAGGATGCAGCCATGTTGCAGCCACTACTTTCAAATCAGTATTCATAAAACACATTTATTACAACGTGTCGTCTTGAAAATTCATCAGTGATTCTCACCAAAACATTTCCGTAAAAATGCTCTCCATGATCTTCCTCCACCCCTTATTTTACACAATTATCTTCTCCTCCCCCATAGGCAGAGGCCACCAAAGATCAGCCCTGCATTTTACTAAACACAATTTTTATTTATCCAGTCACTGCAAAACAGTAACAACGATATTGACCCACGCATTCAGCATAACAAAGCCCAGTGTGAGAACTATCTGAGCGCTACTTTGCCTGGGCTCAGAATGTGGTACCCAAATATACGGCATGTTGGAGATTAAGAAAATGCAGGAGCAAGGTCACTCTGACCTTCCTTTGCCTTTCTCCCCAAAAGCAGGCCATAAAGGAATTTTCTGACCAACCTTGCCTGAAATACCCTCATTCTAGATGGGTCCTGCCGTATACCCAGAAGCCAGGGGCACTCTGAACACACATGCCCTGCTAAAGTCACCCCAGTTGGTCCAAACCTGCTCCCGCACGGTTGTCCATTCTTCATTGAACCAAAGCATAAACATGGACAATTTTCCCTGGGTCTTTGGGGTTTCATTTCTAAAGGCTCCCATGTCATATAAAATTTTGATTAAATAAATGTGTTGGGCTTTTCTCCCATTGATCTGTCTTTTGGTGTGGGATGTCAGTATGAACCTTGCGGTGGGAAAGGGAAAGATAAGATTTTTTCTCCCTCACACATATTAGCATCCAAATCTACTGCATTACAGGGTTTGCTTTTGAGGTCAAATTCAAACATTACCTCCTTCTTGAAACTGTCATTGATTCACATAGTTCCCTGGTCAGAAGAAATTCCTCACTCCTCTATCCTCTAAACGCCTGTAAGGATATCTTTCCTGTCTTCTTCAAACTCAGTAGCACACAATTTGTGCATCTGGTTTCTTATTTACCAGATTTAAAAAATGGAACAGTAGTACCTAAATAAATATTACTGGATTAAATGTGCTATTTGTACTGGTACCATGCACTAATGTATTAGATTGACGTATATGTAATTGTGTATTTTGCCATTGTAATTGCAAAAACCGTAATAATTTTTGCACCAATCTACTACTAAAGCATATGTTGTGAAGTGTGTGTGTGTGTGTGTGTGTGTGTGTAGTGTGTTGAGAAAAATCTAGCAAATTCCTTTAATGATCTGCTTTTATAGAAATTGGTTTTACACTCCTGTTCCTACTGACTCCTGCTTCTAATTAAATCATAAAATAGCAACAGATTTAGTTTTTGGAAATTTTTCTTTCAAATATGTAATACTTCAAAATGAGAAGAAAAGATAACTCACAGTCATGTAGGAATTGCAGAACCTCTCTGCTGCTTCCCGCGCACCTTGGGCTTTGCCTAATTCATCTTGTATATGCGTGCAGTGATGAATATGCATTGTTTCTTGGTGAGCACAGGAGGGTCCCAGAGAGGAACACTAATTCTTGTTCTCTAATTTGTGGTGCGCTCTTAACAGAGCGCATTTAACACATTCCACACCTTGGATTATATCCTTTTCCAAAAATAGCTTTAAAAAATACCTTTTGCTGAAAGCATCCTACATTCTCTTTTTATATATAAAAAAAGTAAAAATCTGAGCCTTTATGGTATTCTACAATATTTTATGTAGAACTTTGTACTGTTATTTTCAACGTTCAAATAACGGGAGGAAATTTACACCTGGACTCCACAGTCTCCCATGACTTGTGGAGAAAGGATTTGTAGCAAATCAATCTACGACCAGAAGATAGATATGTGTACTTTTTCCTCAATTCGAGAAGCAACATCAATCTTTACTGTGAGCAGCAATGGAAAAACAATGCAGAGAAAGATTACGGAAGACAAAGCCAGAGGAGAACAGGGGCTGGAATATTCTGCCAGGGGTGGCAACTCCGACGTGGGATTCATTAATGCAGTGAGAGAAAGACGGTGTTTGGTTTTTAGGCTGGCATCCCCCGGTGAAGACAATTTTTTAAGGGATTTAGCATTGTCATCAGACTTCTTAAGCCCTGCAGCGGAATTAATAACATATTAGGGGATTCTTCTGCAGTTTTTGCCTGAAGTGTTTTTTTTTTTTTCAGGTGAGTTTCAGGTTCCTTCCATTCTAATGAAGGCATTAAGAATTCTCTTGGGAGCATTATAAGTTAGAACTGAAACTTATGCAAATATTTTTCCCCGTAGCAGTTTGGGCGTACTACAGTCTCTAGCTTCCAGTCTTTGCTCGCTGAAATGAATGTTTCAACAGCTTCATGCCAGTCTGGTCGCCACAAAACCCTAAATTGTGTGTAATATTTTATGCTAGTGATCAGTTGCATACAACACAAATAAGACTGTTAGGCTCATAAAGTTGTTAAGCTGACATATTTCAAAGGAAACTCTTCTAAAATAAAACCTTTCTTAAGGTTAAAAATGCATTTTTCATAGTACAGAAAAATAAACAATAACTCTGAATGTTATTACTGTTGACTTTAAAAAATCATACATTTTTGTCTTTGATTTTTATCATGCTCTTATTTGAATATGACAATATTCTCTCGATTAGTCTTGGCACCCTTATCAAGCATCATTTGACCATATACGTAAGGGTCTATTTCTGAGCTCTTTCTTCTCTTCCTTTGGCCTATATGTCTATCTTTTTGTCAGTAACCACAGTGTTTGATTAGTATAGCTCTGTAGTAAATTTTGAAAGAAGGAAGTGAGTCCTTCAACTATGTCCTTCTTTTTCAAAATTATTTTGAGCTGAGCACAGTGGCTCACTCTGTGGGAGGCCAAGGTGGGGAGATCACTTGAGCCCAGGAGTTCTAGACCAGCCAGGGGAATAAAGGAAGACCCCGTCTTTACAAAAAAAAAAAAAAATGTTGGGTATTCAGGATCCTTTAAGACTTCACACAAATTTTAGGATAATTCATTTCTATTTCTGCAAAAAAATGCTGTTGGGATTTGTACAGAGATTGCACTAAATTTGATCTTTCTTGGTAGTATTGGCAACTTAACAATAGTCTTTAAATTCATGAAAATGAGATTTTTTTTCCATTAATTGTGTGTCTTCTTTAATTTCTTTCAGCAATATTTTATAGTTGTGGCTGTGATATTTTTAGAAGTTGATTGACAATGATGAGATGCACGTGTTTTAAACTAAGAAGAAACCAGCTCAGTTGTGCTGTCACTAACATTTTAAGCTTTGGCTTTTTTTATTTGCGGAATTGATAATGTGTTTTTCAAAGGATTATAAAAAAGATAAAATGAGATAGTTTCGACTAAGCACTTATCACACACAACTTGACACACAAATAAGTAAACTGTTGTTGTATAATAATTGTTGATATATTTGTTGTTGCCACCAGTAATTAGAATTTTAGTTATTTTGGTTACTAGAGCAAGATTGAGCAAGATTAAGGGCAACTTTTTGTTTATTATTTACGTAGAGGAGACAGTAGCATAAATGTATCAAACAATTTGAAATACAGTTTTATAAAAACAATCAAAATATCAGTTTTTTAAAATTCTGACTGAAAGTAAAGAGATTAAGACACCAACATATATCACTGTGAATTCAAACAAGAACACGCACTTTCTTTAGGCCTATTTATCATAATTACTCAGGAAAGTTCAAGAGAATAAACAGTGAATATAGCACTAAAGCAGAAGTTTCATTTAAACATAATATTTTAGACAAAGTCCAAATGAGAAATAACACGTTTCCTTTTTACTTCCAGCAACTCACGTAACCTCTTAGAGATCTATAATCTCCTTGATAATATTTTATAGATCACAGATTCAAATTTTTGTCATTTATTTACAGTCTTCTACCATTCCATTATGTTTCCGTCTTGGAATTCTTAGAACCAACCTTTTAAGAGAACATGATTTCCTTAAGAAATGGTGAAAAGCAGTATGTAATATACTGTATGTCTTTGCTGACTGCATTGCAAATGAGTAACATAGAGTTACACTGAAGAGGTTTTTGAAGAGACAATCCATGCAATTTTAACTGAAATAAATATCTCAGTGTTAAAAAAAAATATGCAGTTTGTTTCCTACATATTTTTAATAATACGCACTTCAGTAGTCTTGGCCAGATTGCAGATATATACATACATATCATGTGTGTATTTTTAACATTGGTAAACTACTAAATTTATAAAGAAATGCCAGTCTGATTTCCTATTATCAATATAAAAATGTAAAGTTTATATATAATGGTCAAAATAGCCATTTGTTTCTTCTAAGGGAAAATGTGAAAATTAATTCTTAATATAAATTTTCCCAGTGACTTATATACAGATAAATAAAATTTATTTAAGATTTAAAATTAGTACTGCCCTCCTTGCCCCAGGATTTCCATGCACCTGTTATAAAAGAGTTCGGAAAGGGAAAATTGGATAAGTGTTTTACCCTTGAAAATTGACAGAATTAATTAAGGGAAAAGGAAAATCAGACATCCTGTTTTGGATTGAACTGTGTCCCTCAAAAAGATATGCTGAAGTCCTAATTTCTGGTACCTGTGTATGTGACTTTATTTAGAAATTGGGTTTTTGCAGATGTAATCAAGTTAAGATGAGGTCATTCTGGAGCAGGCTGGGCCTTAACTCCAATCACTGGTATCCTTATGAGAAGAGATACAGAGACAGCCGGAGAGTGCACCTGGTGATGATGGCAGAGCCTGGAGTGATGCATCTACAAACAAATGAATGCCAGGAAATGCAGGCAAGAACCAGACAATTGGAGAGAGGCTGGGGCAGCTTCTCTCCCAAAGCCCTCACACAGGAACCACACCTGTTGACATGGTTTGGATCTGTGTCCCCACCCAAATCTCATGTCAAATTGTAATCCCCAGTGTTGGAGGAGGGGCCTGGCGGGAGGTATCTGGATCGTGGGGGTGGATTTCCCCCTTGCTGTTCTCATGATAGTGAGTTATCATGAGATCTGGTTGTTTAAAAGTGTGTGGCACCTCCCCACTTGCTCTCTACCTCCTGGTCCAGCCCTGGAAGATGTGCCTGCTCCCTCTTCACCTTCTACCATGATTGTAAGTTTCCTGAGGCCTCCCCAGCCATGCCTCCTATACGGCCTGTGAAACCATGAGCCAATTTAAACCTCTTTTCTATATAAGTTACTCAGTCTCATGTAGTTCTTTACAGCAATGTGAGAGCAGGCTGATGCACCTGCCCACACTTTGAATAGGGGCTTCTAGCCTCCAGGACTGTGAGAGAATAAACATTTGTTGTTTTCAACTCACCTAGTTTTTGTTATTTTATTATAGCAGCTCTGGGAAAGCAATACACATAGAATCAGAGTGGAGGAAATCTTAGATTTACTAACCAAAGAGAAAAAGAGCAGGTTAGGCTCCAGAGACCCCAGACTCAGAGGCCCCTGTGGATCTACCAGACTTGCTGGCACCTGATAAGCGAAAATTTATCATGGTTTTCTTAACACAGTGGGAAAAAAGGCCAATGGCGTCATCAAATCCTGCTTCCTAGCTTAGCAACATCAGTGAAATCGCATCACCTTTGACAACTCCAGGGAAACACATTATTTTATTACACGGATTGAGGAATGGTGAGACAATCATTGAAACAGGCCTTGCATCAAGTCACATAATTCATCACTGCAGACTGTGGGAGGAGCAGGGATCTTCCTTGCAAAATCGTATGGTACTGATAGTGTCAAGTACTGTCATTAAAAATAATGGTGGCAAAAAATGGGTCAATTTCAGAACAGTAACTTAACATAAGGTCATGGATGATTTCAGCGATCATCTATAATTGCACACAACTTTTCTAATCCCTTGAATATATATTATCATCTTTGATTCTCACGGTGGACCTGCAGAAGAGAAAAACTATACTAATCCCTGTTTCACAATGAATTTGAATCACAGGTTAGGAGGCTAATACAGGTATATGAAGTTATTGTAATGGCAATTAAAACTACTAACATCTATTTCTGATTCAGTTATGCAGGAACATGATGAATTATCAAAATGTAGCATTTTCCCCAAATCTGCTCCTTTAAAAATTTACCAACTAAGCTTAATTATTCTTTTCACATTAAATTCACATATACATATAAAAATATTTGTGTGTATATATGAACATAATTATGTATATATGCATGTATATACAAGTACATACACATGTATATGTACTTTTGAAGGTACCATGTAAAGTGTGTTCAATTTGATTATCTCATATGTTTATCTTGGTTCTTTGCATCAAAATAAAATCTAATTGCTTTTGCCATTATATTGTTCTCTATTCCTCTGGGGACTACACAACTTTTTCATAAAGATTCTATTTCTGTTCCTGAGATGTAGTAATGTGTTCATGTACTCAGCATTCTATTTGATGGTTTCATTTGTATTTCTACTTTACTGGCATTGGAGGTTAGCCCTGTCCCTTTACACTTGGGTTGGGAAGGAGCTCACAGAAAAAGACTCTCCCAGCACAGAGGGACCTCTGGTGGCCCCACAGCCCCTCATCTGTGTCCCTGTGGCCGGCAGGCAGCCCTTATCCATTCCAGCTGCCTCCATGGTGTTTACTCTGAAGGAGTCAGAGTAAGTTGTGTTTCTGTTAATCATGTGGAATGCTAATGTCTTTAATGCCAATGAGTGTCGCCATGTAAGGTCCTTCTGTCATCACCACATATTAATGCAAACATGGCGCCCATGGAAGTGAGGGCGAGAGACTGTGCAGGGCAGATCTCATTCACAAAGGGTGATGCTCAGCATCTGAGTACAAGCCAAGATCCATCCATGAGAGAAGACAGAGGTGAGATTAGAAGGAAGGAAATAACCAAGCCCATCAGAGACATTTTGAAAATTGTCCCATAACTGCCTTGAATAGAAATAAAAGATACAAGAATTTACTTTTCTACTAATGTCTGTTGTTTTATAATATTCTACTTTTCCTGATTGGAGCATATGAAACTATCCAAATTCAAGCATTATCAAATTTAAAGATGGGTTATGTAAAAGTCAAAATCTTCCAGATTGCTGTAGCACCCTAGAAAGAATTATTATCTAACATTTTAAATATATATTTAATTTTTTTCTTGTATACTTACAGGTATATACTATATTTTTTGATAAAAAGTGGATCATATCTCATACACTGTGGGGCAAAATGTTATTTTCTTTTAGCTATTTTACTTGCACATGATTTCATGTTAGGAAATATAGCTGTCCATAATTCTTTTTAAGCAGAATATGGTAGTTTTTTAGTAAGAATATGCTTATAATTTATTACATTTTATTAAAATTTTCCTGATGAATATTTGAATTATTTCTAACATGTCACTAATTTAAACAGTGCTGCATTTTGATATATATTATTTAGACACTTAAGAAAATATTTCTAGAGGATAAATTCCTGGAAATAGAAATGTCAGGTTACACAGCAGATACTTTTAAGGTTTTATGAGACATTACCAAAATGCTTTCTAAAATGTATCAATTCATTCTTCCATTAAGATTGTAGAAGAGTGCCTGTTTCTCAACAGCTTTCCAGCAAGGATACCACCATTTCTATAGTTAAAAAATATTAATAGTCCAGAAGCGATACATTTATTATTAAGTTATCAATTCTGTAAATTTTAGTAAGCTTGGGCATGCATTAATAAGTTAATTAGGCTCCATTCTTTTGCAGTGAATTGCCTATTCATATCATTGCCAATATATTATAATACTGTACTCTTGCCAGAGATCCACATGTGATTTTGTTAACAAGATTTCATAGGCAGTAGAATGAACCTTCTATGTGTTCACAAAGTATATAACACAGAACTGGCCAATACGAGATCTGCAATCATTATACTCAATAATTGTTGCAGGTTTAATAATAATTAAGTATAAACATTTTTCTAATGGCCCTCTAACTTTCCTTATAGTTGCTATATTGTTTTGTAAAAGTACTAACTATAGAATTTTACCACTGTTTATTTCCAGAAGAACTTTATTTCCTTTATAAAAACTATTCTATATTCTACTCTTTGCTTTAACCAACACAATTGTCTGAAGTTTGCAGAGTGCTATACAGATATATACTTAGTAATATGAAAATTATCCCTAAAAGGGTCAAAGTTAAGTATTATTGACGTAGTTTGCATATTTGTGCCCCAAAATCTCATGTTGAATTGTAGTCCTCAGTGTTGGAGTTGGGGCCTGGTGGGAGGTAACCAGATCATGGAGGTGGATTTCTCATGAATGGTTTAGTGCCATTTCCTTGGTGCTGTCCTCGGGAGAGTGAGTGAGTGCTCTTGAGATCTGGCCATTTAAAAGAGTGTGGCACCTCCCTCTCTCTCACTTGTTCCTGCTCTGGCCATATGACTGTCTGTTCCCCATTCGCCTTCTGCCATGACTGGAAGCTTCCTGAGGCCTCCCCAGAAGCCTACCAGATGCTTATACCATGCTTCCCACACAGCCTGCGGAACCGTGAACCAATTAAACTTTGTTTCTTTATAAATTACCCAGTCTCGGGTATTTCTTTATAGCAATGCAAGCACAGCCTAATACAATTTCCTAGCAAAATTCTCCCTCCTGTGACAAGATAATTATGTTCTAAAGGATAAAGTCTAGGTTTGTTCCAGGCCCTGGTCATCCATCTGGGTCATCCCTATGTTATAGGACAAATCTGCTCTTTATGTCTTTAAATGTCTTTCTAATATGTTTTTTATTATTCTCACAATGTGTGTCTGACACACACAGATCTTTAATGAATTGATCATCTTGCATTATGTACAAAAGTGTAATCACTGAAGTGAACAGCTGTCATCAAAGAGTTTCCATGTTCCACCACACGTGTTGTCCATTTAAAGACCCCTCTGTCCCAAGGGCTATGCCTAGAAACACATTTAAGGATTGGCTATTCCCTAGAGTCACTGCAGAACAAAAACCCTGTCAGCACTGGAGCCCAGCCTGGTTGGGAAATGATTTCAGTTATATCAGAACTAGATTCCTCAAAGCACAAAAATGTTCAGAAGCTTAAAAATTTTCTCAATATGTTAGTTATAATTTTTTTTTAATTTTATATTTGCTTTCTAGAGTCTGAAAGGAATGTTAAATTTTTCTGGGAATTAGTACAACTATTGCTTACAAACTATTTTAAATAGCTGTATTTCCTCAATTTCTTGGGCTTGAGTTTTGTCTAGAAATTACAGTGAGAAAACTGCAAGTCCTCGTGTGCAGCGGTTGGCCCTTTCAAGGAGTCTGCAGTTTGCAATGACGACCATCCTGCTGCGGAGACCAACAACAGCAAAATTAACACACAGAGAGAAGAGCAAAGTGGAGTCTTCAAAGCATTTGTATTTGTAGGATGTAACTGAGGAAGAGTTAACTCCATAAGATAAGATAGCAGTTATCAAATCCTCGAAGGACTGGTCTGTTAGATAGGCATTCTATTCACTCTGAACCACTCAATCAGCTGGAACCAGAACAACAGAGTGAGAGCAACTGAGAGATGATTTCAGTTTCATATTAGGAAGAATTGGACAGCAGTGATCTCGCAGATGGTATCATTGGCTTCAAAAGGTTCTCAGTCCTGTGTCTCTGCAGGTATTCAAGCTGAATGGCCTTTGGGAAGAGATACTATTGGGAAGGATTGAGTGTCAGATAAGATGGACTCACTGAATGCCTTAAGAACATGCCAGTCATTTTAAGGGGAGAAAGTGCAGTAAAAATGGAGGATCCTGTGGAAAGGGCTATGTCCTACATTCTTTAACATACTCTCAAAAGCAAAAACACACACTGATGTCTACCTCAGTGCTGAAGGACAAAGACACACAGTGAAATCAAAGCACACCTATCACAAACCACACGTTACTCTCAGAGGCAGGGGCTGCTCCCTACCTCCTATCCCAGGTACTGTGTGCATGGCATTGAAGAAGAGGGGGTTCAAGTGTCGGGAACATGAAAATAAGAAACCGGAAAATACTGGACAAATTGAAACAAAAAGCGTTTTCATTGACTTTTTTAATATTGTGGGGGATGCTATATTCCTGAGCAATTTATACTGCATTCATCTAGGATTTTTCAGTTTAGAAACAGCGTCACAAGAGGTGATAAACAGCAAAGCATAAAACACCATGAGAAGAGCTATAATTCAGCACCTAAGAGGTTGGTGAACCAACAGGAAGATAACTCTCATCCTGGGAAATCTTCTGTTACAGGCAGTGAGCACAGAGTGGGACGATTAGCAATGGCAATAGCAGCAACAGAGGCCACAGCTGGACTGCAGGTCCTGACAAGGCATAGACCTAGGACAGTGTTGTCTGGGACACCAAGGCCTGCTCAGGAGGCTGAGTGGCAGCATCGGTCAGCGGGGGGGACAGTGCAGAGGAAGAGAGTGCGGATAAATGAGTATGAGTTTAGCAAACTAATGCAGGCACAGAAAACCAACGACCACATCTTGTCACTAATAACTGGGAGCTAAATGAGGGGGACACATGGACACAGGAAGGGGAAAAACAGACACAGGGGCCTACTGGAGATTGGAGGGTGGGAGGAGGGAGAGGTCAGAAAAGAGTAGCTAATGGGAACCAGGCTTAATACCTGGGTGATTAAATAATCTTTACGACAAACACCCAGGACATGGGTTTACCTATAGAACAAATCTGCGCAGGTACCCCTTAACTTAAGATAAAAGTTAACAAAAACAGAGAAAGCTGCTGCTAGATACCTAGACTGTAAAGGCGGAAATGAAAATTAGGCATGTGTCTGCAGAATGTGCACAACTATTCACCCATGGGGCCGGTGCATGACAGGTCAAGGATTCATTTAGCCATGCTGTGTGCATGCGTGTGTGGATGCATGTAACATAGATAAAAGTATTTCTTTTTCTTTTCTTTCTTTCATTTTTTTTTTTTTTGAGACAGAGTCTCACTCTGTTGCCCAGGCTGCAGGCTGAAGTGCAGTGGTGTGATCTCAGCTCACTGCAACCTCCACCTTCTGTGTTCAAGTGATTCTCCTGCCTCAGCCCCCTGAGTAGCTGGGACTACAGATGTGCACCACCAAGTTTTGCCATGTTGGCCAGGTTGGTCTTGAACTCCTGACCTCAGGTGATCCTCCCACCTCGGCCTCCTAAAGTGCGGGATTACAGGTGTAAGCCACCACATCTGGCTGCATAAAAGTATTTCTTAAAGAATCTGGTTCTTTCAAATATACAAGTTCCTTCAGAGGTCAGGCTCTCAATTTTTTCTTCTGCATATCCTAGCCTTTCTCAGCCCAAAACTGCAGCACCTCACCACCTTCCATTCTGCCTCTACTTCCTCCATTTGTCTGTGAGCATCAGACCTCACATTAGTCTTACCCATTGGACACTATGACTGCCTAACTCCCCCAAATGGGAATCCCTCCACTCGTCTTCAGTGCCATTCCAACAGCCCACCCTTGACAGCCACCTCCTCTCTCTTCGCAGACTCAGACATCTCACATCCAAGCACTCTGCTCCCTTGCAGCAATCTCCTCCTTTCTTACTTACACACTCCACATCCCATCAGTGAAATTCCTGCACTCGTTTGAGTCTTCTCTCATCTCTCTGCAAACCTCTCAAGATCTCACTGTCTCCCAGCCTCAAGTTTCCCCTTATTCCGCTGAGATTCCACTGTCCATCATGAAAGTTTTTCTCTTGCAGAGAACCTCCCTTGCCTCCCCTCTCCGTATTTCTCTGTGGTAGTAGCCTGGCAAGGCTCTCGCTGCTGAAATGCAATGCTACCTTCTGCAGCCCCGCCCTCGACACCCTATCTTCTTCAGAGACTGCTCCATTTTTGTCCTCCTTCACATCAAAACTTACTTTAAAAGTTACTTTTAGGCCAGTCACTGTGACTCACAACCTGTAATCCCAGCACTTTGGGAGGCTGAGGTGGGAGGCTTGCTTGAGGCCACAAATTTGAGACCAGCCTGGGCTACAGAGTGACACCGCCTTTCTATATACAAAAATAAAAAATAAAAACAACTTATTTTTAAGGTCTCTTTTTCTTATGCCATATTCTCTCCTCAATCCACTCAAAGCTGGCCTCACTTCTCACTGTTCCAGTTCCAAAGAGAATAAATCTGCCAGGGTCTGCAGATACCTCCTCTACGTCTTCAAATCAAACAGTCACGTCTGCCTTTACAGCTGACATCAGGGACGCATATTCCACAGGAGTCGCCACTCTGCTTAGCGAGTGTCTTCCTTTCACTGACTTCCTTTTTATCTTTCTCCGTTGTCTGTCAAAGGTCCTGCCTGATCACGCAATAGTTAAATGCTGTGGCTCTCCCAGGGACCTGTTTGGGGTCCTTTTCCCCTCTGACACACACATTATCTGCAGTTGATCTATCCAGTTTAATAATTTTAAATGCCACATATTTGTAATGACTCTCCGAAGTCCAGGTTGACCTCTCCTTATCCTTATCTAATGAGAATCTCAAACTTTGCAGCTCAAAACAAAGTCTTTATTTTCATTCATCCTGAATCCTACACCATTTCATTCTCCCCCAGATCTGTGTAATGTCACCATTAGGAATTTAATTGCCTAAGCCCAAAATAAGAGTTATCTTTGATTCGTCTTTCCATTTCCTCATATTCAATTAATTGATTCTTGTCCATTCCATCTACAAAACATTTCCAGATATGTCTAATTTTTTGACCTCCACACTGCTCCAAATCCTCATAATCTATCTTAAATTAATATAGCAGTGTTCGAAATTATCTCTTTTCTTCTTTATGTCTCTCTTGAAAATCTTCTATTCAAGCAAACAGTCAGAATAATTTTCCTTTTTTTTTTTTTTTTTTTTTTTTTAGACAGGATCTTGCTCTGTCGCCGAGGTTGGAGTGCAGTGGCACGATCTCAGTTCACTGCAACCTCTGCCTCTTGGATCCAAACAATTCTTGTGCCCCAGCCACCAAACAAGCTGGGACAAGCCACCATGCCTCGCTAGATTTTGTATTTTTGGTAGAGACGGGGTTCCACCATGTTGGCCAGGCTTGTATCGAACTCCTGAGCTCAGGTCATCCACTCACCTCTACCTCCTTTAATGCTGGGATTACAGGCATGAGCCACCACACCCAACCCCAAAAATCATTTTTAAATGGTGTCAAACCTTGTTTAAAATATGCTAAAGGCTTAAAATAAACTCAAAATTCTTGGCCTGGATTAGGAAAACCAGAGCAATAAAAATAAACTTAAAAATATGACCTCATCTTAAAACATCCTCCCTTTTCACTCACTGCACTCCCAGACAAGCAAGCTTGTTGCTACAGTGTCTATATAATACGCATGCACATAACACCACATGTGTTCACATCAGCTCCTCCCTCAGCCGGAGACACTGGCTTTCCTTGTGTAGATCATTCCTTCCATCACTCGGGTACTTCTGAGAGAGATTCTCAGACCATCCAACCTGAAGAAACCATTCAACCATATTTTTACTATTGGTTTATTAGCTTACTGCATTACTTTTAACGGCGAAAACCTCAATAAATTTTGCACCAAGCTAATACATCATCTCTCCCATCTATTTTAATTTCTGATATAAAAGGAGGTCCTCTCTCAGGTCATAATTGAAAAACTTTTTTCAAATGCGTCTCCTAGAAACTCCTAACAGCAGTAAACAACTCAAGGAAAACTGTTATAGATTGAAGATCATTTAAACTACTTGGGAAAGAAAGACTCCCATATTTTTTCCTTCCTTTGCTTTGTTCTTGGGTACTCATTGTCAAGGATGAAATGTTCCATTTAGCTTTTAAGTGAAAGCCTTTAGGCATTCATTCAATTATTTTTAAACAAACTTGACTCCTTATGTATTATGTACCAAGCACTGTTTATGTCAACAAAACAGACAAGGATCCTGGCGTCAGGGAGCTTCCGCTTTAGTCTGAGAAGCAGATAAGAAGCAAGCCAAAACAATGTTGAATTTTTACACTAAAAAAAAAATGCTCTGTCGGACCTCTCATTCTCTAATATACACAACCTTGTGATTGACAAGTTTCCCACAGAATATGTTTTATCCAGCTGGGTAAGATAAGAAAATCATTATTGTCAGGATGAAACTAAGAGGATCCACATATTACTGTATTATCACGGTCTGAATCAGCAGCAAAATGAAATATGCAACTCCCCAAACTATGCCTCTCATCGCCAGTGTACTACATAAGAAAGACAAGAACCCAGTTTATGTTCAATATCTTCTATGTCTAGAATGCTGTTTAGATAATGTTTTAACTAGGCAGTATATTACTTTTATGAGGCAACTAAATTCTCACAGCCATTCAATAAGCTACTTTTAGTCTAATAATCCACAACTGAATGTGGTCATGGTTTTTTGCAGAAGTTAAAAGGTTTAAACACACCAAGGAATTTTAATTAAAGCATAACAAGGGTCAAGTGCCACCTACAAGGGCAATAGGACCTGTGTGAGAGGGATGTGGGTGGGTGCATTGGGTTCATCACCTTCATCACTTCACAGGTGCCCATAATTTTGTGCTTCGTAGGCAGAATTGCATAACATGTTTACATCAACTTTGTAAAACCGATGGTAATACCCAATGTAACAGATGAAGAAAAGAAGAGAGACTGCATGAGTTCCTCAAGTCTATATTGGGTGGCCCCATAATACAACCTGGCTGTTGTCCTTAAAGAAGATGGTGAAGTGGCATCATCTCACACCAAGAAGATTAAGGACACAGACACACACTAGGAGTGAGTTTAGGAGCAGAGGTTTAATCTACAAAAGACGGAGAAAGGAGAGAAGCTCTCTCTCTCTTGTGAGAGATTGGTTGCACCAGGTGTGATGTTTACATAGCACGTGGGCAAGGCTGGTCACCCCACCCTAATCTTATTATGCACATGGGGTCTTTGCCTGACTGGCACCATATTGTCTTCCTACTGTACACATGGTTTGGCAAAGAGATGGGAAGATGGAGCCACCATTTTGAACATGCCTAGTCCCAGGTAGCCTTTCCTTATTGGCACAACTGCTGGCATTTGCCTGTACAAGCTCCCAGCTTGCTTGTCTATGTCTGTAGCTTGATTTTACAAGCTGCTCTTTGTTAGAAAAGAAAATGATTTGGGGGCTACTTTTCATTAAAAGGAAAACCTTACCTAGGACTCCTGTATCCTCACTATCTGCCTAATTGATTTCTTCTTAACTCCTATATCAATGGCAATATATAGTCAGAGACACTCATGAAGGCAAAGATTGGAGTGGTGAAGCTGCAAGCCGAGGAATGTCAGAGATTGCCACCAAACCATCAGAAGCCAAGAAGAGGCCAGGAAGGATTAGCCCCTACAGCCTTCTGAGGGAGGGGGCCTTGCTAACACCTTGATGTTGGACTCAGAGCCCCCGAAGTGTGAGGCAATAGATTCTTGTTGTTTTGGATACCCAAATAGTGGTACTTTGTTATGGAAGCCCCAGGAAATTAACACACTAGGCTTAGACCAAGAAGTCTTAGACCAAGAAGTCCCCATGGCCCCGGGGATTCGAGGTTAGGCATTTGGATGGATTCTAAAGATCACATTCATATATTTAAGGATGGATTGGATGTCAGGTATGTGATAAAGACAAAATCAAGGTTTCTGGACTAGGAAACTGGGAGTAAAGTTGCCATTTACTGATTTGGTGAAGACTTTGAAGGGGCAGATTTAGAGGGAAACCAGGAACCTTATTTTATATGTGTTAACTTTCAGGTGATTATTAGACACCCACATAGATATGAATTCAGGGAGAGCTACATGAGTCGAAAGTACAAATGGAATTAGAGACATGCAAATGTGATTGCACAGCAAGTGACACTAACTAGAGAAGAGGGAAGCCACAGGAATGCAGCCCCAGGGCATTCCAGCATTAAAAGCTTGGAAGATGAGAAGGCCCCAGCACAGCAGAGGAGGAAGGGGAAAACAAGGAAGAGAGTCAATAGAGAATGGAGCCCAGAAATCAAGTAACGATGGAGTTTTCAGGAGAAAGTGATCAACGATTTCAAATTATACTAATAAAACAGCACTCAGAGTCTGAATGTTGATCTTTAGATTTGGAATGTTAGAGGCAGTGGTAACAACAGTAAGTGCCATTTTAGTGGCCTGGAGAGGAGAAGAGCCTGATTTCAGTGGATGGAGGGGAGACTGGTGAGGTCAATTCCAAAGAAGTGTGAACAACTCCCTAGGAATATTTTCTGCATAGAGTAACAGAAGAATGGGAAGTAGCTGTCATACCACATGTCTCAGAAAAATGAACAGTGAAGTCAAAGCATGAGAGTGGAATGCCTGCAGCATAGGAGGACAACACAGGCTTCCGCAAAGACAAATCAATGGAATTTTTCTCCCTAGGTACAGATTTCAATGGGACATGCACAGTGAGAAATTCTAGTACCAACCATTTTTTCCAAGGTAAAGGTACCACTGAATGTGCTATGGGTCTACACACATGGTATATACGCAAAAAATGATAATTTTCATGAGGACGTTTTCTTTACAATACTCTAAATTAGCTAAGTTGTGTTTTCTTTTCTTCTCCGTTTTCCTTCCTCCCTCCCTCTTTCTTCCTTTGGTCTTTTCTTTCTTCCTTAAATCTTGAGCATATCCATCTACAATTTAGTATAGAAGTATGCAAATATAATGCGAATATGAATTACCAACCTTAGTGTATTCTGTTTCAAAGACATTAATGTATTCTAAGTGTCAGGGTTTGTGGAACACAGAGAATACTGTGCAGAATTATGAGGTCTATAAAATATTTCAACTTGATCTTCTCAGGTAAAGGTGAGAAAACACAAATTGCTGTCATTAATTTGATTGTATCTTCTGACATTCTTAATTGCCTTTTGGAAAGTTGAACTAAATATCATTGATGTCATAAAAATTTTTTGTTTATTAAAAATAATTTAAAAATTGGAGTTCAAAAGTAAACCTCTATTAAAGGAAGACAAATAATGTCATTAGTACTCAATGAGAAAAGAAGCTAAAAAATAATTATAGAAAAGGAGCACAAATTTTCATTAGTTTGCATTCTGCCTTTGATAGCTGTTCTCCAATGACTGCTTGCAATTCAGTCTCAGATGCATGTCCTATTTTTGCATTCCATCTACCTCCAGTTTCTTTCTTGTTTACCGACAGAGGCATGAACATATTTTTTCTTTCCAGATAATTGAGGCTTCAGTGATTCTGATAAAGTATGCTGTCTTTATATGCAAAATTTAGAAATAATTTTAAAAACTTGAACAGAAGGCTAAAAAATAGGGAAAAAAATAGAGGCTAACTTGATGAGAAAGCATGTAATTAAATCTTGTGAAATATAACTTCTATACAGAAGAATGCAAATAGAGCATAATGAATATTATAAACACTTTTGTTGACAAGAAAATAATGTGAATACCTCACATTTTCTGCTGTATTGTCTTTCCGATCTCATATTTCTTTGCCCCTAAAAGTGACCATAACCCTGAATACTACAAACACTTCCTTGTTATAAAGACACTTTTGCCGCCTACATATTCATCTCTAAAATACACAGCTTAATTTTGTCTGTTGTAAACCTTCATATAAATGGGTTCATACTGACCTCACACCAGTCAAATCGAGCATCTGAGGAAGAGCACTGTTGGCGTTCAGCGAGGAGGGAGGCGCCAGGAGAGAGCGCTGAGGCGCCAGGAGAGAGCGCTGAGGCGCCAGGAGAGAGCGCTGAGCGCCAAGCGCTGAGGCGTGGAGACTCGAGGTGGCGGCCGAGAGTAGGAAGCAAAACAACGGGACGGGACTGACTCGGGGCAACAACGACTACCCATTGTGGGGAAAGGTAAGTGAGAAGTCCCATGCAGTCCACGCTCCCACCAGGGACATCTACAAGTTGGCTGCAGGAGTGCCTCTTGGCCCTCACAGTCTACGAGCCCAGAGCAGGGAGATGCCAGCCTCGTTCCAGAGGGAACCGTCTCTGTTCCTCTCCACCCCCAGCGCAGTGCCATCTGGCGGTGGGGGCCGCATCACTGCATCTGGCCCCGGGGCCCCACAGCCCCTGCCTCTCCACATCCCGGGCCGGACAGCATCCTCCTGAGTCCACTCAACCCTGAACCTATGAAACTGCTAGAAGTAAACAGGGGAAACACGTTAGGACGTTGTTTCTGGACAAATATTTTATGGGTGAGACTTCAAAAACACAGGCAACACAAACAAATAGAAATAGGGACTATATTAAGCTAAGTAGCTTCTACACCGCAAAAGAAACAATCAACAGAAGAAAGAGAAAACCTGCAGAATGGGAGAACATATCTGCAAACTGTTCACTGCCGTGGGGCTAACATCCAGAATATGTAAGGGACCCAACAACTCCACAGCAGAACAGTAATTCTGTTAAAAATGGGCAAATAATTGGTATAAATATCTCTCAAGAGAAGATATAGAAATGTCCAACAAACATGAAAAAATGCTAAATATCACTAATCAGGTAAATTAAAATTAAAACCACAATGAGATATAATCTCACTCAGAATGGCTATTATCAAACACACACACACAGACACACACAGAGATAAAGGCTTGTGGAGATGTGGAGAAAAGGGAACTCTTATACAATGTTGGTGGGAATGTAAATTAGTACAGCCATTGTGAAAACAGTATGGAGGTTGCTCAAAAAACTGAAATTACATCTACCGTGTGATCCAGCAATACCACTGCTGGGTAATTATCCAAAGAAAGATATATCAGCATATCAAAAATAATATCTTCTTCCCCATGTTTATTACAACAGTATTCACAATAACCAAGATATACAGTCAACCTCAACACCCACCAATATGTGAATGGAGAAAGAAAATGTAGTATATATTCACAATGGAACACTATTCACCCATAAAACGAAATGAAATTCTGTCATTTATGGCAACAATGATAAGCCTGGAGGATGCTGGGTTAAATGGAATGAGCCAGACACAGAAAGATAAATACTACTTTTTCACTCATATGTTGGAGATTTCAAAAAAAAGGTGGAGCTCATGGATATAGAGAGTAAAATTTTGGTCATTAGAAGCTAGAAGGGGTAGGGTTGAGGGGAGGTTAGAGAGTAGTTTGTTAACGGATACAAAATTACAGCTAGACCGAAACAATAAGTGCTAGTGTGCTATAGTCCTGTAGGATAACCATAGTTAAAAGTAACTAATTGTGAGTTTTCAATTAGCTAGAAGAGACGATTTTGAGTATTCCCAGTCCAAGGAAACGATAAGTATTTGGTGCGATGTATATACTAATCATCCTGGTTTGATTTTTACACATTGTATGC
Organism: Homo sapiens; assembly: GCF_000001405.40. NCBI lineage: Eukaryota > Metazoa > Chordata > Mammalia > Primates > Hominidae > Homo > Homo sapiens. The sequence goes on from NC_000008.11 coordinate 2,625,002, forward strand.
ATTTATGACAACCTTACTCTGAATCCCATGCATTATGTGCAATTATTACATCTCAACTAAAAAATAAAAGAAAAAATAAAGGAGATGCCATAGGTGCAGGGGAAAAATGAAAAGGAAATATGAAAAAAATCACCACTTTATATCAGTTTATAAAACGATTCAAAGAAGCATTGTCTTTGCAAAATACAGATTTTATATGAAATGATAATAGAGAAATGAAGACTCAAACAGTACTGAAGTATCACCCCATAATACCTAGGCCTCAAATTATACAAAGGAACATAAATAGTGTGAAACCAGCAGAGTCAGAAGTGATATTCACACACAGCGGACTCTGCAGAGAAAGAGGCACTTGGGACAGGGATCATCCCAGCTGTGAAAGAACAAATACAAAATTCCCCAGAGAGAGAGCTGCGATAAAGCGAAAAGTGCAGTGTAGAGCTCTGGAAAGTGATAGATGCATCACCAGATGCTGAGGAATCTAATGGACCATTAAGTCAAAAGAAGAAGAGAAGAAGCACAGTGATCTTTGAATCTCCTTCTTTGAGGGTATAGTGGAGTATGGGTTATTTTCTTATCAAAATAAATTCCTCAAATTGTGTTTATTACATGACAACACTGTACATGTACTAAAATAATATCATGTATACCAACATTACCAGATTAGGCACTCAACCCACCCTTCCCAACTCAGAGGAGAGCAGCACCCAGAGAAAAAATAGAACATATGTAACGTTACATCTCAGCAGTGCAGAATTCCTTCAGCAATATTTGAAACCGTAAACTGAGGCTTCTGTAAGGTACTTTTCTGAGTGATTCTTTTGCTAACCGAGCAAGAAAAGCAGTTTTCCCGCATTGAATTAGTTATACCATATTTGTGACAGCTGAAGAAATATATTCAAATAGCCTCTTTTAAGACTATTATTAGTCCTTTAGTGTAAATAGTTGTTTTGATGGGTTTGATAACTTGAGAGCATTGGAAGTACTATGATGAGTCAAATAAGACACCTGATTTAAAGGGACCTTTCCTGGCCGTTTATGACTCCATGAATGTTACCAATATTGCTCAGTGTATTCCGGGAGTCTGTGCCAAGGTTGAAGTAACTGAATAGCTGCACATACCACTACAGTTGAAAACATGTGTAAAGAGGTTGAGAAATTCAGGATAATGTGAAGTGGACTCTGCTAAGATGTGTCCCAAATGATGGTGTTGAAAATATACATAGAGGAGAGAAATTTTTAGACAAATATATAAAGTTTGTGAAAATGCAAAGTGTTCAACATTTATGACTTATTAATTGTATTGACTTATCGGCACGTATTTGCCAGAAAATATTTGAACTTATCATGCATTACTAAACCAGTGCAGTCAGCCCTGTCTATAAATATTTGTTAGAAAGAAAAGCTAAATATTCCAACTTGTGCTACTGCACACAGGAATTGGATGGCTAGGTAAAAGCCATTTCAGAAAAAGACTATTCAAAGACATAAATATATTTACAGGAAAAATATAAAACTACAGAAAAGTACAGCTGTTAGAGTAGGCAGACAGCCAGACATAAGCAGGAGATGGGGATCCCTGAGAAAAAGAGGTCTGGAAAATCTCTCACCCCGGGGACCACCCGAAACCTGCATGCTGGGTATATGCAGAGAGTGGGGGAAATACCTAGGCAGGAAGGAACGCCCCTTAAGATGCCCAGCAATTGCTCACTCTGCAGTTAACCTGTTGGAATGCAGCTGGGTGTCAGTTGATAAGGGGAAGAGGGCAAGGAAGAAATTCCTAGGCAGTAACACAGGCACCGTTTGTATACAACACTGGGCCTGTGCACGTGCAGCAACTAATAGTAAGGGAGGGTCCCACAAACCTGGGGAGGAAACTCGGTAGGGAGAAGGGGGGTTCTTAAGGCAGGAGTGGAAACACTAGTCAAAGAAAAAAGGAGGGGACTGAAGGCAGAGGCGAGAACTTCAAGAGACTATTTTTCATCATAAAATCCCAACACAGAACTCAGGCTGCTGTGGGCTCACTCCCCTCAGCAGCCAGTTCTGCCTCTTCTTTTCAGCATGCACTGTCTCTCTCAGTAAATTCTCTGCTGTCTATTTTCCTTTAATTTTTTAAAAAATTTTTTTGACAAACCAGTCACTTGGCAGAATTCTTTCTCCAAGAATAAGAACTGATGATTCCTGCGCTTTCCTGTAACATGACAAGGGGAGAAAAACAGTATGAGCATCTTAAATGGCATTCCAGTTTAGAAATTACACAACTGAGCCAAGGGTAGTGGCATCCCAGCTACTCAGGAGGCTGAGGCAGGAGGATTTCCAGAGGCCAAGGGTTTGAGGCTGTAGTGGGTTATGAGTGCACCACTGCAGTCTAGCTTGGGCAACAGAGCAAGATGCCCTTTCTAAAAACTAAATGAATAAATAAACAAGCAAAAGGAAGGGAGGGAGGGAGGGAGGGATCATAGCAAAAAAATGTTAGAAAAAGAAGAAATAGAGTATTTGATATTTATTTTAGGAATAATTTGGAGTTAATAAATAGATTAATAGAAAACTAAGGAAGAAAAAAACTAAGGATATCATAAACATATAAAAATGTACATAAAGACAAAAAAATATAAATAGTCTTAAATTTGGGGGATATATATTGCTGTGTAAGAAACCATCCCAAATCATTGTGGCTTAAAACAACATGCATTTTATCTGGTCAAAGCTGTTAAAGGCTTAGCCATGTTTTCAGGGGAAGAAACATGAACTTTAACTACTGGTGAGGGGAGAGATCCTCGTACCAGGAGAATTGCATGGAGATCATATCTGGAAACCTCCTACTGCCCAAGACAGAACCATAAATCCAAATGAGCAAGCAAAGAAAATAAACCACATAGGATGCAGACAAACAACAGAAACAACAGCAATGTAGCAAATACATGTAAGTGTGTAGCCTGTGTCCAGTGTGTAGCATAATGGGCACAGTAAATACACATGAATTTGTAGCTGAATATGTATCCTGTCTCCAATCATGAAGAAACAATTAGAGATTTCGAAAAATCCAGTTGTGACACAGACCAAAAGATGACCTGGTCTTTAAAAAAATAAAAATAAGCCTATGTTGTGAAAGACAGAAGAGGGAGAAAAGGGATACTGGTTCAGACAGCACTGACGGAAGAGACCTGTCAACCAAATGCTCTGGGGGAGACACTGATAATGAACAGTGATTCTTATAGTCATTTGGGAAATTTGAATTAGGATTTTATTTTAAATATTAATATTTTATCAATGAATTATTGGCTATGATTACAAAATGTTGACGTATAGGATATCAAATGATCCTAAGTGAACAGGGAATAAGACAAGGAAGAACAATATTGTATCTACAAAATTTACTACTTCAGAAATAAATCCTAAGTGAAACATAGAATCTTTCTATTTGACTATTTCCTCAAACTATTTTTCCCTGGACAGCAGGCAGGCATCTGCAAATAAGAAATTGAAAGGGAAGCTTCATTAAACACCCAATGAGATTCACCAGGACTCCTGAAGCTCTGTTTTGTGTCATTGTTAGCAGATCCGTGGTTTTCTCAGAAGCTCTGCTCTGACCTGATGAAAGTCCAGGTTGTGGGGAGGGGGTAAAGCAATTGACTCCCTGTAGTAACACTGAGACAGGAGACTTCTCTTGACCCCTTCATGGGACTTGTTATGGGGTGGCTCCTTTGTTTGGCCACCATGCTGAAACCCTTTGCAGGAGGGGGAGCACGCAGGTGAGCGGGTGCAGAAACCAGGGTGAGTGCCTTTGCACACCAGCAGGAATGAAACCTGTATCAGCTTGTGGCAGCATCTAAGAGTTGCCCGGGACCTATGGAGCCCCAGACGGTGTGTTACAAACAATACTTTTTTAACTTTGTCATCTGTGGATGGCTTAAGTGTTAAACAGCTCAGTGAAGAGTCAGTGTGACAACGTTTTTGGGTTCCCACACCCAGTGCATCCCAAATTCTTGTCTGACATCCAGGAAGAATCAGGTCACACAAACAGACTGAGGGTGGTATATGTGGAGGGTTTTATTGAGTGACGGAAGTGGCTCTCAGCAGGATGGGGAGCTGGAAAGGGGATGGAGTGGAAAGATAATCTTCCCCTGAAGTTTGGCCATCCCCCGCCAAACTCCTCTCTCACCATCCCCAGCCAAATTCCTCTCTGACCATCCCCAGCCAAACTCCTCTGTGACTGTCCCCAGCTGAACTCCTCTCTGACCTTCCCCAGATGAGAAATTCTCTCGACCGTCTCTGGCTGAACTCCACTCTGACCATAGTTTCTGACATCCAGCTGCCTCTTCTCTCAACATTCAGATGCATCTTCTCTTCTCTCCTTTTCTGTTGCCCCCTCTGCTCTTTTCCCAGTGAAATTTGGGGTTTTTGTGGGTACAGGGTTGGGAGTGAGGTAGGCCGGGATGGTTTTGGAAAAGGCGACACTTGGGTAGGAAAACAGGAATGCGTGTTCTCATTTAGAGCTGTGGGTCTGGGCTTGAGGGTGGTACCCTTGTCAGGGACCCACCTGTCTTCTACTGAGTATTTCGCTTCCTCCTGTCCATATCACTGAGAAACCAAGCAATGCAAATATGTGGCACCTTCTAGCATATAGAGAAACCCTCTGGATGGCAACTGATAGGACCAGGGGCCAGGCCTAGCAAAGGGCAGAGCTGATGAAAAGCAAGACAGTCCAAGAATTAATCCTGCGTGTCTTAACATAAAAGATTCTTAGTTTGTTTTTAATTTTAATTGAATATATAATGAACGAATTCGGTCTACTCCGCAAAGTCAGGGGAAAAAGCATATTCACCAAATTTTAGAATGTTATTCCATCTGTCCGCATTGACTACTCACACTTTCTCTTTTCTTTTCCCCCTTTTAACTTATTAGAGTTATTGTAAGGACAAAACTAACAGCAAAATATTTATAAATCATAAGACATCATTTATTTTGAAATACTTTTCTTGTTCTACTTCTGTATTCTTCCCTGTTTCATTTTCTGTTTATCCCTCTCTCATTCCTCTTTTAAGCACAGATAAAAGATGTGTTTCCATATCTTAAAAGATACTGCCCCAAGAGATTAATTAACATACAGAGAAATCATTAACATGCAAATTAACCTACTAAATGCCAGGTTTTCTCATGAAAGAAGCCCGGAGCAGACAGTTGCTCACCAGCAACCTGTGGCCTCAGGGAAACGTGGCAATGACTGTATTCCCCAAAAGAATGCTGGCATGTGATTTATATCTGGCAAGCAGGATACAGAGAGTTTCTCACTGGAAGATATTGTTCCCACTTTTATTGTTGCAATTTTGCTAAAACAAAGAAATCTGTGTTAAGATGACTGCAGCTGTGTTAGAAACAAGTGTAATATATGTTGAAATGTATTTATTTTTCCAACTCGTACCAACAGAAACTCAATTATTCTTCAGTCTGGAAGATCTGCTAAGTTTTCTTAACTTATCATGTCATGACATCTGTGATGAAGGCATGCGCTGTGTTGACTGTGCCACAGAAAAACTCTGATGTCGAGCTGCATTTTATTTAAATCATTATTTTATTATTGATAAATGTAAAAGGAAAATAAAATCTCAGGACTCCAAATTCACTATGCCAGAAGGTAAAAGTTAAGTTGGAAGCTGAGTCATGAAAAAACCCAAAAAACTGCCTTTCCTTTAGTTTGATTCTTTTTTAAAAAAGACTTTAAGGACTTTAATTCTTTTTCTTTAGCTGTGGTAACAACAGTTAACATGAGCTCTATCCTCTTCAGTGTTTAAGTGCTATCCATTGTTGTTGATTATTCGTATAATGCCATACAGAAAATCTTAAGAGCTTATTTATCTTACTTGGATAAAACTTTATGCCTCTTAATTGGCAACTCCCCATCTTCCTCTCCCCTGTAATCTCTGCCCCCTAGTCTCTGCGAACCACTCATTGATTCTATGAATTTGAGTATTGTAGTTCTCTCCTATAAATGGAATCATGCAGTATTTGTCTTTCTGAGACCGCTTTAGTTCACTTAGAATAATATCCCCAATATTTAAGCATGTTGTTACAGATCATAAATTTCCTTCTGTTTTTCAGGCTGAATAGTATTTTATTGTATATATGAAATGGGAACATTATCTGACCACCCTTGCAGGGCATGCGACAAGGTTGTGGCTCATCTGTCCGGCCAGTGACGCTTAAACCCCCTATGGGAGGGGGAGCATGAGGACAGGCAGGTGCAGGAGCTTTGGTGAGCGCTTTTGAGCTCTGTCCCCACGGTAGCATCTAGGGGTGGGTGCCTGCAACTCCCAAAGCCCCAGTGTGCATGCTACAGTGCTCTTTTGAGCTCTGTCCCCATGGTAGCATCTAGGAGTGGGTGCCTGTGACTCCCAAAGCCCCAGTGTGCATGCTACAGTGCTCTTTTAAGCTTCGTCCCCATGGTAGCATCTAGGGGTGGGTGCCTGCAACTCCTGAAGCCCCAGTGGGCATGCTACAATGTTCTTTTCAGCTCTGCTGTCTGCAGACAGCTTAAGTGTTTCAGCTCAGTGCCCTCTTAATACCCAGGTTCTTTTCTGGCATCCAGGAAGAATCAGGTCACACACGGACTTGAAGGATGGTGAATGTGGGGATTTTGTTGGGCGATGGAGATGGCTCTCAACAGGGTGAGTGAAGAGCTGGAAAGGGGATGAAGTAGGAAGATGTTCTTGCCCTGGAATTTGGTTGTCCCACGGCCAATATTCTCTTTGACCATTTTCAGCAGATCTCCTCTCGACATTCATACACTCCTTCTCGGCCACTCTTCTGCTCCTCTCTGTTCTGTTTGTCTGCTTATATGCTTGTGGAGTGTGGGGTTTGTGGTTTATATGGGTACAGGATAGGGTGATGTGGTTGGCCACAAGGCAACATTTGGGTGTGAAAACAGGAATGCCTATTCCCATGTAAGGCCATGGATTTCTAGGCTTGGGGGTAGAGCCTTTGCTGGGGAACTGCCCTCTTCTACCCAAGATTTCCTTGTCTCCTATCCATATCGTTTCTACCATAGTTTGTTTATTCATTCATCTTTCAATAGACATTTAAGTAGTTTCTTCATCTTGGTTACTGTAAATAGTGCTGGAAAACTAATAACCCTATAGAGAAAATGGAACTTGAATAGACATTTCTCCAAAGACATGCAATTGGCAAACAGGTATATTTTTTTAAATATTCAGTGTCACTGCTAATCAGGAAAATGCAAAGAAAAACCACAGTGAGATACCACCCATACCTGTCAGGATGGCTATCAACAACAACAACAAAAACAACAACAACACACATGCACTTATGAAAGAGAGCAGGTTTTGGTAAAGATGAGAAGACATTGGAGGGACACCTGCACACTGTTGGTGGGAATGCAAAGCAAACAAACTGCTATGGGAAACAGTTGGAACAGTACTCCCAACACTACAAACAGAAGTGCCATGTGATTCGGTTATTCCACTTCTGGGTATTTATCCAAAATTATTGAAATTCAGGATCTTGATACTAGAAAGACTTTAAGGCAGTGATTATAAATATGTTCAAGGCTTTCATAGGAAATATAAACATGCTGAAGAGAGAAATAGAAGATACAATACTGTAATAGAATTTCTAGAGATGAAACAATGAAATATCTGAGTTATTTCACTTACTAGGATTCATAGCAGTTTATAAAATGCAAAAGAAAAAATCAGTGAAATTTTAGAACATTAGAAACTATCCACACAGAAACAGAACTTAGACCCCAAATATGCGAGGAATAATTGTATTATAATAATTTAGAATATCCCCCAAAATCTGTAATAGATTTTAAAACAGAAAGAAACAATAATTTAGAATATCCCTCAAAATCTGTAATTGATTTTAGAAAAGAAAGGAACAGAAAAAAGATTTTAGACACAGAAAGAACAGAAAGTGGGATTATGCTCAATATCATTAAGAATGTGAAAGGAAAATGAATCTTGGGACCCCGAACTCACTGAGCCAAAGGGAAAAGTCAAACTAGCAACTGCATCATGAAAATCTCCTTCCCATTTTATTCCTAAATAAGACAGCTACAAAAATAAAAAAGCTACATACCTCCCCCACAATTTTCCCACTAAGAAATCCCTTGTGGGCCCCAAGATTCTTACCCTAAAACAGTCCTGTTGAATTTCACCCTGGCAAGAAAAATTGACACCTTATCTTCAGAGGTATGACACAAAGGATGAGACTCAAAGTCATATTTCTGCTCACTTGAGACAAGGCATATTTGATTGCTTCCCCTGACCTACGTTTATTTCATTTTATGTAAAAATGCAGATTCAGTGAGCTAGATGAATACATAATTGACTATTCCTCTACCACCTCTCACATGTGAATGGCTGATCAAAGACTCAAAGGAATGAAACTATTTGCCTCTTACCTACCCACACCTTTTAAAATGTCTTCCTCTTTCCCCAATATCTCTCCTTTCTTCTTTAAATGTTGAAGCCTTCAAAATCATCTTTAGAGAAAGGTACCTTTCTCTAAAATTGGGATGTGTCTCCCACACTCACATACTCATCCTTGGCAAAATGAACTTCTACATTGACTGAGACCTGTCTCAGATACTTTGAATTAGTATCTGTCTCAGATACTAGGTAAATGCAAATTAAAGCTACATCAGGATGCTACTACATACAATTACAGTGGCTGAAATTTAAAAGATAGAAAATCCCCACTGGTGGTGACCATGTGGATCAGTGAGAGGACTCATCCATTGCTGGTGGGAATGGAACATGGTTAAGGGTCTTACAGAAAATTTTAATTAATTTCTATAAAAAATTAAATATATACCATGTGACACAGCCATTCCATTCTTGGGGAACAGATGGAATTTTTAAATATTATGCATATTGTCTAAAGTTCACTTAGGCTTTCTAAAACACTGGAGTTAACATCTTTAATATTGTATTTTGTGAAAGGAATCCCTAAATGAGAGTCCACTTCTGGTCAGAGTGTTGTGAGGGTTCAGTTGATTCCCCTTTGAAGAAAACAAGTATAATCTTAGACAAAATTATCAAAACAACTATATTTATTCTCTGAACATTTACCATATCCACAGAATCAGACACCAGTGAAACAATGTCCACAAATTAGAAAGCATTAATCTTTAAAAAAAAAAAAAAAAAAACAAACAGAAAAACCAAAACAGTTATAATTTTGGGCAAGGACATCAGTGAGCAGATGGCTTTCTTGACCACCGTGGTCAAAGCTTTCTCTGATTGGGGTTGGATGGAATCACAAGCAACTTTGAAGAATTGCTAGAGATTGCTCAGCTCACTGAGTCAGGACAAAGGTCGTTCGTAAAATCATAGATTGTTGGCTAAAACTAGCAGATTTGGTACTGAACCGATGGCGGAAATCACACAGCTTTCTTAGCCCAAGTTTGCAGACTAGGTTCTGGGTAAGCGGCGGCGCAGCCGCAGTCTTAATGGGAAGATTCTAGAAGTAAGAGAACCATGGAAGGGCTGAGATATGCTGCCCACCCCTCTCTGCCTGTCTGCCACACTACACTATGCAAGTGTGGGGAGACCCAAGGCATTCTGATAAATGAAAGCCAACACAGACTTAAAAACTGTATGCAAATTCAAATGTGTTTCTCAACCCGTGAACAACTCAACTGGAAGGTTAGAAGCCTTACAAAATAAAATATCTGATTGCAACCCCTGTCCAAATCACTGGAACTGATCATCAAAATCTACAGAGATAGAAACAACCCCAAGGACCTAAGGAAAAAAGGAAAACAAAAAAGGGAGCATAACACATCAACAGTTGAGCTTCGTAGAAGAGATGAGGTTTTCCAGGGAAGCTTCCTAAAAATAGTCCAACAGCCCTGAGGAAAAAAAAAAAAAAAAAAAAACTATGTCTTCTACTTTCTTTTTTTTTTTTATCTTGAATGTCAGTTTTCAACCAAAAATTACAAAATACACAGACTCAGGGAAGTGTGAGCCACATTGGAAAAAAAAAATTTTAAAAAGATAGTATGAACTGACTGGGTAGGACCAGCTGTCGAATGTAGCATAAAAAGAACAGCGGTTGTACATACATTCAGCACATTGTCCTTTCATAAAAGCCAGTGCTCCTCTGCAAGGAGACAGTCTGTCTGTTTTACAAAGGTGTGTGCCATACAAATTTTCTTGAAGACGGTGCAGAACAAAAGGCTGTCTGTGCTTGTGCTGTGTAGACGTGCATGACAGCCATGGGTCATTGTTTTCGGACAGACCTAGCAGGCAAATCTTAAACACTACAATTGTGCCTTTACTTACATTTTCATTGGATTGCCGTCCGCTCCATATTTGTAGAATCTCATGACGAGGATGGTAAAATTTTAGTTCCTTCCCATTAATATGTATCCCTCGAAAAGTAGGAAGCTCAGTAGAGGCCTTATCCTAGACCTGCCACTTTAGAATCTCTTCAGGGAAGCCCTGGAGGTTGCATTTAATTAGCAACCACTTGATAACACAGCAAAATTTCGGAATCTGCCTACAGAATCCAACAGAAACTTGTAAACCCGACGTGTGAAAGCCTTGTTGCACTCACTACCCCTTACATCCCTCTCAGTCTTTCCTGTTCTCACACCCTGCAATCCCACCGTATCAAACTGCACGCAGCTGCCAGTACTCACCATGTTTCTATATGGTTATGCCTTTGAGAGTAAATGGAAAATAGCCCCCATTTGAGATGATTGGTTTGATTCTAAGTTGTTCACAGATGGAAATACTGGGTTTCCTACTCATCAATGAGGAATTAAGCTCCAATTCTAAAATGTGATTTAATTTCTTATTCCCATAGAAATATAGGATTTTTGCATTTTATACATAGTGGCTGGAGTTATAAATCCTAACTGATATGTTACTTGTTCTAGGCCAATATAACTAACATGTCTTTGAGAGTAAAAATAAAATGTATAACCTTGACTTTTTCTAACAAAGAAAAGGAGGGTGATTTATAAACCAGAAAGGTCATAGTCAAAGCATAATGTCTTATCTCTAGTCTGATAACAAGTTTTAGTTCAATTCAAATACCCATTTGCTCAAAATTTTACCTAGCCATGTGTAGGTATTATGCAAAGCAAAAGAATGATGAATTTGTATTGAATATTCTGTGTATATCCTAATATTTCTTATGTCAGCTGTAAAATAAATTTTTCTAGTTCTGTAGATTCTGAAGCTATAGTCAGATAGGTGTGGGTATAGACCTCCTGGATCTGTTTCTCTGAAGAATTCTGATTAACGCAATCAGTCTGTAGGTCTGTAGAACAGGCAGACATGTATCTGCAATAGTTAAGTACTGTGCTACTTAGACAAAAAATTTAAAAAAATAAAATTACAAAAGACTTTTAAAACGGAAAAGGTCCCTGACCACATCCCAAGCATCATCAATTAAGGCATTATTAACTATATGTTATAGGGAACCACCTTGTATAAGAGAGAAAGTAGGCAGGGCGCAGTAACTCACGCCTATAATCCCAGCAGTTTGGGAGGCCGAGGCAGGTGGATCACCTGAGGTCAGAAGTTCGAGACCAGCCTGGCCAACATGGTGAAAACCCGTCTCTACTGAAAATACAAAAGATTAGACAGGGATGGTGGCATGCGCCTGTAATCTCAGCTACTTGACAGGCTGAGGCAGGAGAATCGCTTGAACCCGGGATGTGGAGGTTGCAGTGAGATGAGATGGTGTCATTGCACTCCAGCCTGGGCGACAAGAGCGAAACTCAGTCTAAAAAAAAAAAAAAAAAAGAGAGAGAGAGAACTGGAACTTGTGTCCTCTGCCTCTCAGTATAAATCTCCTCTTTCTAAATTGAGATGTTCTTTGTTTCTGGGAATAATGGTTTTTCCAAAAGGAACAAAAATGCGAGCCTGGTAGAAACTAACCATGATGATTCTCTTTTGGTTGCAATAATATGTGGGACTTTCACTTTCCATATAATAGAACTCTATGATAATTGCATTTTATAAGAACCATGTATAAAGCTGGAAAGGGAACTGAAAAAAGCATGTATTACTTTCATAAACATTTAAAACATAGAGACATCAAATATGAAAATCTGTTGTGATAAGAGAAATTGCCATTATGAAAATCAAACAATTTCTCTCTATTGTTTTAATTATCAAATTGGTTGACTTAGTTCATTTGTGCTGTTATAACAAGACATTTGCAACGGACTAAGTCACTTATAAACAGACATTTCTAGATCACAGTTCTGGAGGCTGGAGGTCCGAGGTCAAGTTTCCAGCAGATTTGGTGTCTGGTGAAGGCCTCGTCTTTGCTTCATAGATGGTGCTTCTCATTTTATCCTCACATGGCAGAAGGGGCAGAAGGAAGGACCAGGCAGCTCTGGGAAGATCATTTTATAAGGTCTTTTAATCCTATTCGGGAGGGTGGCGCCCTCAGGACATAACCACTTTTCCAAAGCTCCCACATCTTAATACTACAGCATGGGGCATTCAGTTTCAACATGAATTTTAGAGGGACACAGACATTCAAACCCTAACCCTGTTTTTTGTTGATAGTTTGTTAAAATTTATTTCTATGTTTTGAAACTGAAGTATCTCATGTAATTGGCAACAGTCCTTGGAAGAGGGTTCAATAGTGAAAGGAGACCTTAGGAATCTGTTTCTTATTCACAGATTCTCCTGGATTGCAGCAGGGAACATTGCAACAGCAGCAGCACACTGTTTTGCAGTGAAAATTGATTTTCCTTGCTAAGTTCCCTTTCAATTAACTTCATTTCTTGTTTCTCACACAGTTAATATATTATTTTTCCCTCTATGCCTAAAAGATCTAAGAGATCTGAGAAACCCCACAGCTAACTCGTCACCACTACAACATGCAGCTTTCTTATATTGACCGCAATTTTAAATTCGACTGGACATACGGAGTCAACTTACTAAAGGCTCCATATAATGTCTTGTTAGCACAATCTCATTGATAAAAATATCACACCTAAAATTTTTTAAAAGTTAAAATATAAAATAACCCATTTCATTTCTAATATTTATTTTTTAGCACTTATAGTCTCAGCCATTAGTAGGCATCAGAAAAGACAGCCCTGTTCCAAGTTTTCCTACCTTCTGATTTTCAACTTCATATCAATAAACAAAATAGTGAAATTCACCTAACTTTACCAATTACCATAGTGTACTGGTCTGTTTCCACGCTGCTGATAAAGACATACACGAGACGGGGCAATTTACAAAACAAAAAGGTTTAATTGAACTTACAGTTCCACATAGCTGGGGAAGGTCTCACAACCATGGTGAAGGGCAAAAGGCACTTCCTACATGGTGGCGGCAAGAGAGAAATGAGGAGGAAGCAAAGGGGGAAACCCCTTATTAACCCATCATACGTCATGAGACTTTTTCACTTTTAGGAGAATAGCACAGGAAAGACCAGCCCGATGATTCAATTACGGACCCCTGTGTCCCTCCCACAACACATGGGAATCCTGGGAGATACAATTCAAGTTGAGATTTGGGTGGGGACACAGACAAACCATATCAAATAGTGATGAGCAATTAATACATGTGGATTAAAAGTCTTTCTTCTCTAATTGATACTAAAGTTAAATGTTATTATGTGTTCTTTCTGGACTTTTCTATGAAAATGATAATGCATTTGTATATGACAATATACTTGCTTTTTAGTTTGAGTTTCTGTTTTCACACTAGGGATTAGATTAAGTAAATATACATTGATGAGCAAATACGTTTGATGTATAAAGATACTCTAAAATAAAATTAAAAGTATTGTCTTTGTCAATTATAAATATAAAACACAAAAGAAAAAATGTAGTTGTATTGCTTATAACCCAATAATTAGTTTTGGGTATAGAAGTCAACAGAAGTACAGTATGATAACTACAGGTATTTTGAAGGGGAGGACAGTTTAAGAGGGTAAAGAGGGCTGCACATTCTTTGTTACGTCTACAAACAGAAATGAAATCAAATTCTTCTTCCTTTGAATCTGGTCTTGGTCTTGCTGTGGGTTGCTTGACCAATTGAAGTGACACTCTGGGTCCTTCAAGCCTAATCCGTAAGAGGCCTTGCAGCTTCTGCCTGGCCTCCTGGAATCCTCTGTGGTGGGCTGTTCCTGCCTCCCAGCTATTCTTACCAAGGCACCAGACTTACAGCCATGTGGACCCTTCAGCCCAGCCAACCTGTCATTGGAGTAGGGCTGGGAGACTCCTCTCACCCCCAGTGCAAAGTGGAACACCCAGTGCCCAGGATGATGTCATGAAGCAATGAGTTTAACCACTGCACTCAGCCAGTGCTGGGCTGAGTAAGGGTCCCCCAAAGACACCGATATCCAACTCCCTGGACCCGAGACTGTGTTAATGATATAGGAGTTCAAAAGAAATTATTTAGGCAGGTAGTGAGGGTAAGGAAATCCTCGGTAAGGTTTTCCTGTTAATGAAAGGCAGCCTCCAAATCATTTCTTTTCTAACAAAAGCAGCCTGTAAAATCAAGTTGTAGACATAAATAAGCAAACTGGAAGCTTGCAGGGGTGAATGCCGGCAGCTATGCCAGTGGGCAAGGGACTACCTGGGGGCTGGGCATGTTGAACATGGCAACTCCGTCTTCTTTGTCATGGAAGCAATGGGAAATCAATACACACTGTGACGGAAGAAGTTGCAACTCTTTGGAAATCTAAAACACGTAAAATGATAAAGGCTATAAAACATCCATTAATTGTGTTTTTACTGTTTGTTGATACACTCTGGACTGAATTGTTTCTCTTTAAAATACATATATCGAAATTTTCATCCCCAGTCTGACTGGTTTTGGAGATCGGGCTTTAGGAGGATAATGAAGGTCAAGGGGGGTAATAAGAGTGGAGTCCTAATCCTACAGGCTTGGTGGCCTTCTAAGAAGAGAGACAGACATTTTTCTCCCTCTTCTAGTGCATACACTGAGAAAAGGCCATGTGAGGCCACAGCAAGAAGGCAGCCACCTGCAAGCCGCGGAAGGTGGTCTCACCAGGAACCAAATCAGATGGAAACTTGGTCTTGGACCATAAACATCTGTTGTTGAAGCCTCCCCCTCTGTGGTACTTAGTCACAGCAACTCGAGTAGGCAAATGCATGAAAATGGTTGCAGTTTTACTGACTGAAGCAGTTAATATTTGTCAGCAGCTTCCAGAGAGGTAGGATAACCTGGTAATTATGAGGGAGGCTCTGGACTGCCTGAGTTTGAGTCCAGGAATCCCTATTTACTGTAAGTGACTATGGGCAAGAAACTGAATGTCTGTATTTCAGTTTCTTCATCTGTAAAATGGGATTCATAACAGTGTGGGGATTTGTGATGACCACAAATATAACACATGGAAGCCTTAGGTTACTAGCTGGCATGCACTAACAGATTCCTATTATCACATTTCAGTTCACTGAAGCAATAAAATGTTTGTATTTTTAAGTGAAAATAGGATGGCATGGTGGTAAAAACAAAGGACTAAGATACAGAAAACTTAAATTCAAATTGTTTTGAACTTGAGTAAATTACAATCTCTGTAAATTTTGTCCTTTTCCACCCTTATAAATGAGGGCATTGAAATTTAAATATCACGAGATCATTGAGAGGATACAATGAAATGATGAGATCTGTGACTGCATCTAGAACTAAGAAGCACTACAGAAGTATAATTAATAGGTGTAATTTAATGAATGTGATTATTCGTATTATTGTTACATCTCAGGAAACAGAAAATACCATGCTCTTACATGTTTTCACATTTACTGTGTCATTTGGGAAACTTGACCCTTAAAAGCTCCCATCCCTGGGACTTTTATATAAAGTTTTCTTCTCCTTTCTGCCAAGCTCGCTTGGGTGGCGGTCACCCTGCCATTATCTCCCTGAAGCAGAAGGGGTTGAGGAGGAGCCACAGGGCTGTCCCTGGCAGTCTCACCAAAGCCCTGAGCTGTGCAGATAAACCAGTGTCTGCAGGTAGAGGGATGGAGAGAAAGCTTCCCTGCTGTCTACTCTGAAGGTTCTCTGCAAAGAACTAAGGGTAGACAGTTCAAAAAGAGGCAAGCAATAACAAACTTATTAACGTGTACAGGGCAAAGGAATTCCACAAATATGACGCTCAAAGAAGGTCTCGAATGTAGCTTCGATGTGCCACATGTGGGAAAACTTGGAGGCCTGTGCTGCGGACTGGTCTGCAGTGTCTCAGAGGGCAGTGTTCACACTCCCGACAGAAACACAAAACACCTTGATTTTCTGCCCCAAGTGCTGAAATTGCATGAAAAATTAATGAGCAATAATCAGAGTGTTGTATTTCACAGATTATCAACCACTCGTATACTCCTCCTAAATACCCTAGTTCTTCCTTTCTACCTCATTACATGTACTTTTATTTTATCCTGAACAAAACCCAAAACTTTACAAAATTGTTATTTCTCAAACAGAGACACTTAGGAAGATTAAGTGCAAAGCCTGGGGATCGCATGGTCAGGGTGAGATACAGTTGGAATATGAAACCCAATGTATTGACCCTTTCCTCCTTTATACTTTATCCCTATTTGCTGGTCTTTATCAATACTTTCAGTTTGAATGTGGTTAAACTGGAATCTACACTAAAGAATCTGGTGGATGGTGAGACGGCTCAGAATACACCAGCATTTGGATGTTCTGCAAGTAAAATGAGATATGTTTTATGTCATCATTGATGTTTTTCTACTAGTGGTGATTTATTTTGCTCTCATTCTGATGATAATTAATTTAGAAAAAGAAAAAGGGAAACAATTGTGAAGTCCTCAGTCTCTTCAGTACTTAAACTAAGCTCTGAGGCCCTCCCAGGACTGAGAGGATGGAGTGAAGGAGGCACTTAGCTTAGCTCAGGCACAAAATTTAGAGGGGAAAAAACTCAGTTATCAAGACAAATAATATTTAATGCAATTTTTTTTTTTGAGACGGAGTCTCGCTCTGTCGCCCAGGCTGGAGTGCAGGTGGCGCAGTCTCAGCTCACTGCAACCTCTGCCTCCCAGGTTCAAGTGATTCTCCCACCTTAGCCAACCAAGTAGCTGGGGTTACAAGCACCTGCCACCACGCCTGGCTAATTTTTGTTTTTTGAGTAGAGTCGGGGTTTCACCATGTTGGCCAGGCTGGTTTCGAGCTCCTTACCTCAGATGATCCGCCTGCCTTGGCCTCCCAAAGTGCTGGGATTACAGGCGTGAGCCACCATGCCTGGCCTCCCCATCAATTTTATCATTGACTCAGGAGTCTAGTAGTTCTTCATAATTCTGGAGATAGCTATGACCTCACTCTGTGTCATTATTTTATTTTATTTTATTTTTTGAGACACAATCTTGCTCTCTCACCCAGGTTGGAGTGCAGTGGCATGATCCTGGCTCACTGCAACCTCCACCTCCTGGATTCAAGTGATTCTCCTGCCTCAGCATCCTGAGTAGCTGGAATTACAGGCACCTGCCACCACACCTGGCTAATTTTTGTGTTTTTGGTAGAGATGGGGTTTGGCAATGTTGGCCAGGATGGTCTGGAATTCTTGACTTCAGGTGATCCACTCTCCTTGGGCTCCCAAACTGCTGGGATTACAGGCATGAGCCACCATGTCCGGCCCCAGTGCAGTATTTTAAAGTCTTAAAATTAATGCAAAAAATACATGATAAAAAAAATTCTAAGACTTTAAAGTCAGGATCAGTTTTCTACCAGAATAATGAACATAGACACATAAACCACAACCCATGAACCCACACAGTTTTGCCCCTTGCTTCCAGAAATTCAAGTAAGTACGTAGTACAACCAATTCAGCACACTCCTAAAGGACTTGAAAACACATTTAAGAACCACTGGCATAGAGCATTTGTGCCTTTAATTTGTTGGCTTTGAACTGTTTTGTAACATAAAATGAACTATACCTTAATTGTTTTAACTGAATGATTTTCTAATTAGATTTCACAAGGCAAAAAAAAAAAAAAAAAAAAAAAATGGGAGTTAGGTTTTAGCCCCCTGGGACATCTCATTCCTAGTAAACAGCAGGTAGCTTGTCTTCCCTGAGGGTAATAGGCTCTGAAAAAAAAAAAATCCATACTCTTCAAGATCGATGTCCGTGGAGATTTATGGATGGTAAAATGTGGGACGGGACAGCAGCCTCAGCAGCATCTCCCCCAGTCATATTTGGGTGCGTGTCTGTGATAATAGGAGTTAAGAAGAAAGCACTTAGACAGATAGGGTACAGAAGTCCCCTGTAAGGCTTTCTCTTTAAGGAAAAGCAGCCCTAAATCACCGTCTTAACAAAGAGCAGCCTGTAAGGCCAAGCTGCAGACATAGACAAGCCAACTGGGAGCTTGCACCGGTGAATGCTGGCAGGAAGCGGGGACTAGACATGTTCAAGGTGCCCTTCTCTTTGTCAACCACTCGTACAGTAAGAACCAAACAAGATGGCTTCCATCAACTGGAAAGCCTATTTGCATAATAAGATTAGGGTGGGGCCACCAGCCTCCCTAAGGCTATCTAGACATCATACCTGAAGGAACCAATCTGTGAGCCCTACGTAAATCAGACACCGCCTTCACAAACTGGACTGTAAAATTTGGACCGTCCACCACCGCTTGTTCCTTTCTGCTCAGGGACTTCTCTCTCTAGAGAGAGCTGTTTCTCATCCTCTTCTCTTCTGCCTATGAAACCTCCGCTCCTAAATTCCTTGTGTGTCTGTGTCCTAAATTTTCCTGGTGCATGACGGGGAACTCCAGGCTATATACCCCAGTCAACATAGCCATTTCATCTGCACATGTGTGTGTTTGTGTGTGTGTTTGTGTGTGGGGGGGAGAGAAGGAATGGGAAGGTGGAGAAGGAGGAGGACAAAGGGGAGAAGGAAACGGGAGTAGGAGGAGGAGGAAAAAGGGGAGGAAGAGGAGAAGGAGAAGAAGGGACAGAGATAGGCAGATAGATAGATAGAAAGAGAGATAGTTAGATGGAAAGATACATAGGCCGGGCGTGGAGGTTCATGCCTGCAGTCCCAGCACTTTGGGAGGCCAAGCTTGAGGCTGGGATTTCTATACCAGCCTGGGCAACAAAGTGAGACCCCATATCTATAAATAAATAAATAAATAAATAAATAAATAGAAAGGTAGATTGACAGATAAAAACTTTCAGGATATGTCATAGAGTATTTAATAGTAGTAGAATATTTCTTTTTCCTAAATCAGGAACATGTTTCCTACCTTTTCCATAACATTAAGTATGGGAGGAAAATTAAAGACAATATGAAACTAAGAGGGTGCAATGCTTGTCAGAGTAGAATAGGGGAATTCTAGTTGAAGGAAACAGGTATTCTTGACTGTAACAGAAATCTTGGAGGGCTGTTCCTCTGAAATATGCAAAGCATAATCTTAGGCCTACCTGTGTGTATTTCTTTGTTTTAGGAATCTCTGAGTTGAGAAGTATGGAGAAAACCTCAGATGGTTAAACTGGAATTTTTTTTTTTTTTTTTTTTTTGAGACGGAGTTTTGCTCCTCTTGCCCAGGCTGGAGTGCAATGGCACAATCTTGGCTCACCACAACCTCCACCTCCCGGGTTCTACTGATTCTCCTGCCTCAGCCTCCCAAGTAGCTGGGATTACAGGCATGCGCCTCCATGCTTGGCTAATTTTGTATTTATAGTATAGACAGGATTTCTCCACGTTGATCAGGCTGGTCTCGAACTTCCGACCTCAGGTGATCTGCTGGCCTTGGCCTCCCAAAGTGCTGGAATTACAGGCGTGAACCACTGCTCCCCGCCCTGGAATATTTTTAAACTGTTATTGTTTAAGAGAAGTAAACGTTGAAAGAAAGGAGACATTTGATTTTGACTAAAGAATGTTCTTGCTGAGAGAGACTAAGTAATACTGAAGTGCCACACACCATTTTCATTCCCATTAGTATTTAAATGATTTGATTACAAATGATAAGACTCCTAATTGGACTTTCAGAATAATAACTAAGCAAAACTGTTTTCCATTATTAAAATGAAACAAGAATAGGAAATTAATGAACGCAAAGTTGCTGAACAGTGTGGTCTGCTAAGGTAAAACCCAGCTTCCCTGGGAAAGAGGGCAGAGGAGGTGGCCAGCAGCCCACATTGGAGGGTGCCAGTGACAGAGAGCATTGCAGGAGGGAGCGGGTCCCTACAGGACAGGTCAAAAGCACGGGCGAGTTAAACACTGGGACAGAGCTGCTTCTTCAGAGCACTTCCTCCTAATAACGTATTTTCCATTTCAGTCTGTATTATACACATTTGTAGAGTTTTAATGGAGAGGATCTTCCCCATGTATCATTCAAACAAAATTGCTTCATACTATAAGGGTCATTTCAAAATTATTTCATGTGAAATTGCTACACATGCCCTACACTTAATCAGGTTGGGTTTTTTCCCCCTACTTCTCACTGGTCTCATTGATTTCATCTGCTACTTTTTTTTTTTTTTTTTTTTTTGAGATGGAGTTTCACTCGGCTATAGTGCAATGGTGCGATCTTGGCTCACTGCAACCTCCACCTCCCAGGTTCAAGCAATTCTCCTGCCTCAACCTCCCAAGTAGCTGGGATTACAGGCGCCCGCCACTATGCCTGGCTAATTTTTGTATTTTTAGTAGAGATGGGGTTTCACCATGTTGGCCAGGCTGGTCTCAAACTCCTGACCTCAGGTGATCCGCCCACCTCGGCCTCCCCAAGTGCTGGTTACAGGTGTGAGCCATCATGCCCAGCCTCATTTGCTACTTTAAAAGTTGCCTGTTACCCCTAGGAAAAGTGGATATCCCAAGGACAAGATCCATTTTCTCTTTTTATTCCTAATATCTAGTATCCTTTATAAACATTTTTAAATAAGAGAATAGATGAATTAACGCCATGATTTTGAAAGTATTTCTCCTTTGCCGTAATATTTCACTCAAATAAAATAGGAAGCACGTCCTTAAGATTTAACACAGAGATTTTTTTTTCCAAATCTACATTAAGTGCACAGATGAGGGCACAATTCACAAATGTAATTAATTCTGATAAGCTGCTGGTTACCCTAGAATTCAAATGACAGACTTCAGAGGAAAAACACTTATAGGGTAAAAAGAGAATAGCTCTATTAATTTCCAGTAAGTAATACACTTGCCTAGGCTGGATGAGGTGACTCAAACCTGAAATCTCAACTCTTCAGGGGCTGAGGCAGGAGGATCACCTGAGCACAGGATTTCAAGGCTGCAGTGAGCTGTGTTTGCACCACTGTACTCCAGCCTAGGCAACAGAGTGAGACCCTGTGTATTAGTCCATTCTCAGGCTGCTATGAAGAAATACCAGAGACTGAGTAATTTATAAAGAAAAGAGGTTTAATTGACTCAGATTTCCGCATGGCTGGGGAGGCCTCAGGAAACTTAAAATCATGGCAGAAGCCACCTCTTCACAGGGCAGGAAAAGAAGAGGGAAATCTCTGCCTTTATTTTCAACAGAGACAATTAAGACTCTGTAGCAATAAGATACCAAATTCCAACCTGACTGTGGTATAGCATCACAAGACAGCAGTTCCTGAAAGAAATAAAAATATTTTGCCCCAAAATATATCTTTAACAAATTTTGAAATGGCCCTGCAATGCTGTCTCTGTTGGGGAAAATTTACGTTCTGTAGAAAATCACCGTCCCTTTCCAGGTCTTTTTCTGATCCTGAAGAGGTGATCTGAGAGTCTAGTACCTTTTAAAGGTCTGAATAGAAAACATTTGACATCTATTGCCTCTATGGATGGTCACCTATGAGACTTCATCTACATAATAAGAACTGTGGTCTCCACAACACGTTATGTTAAACTAGACACTCCTTTCTATTCCAGATTCTTAGATACTAACTTAACTCATTCTACCAATTGCCAATCATAAAATCTTTGAATCCACCTCTGACCTGTAAGCCCCCACTTCAAGTTGTCTTGCCTACTCAGACCAAACCAGGGTATACCTTACATGTATTGATTGATGTTTTATGTCCCCCTAAAGTGTATAAAACCAAGCTGTAACTTGACCACCCTGGGCACATGTTCTCAGGACCTCTTAAGACTGTGCCTCAGGTCTTGGTCACTCATATTTGGCTCAGAATAAATGTCTATAAAATTTTTTAAGAGTTTGATTATTTTTATCAACAACACTAAGATAAAAACTATGTAATAAAGTACTTCAGCCTTGGTAAACCCTATTTCTAATGAGTCTTTTCTGTCTTCAAAGACTCCTTTTTCAGAGATGTGGGCTGGTAAAGATCACTCATAGAGAAGCAAGAAACCTTCTAAATTTTTAAATTCAAATACCCCTTCAGCTAGCCTAAGACAGGCAGGTGGGGACTGGGCAGACCCCACATTAATTGTCCCCTACGGAAGCAAGAAAAAGGACAACTATGAAAAGATCTGGAGAGGAACAGAGCGAAAGTGGAATGTCACTGCTGTTTTCACCATTTTAATTTACCAAAAACTGACTGCGTCCAAGGGAAGGAGCTGCTAGCTAGGAATCACACGAGGACAGAACTAACATTTCTTTTAACTTAAAATTACATTTAAAAGTTGGATAAATTGATGTACACAGGCCACCATGTAGTCTGCCCTTGTATTTGTATGTCTACACTTTCCCCTAGATCAGCTCCAGCTCTGGCCGTGTGTTTAGGCATTGCTGTCTGTCTACCTTCCTTCCTCTGGTGGACCCAGAAAAAGAATTCAGCTACTGCTGCTAGTCTGTAACTTCAAAATGACACATAAATCATCTTAATCATCTTCACAGGGTTTTATACCACAGAACAATGCAGGACATGCCTGGATAAATGTCTTATTTACACGTGACAGTGACTGGCTTGGTGGGTCACGGTGACAAGGATCAGGCAGGCAGGCCGTTCTCCTCACTGCTGAATTTGCTTCTCACAAAAGAGGGTGGAGGAGAACAGTCAGTCAGCAGCAGAAATGTTGAATACGTTTTATTTATTTAAATCCTAATGCCTTCATTAATTGCATCTCAGAGTACTAAGGAAAGGGAAAGCAAAATCTACTGTCCTAGAAAAGAAGAATTAGACAAGTTCAGCGACATTTGATTATTTGGAAAGGATTCTTTATGGAAATTATTTCTTAATAAACTAAGCTTTCATGCTGAAGTCACGACTAAGATTTGCAAACATTTATACAAAGCTCATTTGTTACAGAAAGTACACACACACACACACACACGCATATATACAATATGCAATTATTAGCCAGAAATTGTTGTTGTTGTTGTTTGAGACAGAGTCTCCTTCTGTCGCCCAGGTTGGAGTGGAGTGGCGCGATCTCAGCTCACGGTAGCCTCTGCCTCCCAAGTGATTCTCCCGCCTCAGCCTCCTGAGTAGCTGGCACTACAGGCATGCACCACTATGCCCGGCTAATGTTTGCATTTTTAGTAGAGATGGGGTTTTGCCATGTTGACCAGGCTGGTCTCGAACTCCTGATCTCAGGTGATCCATCCACTTCCACCTCCTAAAGTGCTGGGATTACAGGTGTGAGCCACAGCTCCCAGCCTAACCAGAAGTTTTATAACCAAGAGATTCAAAATTCACGCTGCCTAGTACCACGTGATTCTTGACTTATTTTCTAGCTCTTTGATGCATTCATTTTCAGGCTAACGTAGGGAAGGAGTGTGACTGTTAGTTCATCTTCGGGTATTGTGTGATGAAGTAGTGCTCGAGCATCAGCAATGAGATGCCCATGGAGCTTGCAAACACTTCCCTTAGCCAATGTCAGCATTATTAGTTCTCCTTCCAGAAGGACTTTCAATCCAAGAAGTCAATCCACTTTTATTTCCTCACGCTTTCCTCACCCACTGGTAACGTGTCAACATCCTCTGAAATCGCCTGAGGGTGAGGAGCTCCAGGTAGAAAAGAAGAAAAGAGTATGATCACTTTAAATATAACTAAATGATAATATTCAGGTATTTTCCTCTATAAACTCAATACAATACAGCTATCGAATCCACTGTAGCTATAAGAATACAGGTATTTTTTGGATTTGAGGTAGATATCCTGAAGAGGTTTTTTTCTTCTGTGTCCCTAGACCTTTGTTCTTTCTAAAACTGTGCTGAGATGAAGGCCTCCCGCCTGTGGTCCTGAGGATGGTGTTGCTAAGCAGCAACAAGGTCCTCTTGCACTGTTTCCAGAGCCAGTCACTCCAGCCTGCCTCAGTGCACACCTGGGCACCAGGCAGGTGTCTGGAAGTGACTCATTCTCTAAAGAACATTTGCCTCTAGAATTTTTTTAGAAATTCAGTTTAAATCAGGACATATAAAATCAGCCTTAATAACCGTGAAGTTATAAATATAGTTTTGTGAAATACAGAGATTGACAGCTTGGATAATCAGGAAAGAGCGAGAATTAAATATAGAGAAGAGGAAGGTAACTAATGTTAGCTGAACAAGTCATTTCAACTGTAATTTTAAGATAATAGCTTTTGAAATATGGTCCTTGTGGAAAACTGGAAGCAAGAATTTATGTGACTCTAAGGCAGAAGCTCAATGTTTAAGAGAACAGAAATATGCTTTTAATTAGTGTGATGACTAAAAACACAAAATGCTTTAGTGGGTCTTTTCTTATTTGATTACAAGTCTTTGTTGAAGCTGTCATATGTAACTTTCAGTAATTTCATGTAATAATTTTAAGCCACAAATTAAAAATCTGCCATATCAATGAAGAACATGTTGATTAAATGGTTTATATGAAAAGCAAGGAGGAAAACAACTTGAAAATATTAAAAGCATTTAGCCTTGTGATGATTGCCAAAATGACTAATTAACAATACTGATATTTTTCCTTCTGTCCATTTCACAAATATAAATATTAGAAAGCATATTAATTAAATTAAAAGGCACCAAACAGAAATTGATTTTTTTAACTTGTGAAAATGTCTAGGCAAAGACTATGTACATCAGTCTTTTTATTCCTATTTTCAGAATGAAGATTCATTACTATTATGAGTTGAATTATCTCCCTCGTAAAAAGATAAGGTGAAATCCTAACCCTGGGAACCTCAGACTGTCACTTTATGTGGAAATAGCATCCTGACAGAGAAAGTCAAATTAAAATGATGAGGGAGGAACCCAATCCTGTATAACTGGCACCCCCTATAAAAAGGGACATTTGCACACAGACAAACGCAGGAGGAAGATGATGTGAAGACACAGACAGAAAGTCAAGTGAGGCTGGATTGATGTGGCCACAAGCCAGGAGTCCCTGGTCGACCAAGAGCTGGAAGAGGCAGGAAGGACCCTTTATCTCCAAGTCTCAGAGGGAGCATGGCTCTGCTGACACCTTGATTTTGAACTTCCAGCCTCGGAACTGTGAGACTATATATTTCTATTTTAAGCCACCCAGTTTATGGAAATTTTTATGGCAGCCCTAAAAAACTAATACAATCGTACTTCTGATAATATAAAAATGCATCCTCAGGATAAAAATAATCTCATTATAAAAATACACATAAGTACAAAAAATAAAGAAGAGATTAAAAATCTTCAAAAATCCATCCAGCCTTTAAATAAAAGACTCTTTTGGTGATCATTCTTTTATTTCATCTGTTTATGAATATATGCCATCATGCAGTACACAATTTTAACCTGTGCATTTCAAAATGATATTGATTATGAAGATGAATTAGAAGTATTTGTATTCCTCTTACATAGTAAAACATAGCACTTGTGATATATAGAGGCTGACTTGTTAAGTTATATTTTGAAGTTCCGATGTGTGCATGCGTGTTTTCTCAAACATCCTGTAGCATGACTAGATTCCAGGGACATCAAAAGAGATTACCTTTGCTGTTTACCAGTCAATTTCTGAAAATGTTCTTCTATTAGAATACCAGGCATTTATTATAAAATTATTATCTCTGTGAGAAAAAAACCTACTTGAAGGTAAAACACTTTAAACTTGCCAAAGTTTGATTGATTAATGTAATAGGATTATTGAAATAATAATCCTGTATTAAGCAAATTTTTCATAAGAAAGAAGGAAGGGTTTGTCATCTGAAAATAGCTTAAGAGATCATGATGAAGGGCAGGTGGACAGAACTGTGCATTAGAGATGAAATATTCCCACTCAGAACTTTGCACATCCTGACAGGCATTATTTGAAATACTTTCATTAGTTTACAGTTTATTTTCCATTTTCTATGGGCAATACATTGTCATATTTAATCATCATCTTGACTACATGTGTAATTATCATTTCTCATTGAGTGAGACAATATTTATTCAGCGTGAGGATTTTCCTTACTCGCTACTTCTTTTTTGACTTTTTAACAGAGCTTTAATTTTTTAATATGTGTGTATATATAATTATATTTTTAAAACACAGCAGCACGATTTCTGCCCTGAATGCACGTAAATTTGAAATACTGACCACAAGCAGCTTCCTTTACCGTGCACTTCCTGGTAACTTCAACTTGCCGTGATCTCAGGGAAGGAACTGTGTGTACCAGCTATTTCTGTGCACACCTGTACATGTTTATCTGCTGTAATATAGTTCATACATGCTCCTGAAACGTTAGTTTCATTGCATTTTTTATGCATTAAAATCAACGAATCAATGAAATCTTGGGTTGGATAAAGAGGAGGGAAAGGACAATATCTGGCAGGTAGGAAATGCGATCAAACCTCACAAAGGCATGAAGTAAGCAAGCAGGAGAATTCTTTCACAGCTTCCACTTAAGGATTAATGTTTAAGAAATTTGTCTTTCTAGTGGAGCTGGATTATTCATCACTATTTCTCTCAGGTTGATGTTTATCTTCAAATTTGTTCTAGAAGTAGAAGTGGTTTTGTATTTAGAGAGACAGGCGCTGAGACCTTCCTGCCATCTTCAATCGATGGATACTTGCTGAGCAGCTGTTCTGAGACATTGTTCTGGGGGCTGGGGATAAATAGCAGAAGACAGCCAGAGCCTCTCTGCCCTGGCGTCTGATAGCAAAGGGCAGTAAGTGTTTGTGACAATTTCAGGTGTTAAAAATTCTACTGGTAGAAAAGAGACCCGAAAAGGATTGGTTAGAGAAAGGGTCAACCAACAAGCTCAGGGCAGAGTAGGTAGAGACCTGTCCCCTTCTGTTAGCCAAATCCAGACCCTTTTTCACTAGATCACAATATTTTCTGGTCAAAAGGAGGGATGGGAAGAGACATTATTTTTACTCTTGGCTTCAAATCTTCCTCATAATGTTTGTTACATATAAACCTTATTTCTTATTTGTTTTTCTATTTTTGTTCTAATATTAACATACTTTTTGACAACTATTTTTCCATTGCGACTAGGGACATGTGTCCCTAGATTTAGATTTCTGTCATTTTATGTGTGAGTTTATGTTTTGCATCAGTTTTAGAAAGTTTTCAATTGTTATCGTCTCAAATATTTCCTTTTCTTTATTTTTTTCTTATTTTATTCTGGGACTTAAATTACGTGCATGTTGGACCATTTATAATTACTTTGCCTCAGTTCTCAGGTGATTTGTTCTATTATATTTTTCAGTATTTTTTTCCTGAGATATTTTAATCAGATTGCCTTCTAAATCATTAACCATTTCTTAGGCCATGTTCAGTCTGCAATCAAGTGCTTCTTGTATTTTTTTTAATTTCTGATGTTATTTTTTATATTTCTGACATTTCCATTTTTGCATACTGTTCACGATGCTGCTGAAATTTTCCATTGCCACACACATTCACCTCCCCTGGCAAACCCCTTGGAATTTTGCTCATGTTTTCTTAAGGTTCCACTCTGCTAAATATATCAATATATTGTTTAGGGGACTGTTCCTATTAATTGTTTCATTTTATGACTGTGGGTCTATTTTCTTGAGTTTGTTTGTATGAATACGTGCGTTTTGCAATTTTTTTATTGTCAAACCTTCATTAATAGAATACAATAAACATACGAAAATATGTACCTACCAATCCCCCTTCTTCTAATTCCCAGAAAGCAAAAGTACTTCTCAGAAATTTCTCACAAAATACACACATATGCAATCCACACACAGTTTGAGAAATGAATAACCTTCCCACCCCCGATTTTTTCCCTTAACCTAGTCACCGCCCCTCCTCCCAGCCGTCCCCTCCCAGGTAGCCCCATCCTGACATTTATGATGATCCCTTTACTGCTTTTCTTTACATTTTTAACACTTAAATCTGACTCTCTAGAATAGCATCTTGCTTGCTTTTTATTTTAACTTTATGTAAATAGAATTATACAGTTTATATTATTTTATGCTGGTTTCCTTGCATAATATTATATTTGCAAGGTTCATCCATATTGTGGTTTATATTTGTACCAAATCTGGACAAACACGTTACCGTATCTTTTATGATTATAGATGCACTTGTCCTAAAGACAATTTTAGAAAATTGAATCTAATAGTAAACAACAAGAACAATGTGTCATATCTAAGTGGGGTTTATCCTAAGCATGTGAGTCAATTTTTGAAAAGCAATGTGAAAATTACTTCCCAGTTTTTGAATGTGTAACAGTATAGGCTCTTTTCAGGTCAGCCCTTAGGGTGATGGTTGAGCCGATCAGATTTGAGCCGGGTGTGGAGCTGATTAGTTATAATTTGATTCAGGTTATCACAGGATTCCAGTCGAGTTGGAGGTCAGCACTCTCCTTCCACTGAGGTCCGGGGTCCCAGCACACGTGGGAATCCTGAGGTCGCTTGTCCTCCCAAGCCGAGCCACCTGCTTTGGATCCATGCAGGATCTGTCCTTGCTGGAGGGTCTATGGCCTGCTCTGGGGGCAGCTGAAAACCCTTTGATCTCAGTTCCTGGCTTCTACTTTCTGAGTCCAGGGCCGTTTTCTTCGCCGGCAGTGCTGGGCTCTCAGGCCTCCTAAGGGGCATCCCGCAGGGCCTTGGTAGCTGCTTTAGATGGTTTCTCTCCTGTGGACCTACTCAACTCCTCTAGTCTTCAGTAATTGAAAGCCTGGGATGCATTCGACTTTTAAAATCTCAAGTTTCCTCCCCTGACCCCACAGTTTTCAGGAGAAAACCCAGGTCAACAGATGCTGCCTTACCCTCCCTCTGAAGGGTGGGGGGCCCCTCAGATCAACTCATCTCCACCTTCTGCCCCGGTACTTGCCCACCGTCAGACAGCTCTTCCCTGGAACTCGCAAGAGCCCTTGTAGATCTCAGGGAGCCGTCGCTTCCAGCTGTTTTTATCCACCCCCTCCCTCAATCCCCTTTGACACATGACACTTGGGCACTCAGTGAGACCCATGGACAGGTGGGCAGGGGAGAAGGCTGTTTCCATTGCTGGAGCTCGACCAACGTCAGCTCTGACATACAACTCCCCCAGGCCACTGAACACCCAGGAGAAGTTCATCTGACTCCTCCTTACCGAAGCTGTGTCAGATCCATCTCACTTCTGCAGTTGACCCGACTCGTGGAAGGTCGCTTCTGATTTTCTGTTCAGTTTATTTACACTTTTGTGTCTTGAGTTTTCTTAGGGTTAAAAAAAAACTATGGTTTTTGTAGTTTTTCTGACTCATTTTATTTTATGGTGAGAGTGATGGTCTCCTCTAACTTCAATATCTGAATCAGAAGCAGAATTCCCCCAACTTCCTTATTACACAGTTGAGAAAACTGACAGTTACAGAGTTAAGCGACCATGCAGCGAAATTACATATGGACCAATAAAAATCAAACCAAAAGTAGGGTATTTTTGTCTCCAAAGTTGTATTTGACTGAATTGACTAAAGTCATTAAATAGACAGTAAATTAAAGACATGGAGAAGATATTAGCTTTAGGATAATTGGTAGAATATGTCATCATGAAATTTAACATTGTGAACTAGCGAAATCTGATGTTGTCCTTCATGATTAGGTTGTTTTTGTAGGTGGTTACTAATAGCTGAGAATTGCAGGAGGGAAGTGAGAGCTGTAGGCATTTTCTCCCACGCATCTCTTGAGTAGATGGTGTGTTACTGTGACAACAGGTGTCAGATGACAGGAAGGAATTTTTATTAGCAGGCAAGCAACCAAAGCGATCCCAAACAGCCTGCTCTGTGAACTCAGTATCCCAAACAGCCTGCTCCGTGAACTCAGTGAAGTTCCACGCCATTTTCCTTCCTGGTGTTCCATTCCACAGTGGCCGAAATCTCATCTGAATCAGCTGTGACAATACTCCAGCAGAAACATCAGGCTACTGAATCATTAAACGCACATCTAAACACAGGGAAGTTAAGAATTCTAAATCGAGAGGCTGACTCTAAAACAGCATTCAGCTACATGTGACTGCTGAGCACTTCAATGTGCCTGGTGGACAGTGAGATGGACGCTAAGTGTAAAATACAAAATCCAAAGGTTTCAAAGGCAGCATGAAAAAGTGAAATATTGTATTAATAACGTTTATATTGATTACATGTGGAAAGGATATTTTGAATGCATCAAATTAAATATATTATTAAATTTAATTTCACCTGCATCCCTTTGTTTTTACTATCACTACTAGAAAAAGTAAAATTACATAAGTGCCTCACATAATATTTTCATCATGAAGCATTTGTCTAAACTAATTCATATCTGTTTCATTAGAAATTATTATATGCAGGCCAGGTGTGGTGGCTCATGCCTGTAATCGCAGCACTTTGGGAGGCCGAGGTGGGCAGATCACCTGAGGTTGGGAGTTCGACCCTAGTCTGTCCAACATGGTGAAACCCCGTCTCTACTAAAAATACAAAAATTAGCTGGGCATGGTGGTGGGTGCCTGTAATCTCAGCTACTTGGTAGGCTGAGGCAGGAGAATTGCTTGAACCTGTGAGGCAGAGGTTGCAGTGAGCCGAGATCACGCCACTGCACTCCAGCCTGGGCAACAAGAGCAAGACTCTGTCTCAAAAAAAAAAAAATAATAATAATAAGATTATATGCAAATTAATCTAAGATTGGAAAGAGACACGATGGGTGTCCTGTTCCCAATAATTTGGCTATATTGTTAGAGAAGATGGACGCTGACCCAGCAGAGTTGGCTTTACCATCACACAAGTTGAATTTTTTTTTTTCAATCTCCTTCTGAACAATGTCTTTATGCACTCCAAGAAGTGATTCTTTTCTATGCTGATGAAGTCGGGGACTCTCTGATAGGATGGTTATTGATTGTAGCTATGTAAGCCCCAAACCGCCTCTGAGATGAGTCCAGGACTTTTCAGTCCCCAAGATGCATGTCTTCCTGCCTCGCTAACGCTCAAGTTCTGCAACTAGACAATGGAGAGATTCTTAACTCCACAACCAGCCTCCTCTCTCCAGAGCCCTTCTCTCAGGGTGACCACTCAGTGCAATTCATTTAATATTACCAATTGTGGCTATTTTCATTCCCATCTCCAGTGTTTTAAATTGACCCATCTAGTTCATGGACCACATCACCGCTGACACCAAGAACCAGAGCTGCCCAGCACCCCTAGAGCGATTCCTTGGAGGCTTGGCTCACGAGGCTCAAGCCTGGGATCCACCCCACGCCTTTTCGGATGTCCGCCCTGTTTCACCCACTGCAGCACCCACTTCTCTTTGGTGTGTTCACCTGTCAGACTGCCTTTTAATTTTTTTTAATTTTAGTTTTAATTTTTATTTTTTGGGGGGATGGAACCTTCTTCTGCTGCCCAGGCTGGAATGGGGTGGCATGATCTCAGCTCACTGTGACCTCTGCCTCCGGGGTTCAAGTGATTCACCTGTCTCAGCTTCCCAAGTAGCTGAGACTAAGCCACCTGCCACCATATCCAGCTAATTTTTGTATTTTTAGTAGAGATGGGGTTTCACCATGTTGGCGAGGCTGGTCTCGAACTCCTGACCTCAAGTGATTCACCACCTGTGCTTCCCAAAGTGCTGGGATTACAGACATGAGCCACCAAGCCCAGCCAAGACTGCCTTTTAGATTTAATCTGCTTATGCTCTGACTTTCCATAAATTCCTTAATCATGTTATAGCCAAGATTTTTAAATTGATACATACTATTTGCACATATTTATTGGTACATGTGATATTTTGATAGGTGCACAGAACGTGTTATGATCAAAGTAGGGTAGTTAGCATATCCATCACCTCAAATGTTTATCATTTCTTTGTGTTGGGAATGTTTCAAATCTTATAGTTGTTGTGAAATATACAATAGAGTAAACCTGCTGGGCTATGGAATATCAAAATGTATCCCTTCTATCAAGTCTATGTTTCTATCCATTAACCGACCTCGTCATTCCTCCTCCCCAATCTACACATCCTTTCTAGCCTCAGGTCTCTATCATTCTACTCTCTAGCTCCCTGAGATCAACGTTTTATGCTCCCACATATGAGTGAGAACATGTGATATTTGTCTTTCCGTGCCTGGTTTATTTCACTTAACCTAATGACCTCCAGTTCCATATATGTTGCTGCAAAACACATTACTTCATTGTTTGCTATGGCTGAATAGTATTTAATTGGTATATGTACCACATTTTCTTTATGCATCCATCCACTGATGGATGCTTAGGCTGATTTCATGTCTTAGCTGTTGTGAATAGTGCTGCAATTAACAAGGGAGTGCAGGTGTCCCTTTGATATCATGATTTCTTTTCCTTTGGGTAAATACCCAGTAGTGGGATTGCTGGATCATACCGTAGTTCTATCTTTAGTTTTTCAGAAACCTCCATCCTATTTTCCATAGTAGCTATACTAACTTACATTCCCATCCACAGAGGATAGTAAGGATTTCTGAATCGCGCAATGACTTTCCCGTGAGATCACTTCTTCTCCAGCCACAGCGATTAAACAAAACAGAATAAATAATAGAATATGCATGGAAGTGGTATAGCCAAATATTCCGAGTTGCAATAGAAAACACATTAGTTTTAGAAGCTTTGCCTGCACCATTGCTTAGTCTTAGTGATTGCCCATGGCTGAGAGCAGTCTTTTGCCCAGCGTTTCTACCACAAGCATGCTCTCCCTGGACTTGCAGCCTGCACACTTCATACGTGGCTGTGAGAAAGGTTAATCCATTTCAGTCATGGATAGGCTTTAAACTAATTAGTAGCCACATTCACAAGGTATTATGCAGAACCTCCTAGTCAACCAACTTTCTTCAAAGATGTCTCTGCCAGACCCCTACAGGTTTGTGTGGCTGGTTGGCCTTTTGCAATTCATTCCCTCGGGAGTCAATTAAGTTATTTTACCCTAAAAGTTTTCCTTCTTTCTAGGAGAGTTCCGTAGGTTACTAGCGCACTTGGTACTTTTAATTAGCAGTTTTACGACCTGCTTCTGCACTCTGTGTCTCTGCAGAACAGCTGTATTCAGTATGCAACAGGAGGCACAGCTTTGATTCCTTTTCTTCCCTTAAATGTGCAGTATTCCTCATAACTATTAATAGGGGATAGAAGATTAAATATTAATCATTGGTAGTCCTGATAGATTAAATATCAGAGAGATGCATAGTTAATTTTCAACACCTTGGAGTGACAAATCATTTTTTCTGACCACAGAATTTAAAGCAAGTGACTAAGTTCGAGTTTCATATGTTTAAGGATTAAACAAGTGATGAGAATAGATTATGACTTTAGTCAAGTCTAAGCTTATGTAATTTCTTCCTTTAGTAATTTATCTTTATTACCTGTCTTATGTTCATATCACAACTACAAAACTACTCAGCCAAAGAGATATTTCAGTGAAGAGAGTTAAAAAATTATTTTAACTTCTAAAGTAACTTTCAAATATGTTTAGATCAGTGATGTTTTGTTTTGCTTTGTTTTTTGGGGGGTCAGATTTTTATATTCTGCGAATGCTTTTTTCTTTTTTTGCATAACCTGTGACCCTGTTTTTCTTTTCTTTAATTAAAAAGATCATAGTAGTTAGCCTAGCTATTCAGCTTAGTAAAAATTGCATGGTGCTCAAATTTAAATAAATAAAAAGCAAATGAGCATTTGTTCTGAAAAATATTAAAGAATATGAGAAAAAACACCCTGTAATAATTTTCTCAAGAACATATAAAAGCTTGCATCGGCCGGGCGTGATGGCTCACACCTGTATTCTCAGCACTTTGGGAGGCTGAGGCAGGCGTATCACAAGGTCAGGAGTTTAAGACCAGCCTGACCAATGTGGCGAAACACCGCCTATATTAAAAATACAAAAATTAGCCGGGCATGGTGGTGTGCACCTGTAGTCCCAGCTACTTGGGAGGCTGAGGCAGGAGAACGGCTTGAACCCAGGAGGCAGAGGTTGCAGTGAGCTGAGATGGCGCCACTGCACTCCAGCCTGGGCGACACAGGGAGACTCCACCTCAAAAAAAACAAAAAAACAAACTTGCATCATAGAATAAAGAAAAAACGAAAAGATCACCATTAGAATCCTCTAATGTAATTATCTATGAGGAAAGAAGCAGAGAAGGAGAATGAAAAATCCATTCATTCAACAACAACAAAAAATACGGTCTAGACTTTGCTGTCAGTGCTGGCAATGTAGCTACTGAAAAACAACATTTTCCTTCGTTGAAATTACATTCGAGTGAGTCTCAATGCCTGAAGGCACCTGCCTGTTTTCTGCAGCGGGTACAGGGAGCTTTACGTATCTTCCTGTCCATCCATCCTGCAGCTCTCTGGGGGCAGGTCCATTGGTTTCAATGGTGAAGAAACTGTCTAAGGCGGTGTGCCTTGTTCAGCATCACACTCAAGCTCTATATCTTAGACAGTGCTACATACCAGGCTACGCTATGGGCCTTCCTCTGACATCTGGGTCCCCTTTCCCCGAGATCAGCCCCACCCACAATGGCTGCAGCCCCCAGCATCTGCCTCCAGAGCGGCGTCTTCTGTGTGACACTCAGGGATGGAGCAGGGGGAGTGTTCGCAGGGAGAGGACTTCCGGAACCGGGCCGATTACCTTCATCGGTGTTAGCAATTGTGCCGTCTGGTAAGCTCTGCATTCACTTTCCCAAGGATGGCCCTTCACTGTCCTGGAGCTGTAGAACTTGATCTGTTCACACCCTTGAATACAGAAATGAATAGGGTTTTCCAGGAAAACTTCTGGGCAGCGTAGAGGTCCTTACAGGATTCTGGAAGATGTGCTCTTTCCAAACAAAAATATCACCCAAGAAAGAGAGAGACATTGTTTCCAGGAATATTGGGTTGGACCTCATGGTGCTGTCTGGGCCACAGGCCTGAAAGTAACCATTGGCTGTTGGGACAAGAATCGGGGAGCCCAGGAGGAAGGCTGCCTCTCGGAAGATGATTTGGAAGAATGGAAATATGATAGATAAAATCGTGGAATACCCAGAATACAATGTAGATACATATAGAAAAATATGCATGTAAAATGTCATCGTTAATGCAAAAAACCCACAACTCTGCAGAAAAGAAAATGCGATTTTAAAACACCAGACTCCACACAAAGATTGTAATTTGACTAAGAGGGTGGTATAATTGTAGTGGGGGGTGGTGAGGAAGGAAACAGGCCCAAGGAAGAGTTGATCTGCCGCTGTCATTAAAAAGCAGTTCCCTATGCCCCAAATGGATAAGTCTCTGAAGGACAGTGTGAAGGTTTTGTTTAATAAATCTGAAGGTTACCACGGGAAGACTCAGGTGACAGAGTTCACAGCCATTGTGTCTAGTGTCTAATGAGCTGGAGTGTGAGAAGTAACAGAAAAACAACCGTTTTATTTCTCAAAATGATAAATAAATTTCACCACTAGTTAAGTTCTTAATATTAGATATGTACTAGTCTGATAAAAATTAAAACACAGGGTGGGTGTGGTAGCTCACACCTGTAATCCCAGCAGTTTGGGAGGCCAAGGCGGGTGGATCACCTGAGCTCAGGAGTTCGAGACCAGCCTGGCCAACATGGTGAAACCCCATCTCTACTAAAAATACAAAAATTAGCTGGGTGTAGTGGCTGGCTCCTGTAGTCCCAGCTACTCAGGAGGCTGATGCAGGAGAATTGCTTGAACCTGGGAGGTGGAGGTTGCAGTGAGTCGAGATCATGCCATTGCACTACAGCCTGGGTGATAGAGTGAGACTCTCCCCCCCTCCAAAAAAATTAAAACACAAAGAATTCATTTTATTTAAATGAACTTGCTCTTTTAAATTCATATAAAAAGTTGTGAAAAAAATCAGAAATAGAACCTGTTTTTCCAGATTCCCAAAAATCTCAGGATGAAAATTTTTTTTTTTTTTTTTTTTTTTTTTTTGCCCAGTTAAACACATATTTTTAGTGAGAGCTTGTGATCCAGCCACTGCACTGGGCACCGAGGACTCCAAGTGGAAGATGATGTCATCCACAATGGCATCTCCAGGGGAATCGATTTTGATGACTCCAATCAAGGCAGGCGGGTCAATGGCAGCGACCACTGAAGATGCTATGGCTTGAGAGGGAAGGAGAGAGGCAGCCACTGCCTGAGGTGAGCTGGGGTGATTCTGGATTAGGAGGAGGACTAAGGCACTTGGCAGGGGAACTGGATCAGAGCAGAGAGTCAGATCTGCAACTTTTTTTTTGAGACGGAGTTTCCCTCTTGTTGTTGGCCAGGCTGGAGTGCAGTGGCACGATCTTGGCTCACTGCAACCTCTGCCTCCCGGTTTCAAGTGATTCTCCTGCCTCAGACTCCCGAGTAGCTGGGATTACAGGTGTCCGCCACCATGCCTGGCTAATTTTTGTATTTTTAGTAGAGACGGGGTCTCACCATGTTGGCAAGGCTGGTCTCCAACTCCTGACCTCATGACCCTCCCGCCTCAGCCTCCCAAAGTGGTGCGATTACAGGTGTGAGCCACCGCGCCCAGTCTAGATCCGCATCGTACAAGGCTTTCTGCCTGTGGGAACTGCAAACGCATAAGGACCAGTGGCAGCTGAGCTCAAAAGCAATGGAGAAAAGGGGGCAGGTTACAAAGGCACCAAGCCTTTTTCCTATCATTCACATCCAATTCAACTATAGAGGAAATAGATGTCTATACTGGAACCAGTACACATGTATAACTGCTGTTACTGGTCATTTATTTTAATATTTCCATCTGGATTTTTCAGTTAAAGATGCACCCGATATGTTTCATTTCTTGAGGTAAAATTCATAGGGCAAAACTGGTTTGTAATATAAAGTAGTGGTTAACACTATGAGCTTCAGACTCCAGGCTAGTATAGTATTTGAGCAAGGTTTATAACCATTCTGGAATCTGATGGTCTTAACCATCAAAATAACTATTAACTGTATTTACTTAATGGTGTTGCAATATGGTTTAATTGAGATAACATATTAGAGTAATCCAAAGGAGCCCAGCAAATAAGAAATTCTCACAGAATTCATCTCGGTCCTTCTCAGATTGTGGGTTTATTGAATCCTTCCCTCTTCCTCTGTCTCCCACTGGCTAAAAGGAATAGCAAAATGGATTAGCTCACTTTTAACAGACAGATCCAGGATTTAAGATAAATATTTTAATATAAAATATATCCTTCTTTATACTGTTTTGCAATGAGTAATCCTGTAAGATTGAATACAAGATGGAAAGGTAAGCCAGAATACGTTAAATTATTCTTGGTTTTACGTAATGTTCAAAAACACTTAGCATCCAAAATGTGCAAAGTATGCTTTAAAATTCACGTTAAGAAATCACTTTTGCTAGACATTTCTTTCTATCAGACATTATTTCAGAAGTATTAGTATAAGTAGGGTAGAAATAGTCTGACAAAAATCTTTCATGACACTTACACTCATATCCTTGCTTACAAATGCATGAATACATTGCATTCTATGCTTCTTTTATACTTTATAATTTCATCCTTTTAAAAAACGTATTTTTTCTTTTATGTAATATTTGTAATAACTAAAATTTATATTTTTCATCAAATGAGGAGTCAATATATAAATGAAATGCATTCAATTACGTTAGTCACTTTAGCGAGACTCTGCCTTTAGAAGTCTTGCACACCCCGATGGATGTCACAGAAAATTCAGGAGAGGATGCTGATGCTGGGAGCTCCCAGTGGGACAGCCCTTCCTGGGTCCTTACCAGCCCACTGAGCATGTCTTTGAATGCATCTTTTGTGACAGCTCACAGCTGGGAGATATTTTGCAGGTATAGTAAAAACAATCTGCAAGCAAGGGAGGAATTCAAGACAGTGATTTTGACATTTTCTTGGTCTTCCTAAATTTTTTGTATTTATTTATTATTTATTTATTTTTTATTTTATTTTAAGTTCCGAGATACATGTGCAGAATATGCAGGCTTGTTACATAGGTACACATGTGCCATGGTGGTTTGCTGCACCTACTAACCCATCATCTGGGTTTTAAGCCCCACATGCATTAGGTATTTGTCCTAATGCTCTCCCTCCCCTTGTCCCCCACCGCCAACAGGTCCTAGTGTGTGTTGTTGCCCTCCCTGTGTCCATGTGTTCTCATTGTTCAACTCCCACTTACAAGTGAGAACAATCGGTGTTTGGTTTTGTATTCCATGTTAGTTTGCTGAGAATGATGGCTTCCAGCTTCATTCATGTCCCTGCACAGGACATAATCTCATTCTTTTTTATGGCTGCATAGTATTCCATGGTGTATATGTGCCACATTTTCTTTATCCAGTTGATTATTGATGGGCATTTGGGTTGGTTCCAAGTCTTTGCTATTGTAAATAGCGCTGCAATAAGCATACCTGTTCATGTGTCTTTATAGGAGAATGATTTATAATCCTTTGGATCTATATCCACTAATGGGATTGCTAGGTCAAATGGTATTTCTGGTTCTAGATCCTTGAGGAATCACCACACTGTCTTCCACAATGGTTGAACTAATTTACACTCCCACCAACAGCGTAAGCTTCCCTATTTCTCCACAGCCTCGCCGGCATCTATTGTTTCCTGACTTTTTAATCATAGCCATTCGGACTGGAGTGAGATGGTAACTCATTGTGGATTTGATTTGCATTTCTCTGATGATTGGTGATGATGAGCTTTTTTTCATATGTTTGTTGTCCACATAAATATATACAAAAATTACCTCAAGTTGGATTGAAAACTTAAATGTAAAACCAAAAACCATAAAAACCCTAGAAGAAAACCTAGGCAATACCATTCAGGATATAGGCATGGGCAAAGACTTTAAGACTTAAAACAGCAAAAGCAATTGCAACAAAAGCCAAAATTGACAAGTGGGATCTAATTAAACTAACGAGCTTCTACACAGCAAAAGAAATTAGCATCAGAGTGAACAGGCAACCTACAGAATGGGAGAAAATTTTCACAATCTACCTATCTACAGGAACTTAAACAAATTTACAAGAAAAAAACAAACAACCCCATCAAAAAGTGGGCAAAGGATATCAACAGATACTTCTCAAAAGTCTTCCTAATTGTTTTTTTCCTTTTTTTTTTTCTTTTTTTAGACGGAATCTCCCTCTGTCGCCCAGCTTGGAGCTCACTGCAACCTCTGCCTCCTGGGTTCAAGCAATTTTCCTGGCTCAGCCTCCAGAGTAGCTGGGATTACAGGTGCCTGCCACCATGCCCAGAAAATTTTTGTATTTTTAGTAGAGATGGGGTTTTGCCATGGTGAACAGAGTGGCCTCGAACTCCTGACCTCAGGTGATCAGCCAGTCTTGGTCTCCCAAAGTTCTGGCATTACAGGCATGAGCCATCTCGCCTGGCCTCTTCCTAATTTTTAATACTAAATATCTCATGGGGATTGAGAATAAAGCAAATATTTCCAAAGTGGCAATGCCCCTGTTGTAGAGCATAAAGGTCTTGGTGGAAATTTTGAGTCTCACAGACCTGGGTTTTCATAGAGTTTTACTCACTTTACACATTACAGACCCTTTGACAGGGCATTCTCTCCCTGCCTCTAGTACTGCCTCATCATATTGTTTCTTGGATGTTTTTAATATAACACAGCCAGTAACAGGCGCTCCATGTAATGACGCTATGCATGTGGTCTGTGAGCCGGGAGGTCAGTGTGTGTCATCCTTGGGCGCTCCACACCCCTCCCCAAACCCACGTAGATTCAGTGTGCTCAACCAGAAAGACGTAATCAGAGAGAATAGCCTGGCATTTCTTGGATTTGGTACCTATCTTTTCAGTTCAATAGAATGGAGTTAAAATAAAAAAAAAAAAAAAGAAACCTTTCTGAGCTCCTACTATATGACTGAATATACAGAAATGAAGAAATAAATAGACTCAGTTTTTCAATAACTTGCAGACTAAAGAGAAAACAGAAGCCCCAGCCACCTGGGGGCGGGGGAGGGGGGGCCTGACGTTAGAAAACACTAGGCCAGGTCTGCACAATGCAGCAGAAGAGTCCGACCTCAGGGCGGTGCACCTTCTTGACCTGAGATGAGACTAAGGCTAGAACGTTCAGAGATGGAACAGCCCGAGCCAAGTGATCGTGTGAACGGTTCCATGACCCTGAAGAACGAAGTGGGTGCGGCAGGACAGGAGACTGGTCAGGCAGAGGCCAGGTGAGGAGGAATCTCGTCTGTTGCCCTGAGACCTGGTGGACAAGGTGGAACCACTGAAAGGCACCTCCCGTCAGGCACACACATTAAGGACTCGTGACTGAAGGATGTTGGTTTGCATAAAGCTAAAAAAGCCCTTATCACAAAATGTGTACATGCAATGCCTGGTAGGCATAATGAATGTTGTGGAAACTGTTCTCAGTCAATTTCTCTAAGTCTTAGAGAGAGCAATGGATTATTCCTGTCTGTATTTTACATTATCACAATTTTTGTATAGACAAAGCCAGTATCTTTAGCTTGTCTGTCTCCCTCATCTGCGCATACGTACGGAGCATCGTCACCACCTGTTGGAATGACCTGAAGTGCAACAAAACTCCATACAGAAAAACCAGATCTATAACAGTGAGGCCAACAAGTTCCATTCTTATTGGAGGCAAGCACCCAATTCAATTAGCATCCAAATGTACAAAAATGAGTAATGTCCGTGTCACCCACGTAATGTGTGTGTTCTGAGGCCACGATCCCTTTAGTCACAAACAATGTCAACACATGCAAATCTCCGTCTTGTGTTTACAGATTCACAGTATGTAAATTAGAACAAGAAAATCATATCAGAACGTTTTATGGATACTGTTCTCAAGTATTTTAGTGTGACTTGGCATAAGGGAATGAGAAGGCGCCACAGAGGGAACTTGAGTTGATTGCATCTGGTGAGATAAACCCCAAGAAATCCTGGCTTGAAGACATCAGGCTGATGTGAGTAGAGAGAATGTGAGCCTGGGAATAAATCAGTGGAGAATTTAATGAGGTAAAATGCTTTGAAGTGGTTTAAAGTAATTCTTAAAGTGATTTTTAAATTGCACAACTAAAACTTGCCGAAAAATACAGCTGTTTTGTAATAAGTTGAACTCAGGAACAGCAGTTATCACTTTTGTTTTTTGTCTATGCCATGAAAGCCTGTCTTTGCAGAATTCCAAGTCCTCGAATAAAAGAAAAAACCACTGCTACTATTCAGGCAGATAAAACTCAATGATAAACATAGCTTGTTTAAGCTAGAAATCTGGGAAAAATTAAAAATGGAAATGCCACTTGCACCATCAGGGACAAATCTACTTGAAAAATGAAACTCTTCATGGAATCCCCACTAGGGCCATCCAGCCATTTCCCAGTGAGAGCATATTGCATTCAACACAGGCTGATGTGCGAAGTATAAAAGACGTTGCTATTCCCATCTTCACTGTAAACGTACAGTCAAATATCACAGCCAATTAATTAAATCAATTAACTAATTAACTAAACCTGAGCAACTTCCGATTTGGATTTTGTCTTTCCATTCCTCCTACCATTTCAAGATCAAATCTTGCTGAACAAGCTCTATCTAAGCTGCTTTAGGTGGTTTTTGCTCTTTATTTTTTTCCTTCATACTCTTATCTTTCTGTATGAAATATTTTGTGGTGAACGCAGCTATGTTTAATTTTGCCTGGCCTCAGTTTTTTTTTTTTTTTTTTCTGTTGTTTTTAAACACAGGAATAGGAAATTACATCTTCAGGGAGAGAAAATTATTCCAAGTCTCATAATTGTTTAACCTGGGAACAGAAAATTATGTTGTTTTCAGACTTCATGCCCTAAACATTTCAAATTGTTCTTACCGTTCTAATCTAAATTATGAGCCCTGCGTCCTTCTCAATCATGTGCTGTATTCCACACACAATAATACAAACCACAGTCCTCCGTTGTGTACGTGTATTTGCCTATCAGATTTCTCTAGAATAGAATCACAGTAAGGGTGATGCTCAAACACATCTTGTAAACATTGACTCTCAAATACCTGACTCAGAGCCTGAGACATGTCTTGTGCTAATAAACATGTGACTAATTATATAAATTTACAGCATAAGAAGGGCACGTGTAGATAGTGGCATGTGATTTATAAGATATGTAGGAAATTATCTTTGCTTGCTGTTTATAAGATAGCGTGCAAAACACCTGCTCGTTGAACAGGTGTTTATGCAACACCAACTCATTGAACTGTGAGATTTCTCCTAGTGGCAGAGTGTCCATTTCCGGAGAGGGTGTCCTATCTGAAGGGCTGAGCTCTGGAAGCCGAGGCTGTGCTCAATATTTCTGCTCACTCTCTGTCCCTCCTCTTCTTTCTGTGTGCTCTGTCTGTCAGAGGATTCTGATGTATGTAAAAAATCACATTTCGCCAAATTCCTGGCTGTCTGGATTATGGATACAGCTTCAATTTTCATATGAGACATTCTTCTGAGGGATTAGGAAGTCAAAACAGAAGTAGAGACATAGAGATAGGTGTGGATTCTCAGGGTGCAAGAGAAGGCATACAGGTATGGAATATTTAACTGATCTTGTCAGATTTTCTGAAATAAATATATTAGCTTCCATAGCTGAAGGGTGATCCAATTTAGTGTCTAGTAGTTGCATAAATTCGGGTCTAACTGGTGACCTGTATCAAATATGTGTGCAATACTCGAGCATCCCTGGTATAAGGCAGAGAGAAGGACTGAAAGGCTTGCATGGAAATGCTGGGATAAACGACCATGAATGGCTCCCACCTGCCTCCTCTGCTTACATCTCTAGGACAGTCCAGGGGACCACTCAGGTCATTAAGGTGCATGAATGACGGGAACTCCAACATCCTTAAAGAGCACAGTAGTAACTGATTTTGAAGGCCAGTGATAAAGGAGTGGAAATGACACCACCAAAATGAGGTCCTGGATGTCAATAAGCATGACAATGCACCAGAGGATGGGGCGGGCGTGATGGTCCCAGAGGGTGGCAGGGGCGGGGGTGGCCTGATGGCACCAGAAGGCGGGGGGGGGGGGGAGCTGATGGCACCAGAGGACAGGACAGGAGCTGGCATGATGGCACCAGAGGGCGGTGATGGGGGGAGGTGTGATGGTCCCAGAGGACCGGGAGCAGGGCGTGATGGTATCAGAAGGTGGGGGCAGC
Organism: Homo sapiens; assembly: GCF_000001405.40. Lineage (NCBI taxonomy): Eukaryota > Metazoa > Chordata > Mammalia > Primates > Hominidae > Homo > Homo sapiens. The sequence goes on from NC_000008.11 coordinate 2,668,382, forward strand.
CATGATGGCTCCCCAGAGGGCTGACACACAGAGCTGGAGCTCACTAACAAGAGAGAAGGTGGACTTGGTTACTGTAGTGAATAGTAAGGTTGGGATAACAATTGGGATGGTTTGACCTGCAGGGAGCTGCCGCTAATTGATTATGGTATCCATAGGAGTGTAAAAGGGAGGCTGAAAACTAAAGCTTTGCTTGATTTTTTTTAACTCGGACTCTTATGTTCTATTTACCCTGCTAGATATAGGTTTTATTCTTTTCTAATGTGATCTGGGTCAAAATTAAAACAACAACAAGAACAATCCTCCTTGCCATTGGCTCCAGTTGGGTTTGTTCAACAAGGAGACCCGGTTTGGCGGAAGAAACTAAAGGGAAGCAACATAGTGAGGCCAGGGTATTTATTTCCCGTAACACCCAGCCAGGCCCTCTCAGGATGGCCACGTCCCTGGATTAAAGGTAACTGTTCTCCTCATTGCAGCCAGACAATAGGAACATCTACTTGCGTTTTCTTCAACCCAAACTCTCCCCCTTATCAGGTGTGGAGTAAGTGAGATTTGAGAGAATGGCCTTCCTGCTGCTAATCTCAGAATTATTTCTTGAACATCTCCCACAGCCTAACCCATGCCTTTGTAAATAGTCCCTTTCCTGCCAAAGTTCTGGAGAAGGCACAGCCCAAGGCTAAAATGTCAAGGAATCAGCTTAACTGGGAGGGAGAAGCACCCAGCTGTGAGTTAGAGGGACTGGGGAGTGAGAGAGCCAAACAGAGGTAGAAGGTCCCTCTTCCAGCTCTGCTGTCTTGGTGTTCAGGAATTATCCTGAGGGGATGCAAGGAGAACCACACCTCGGTCTCCAAGAGAGGAAAGGATGGGAAATGTATCTGACTAAATCTCACTAGTATCCCATTCTCCCAGTTTGCACCATGGGTCCGCGGCTAATTCCACACACCTGCTCTCTGGCCCGGCATTTGCACCGAAAGCAGCTATCCTGTGTGGTGCTGCATCCACGTTTGGAGGTCGAGGGGCCACCCCATTTAGGTGTTGTCCCAACTGAAGTAGGGAGATGATCAGAAGAGTATGAGAAAAAAACAAAAGATTGCTGTACAAGTCGTTTTGAAAATTAACTCTTCTTGAGCAACCCAATTTCAAATGAACCCTTCATTTCCTGATGCTACTCTAAGTGATACAGTAAGAAAAAAAAACAATATGCAGGTTGATGATCACGAGTGACTTGACATGGGTCCACATGGAGAGTCTAGTCCCTCCATACTGACAAAGCTGAAGCTGAAAGGATGTCACACCTTTGGTCTCCCGCAATTAAGCACAAGTGATGGTGGGGCTTGGGAATGACCGAAGTCTCCCAGGTCACCTTGGAATCCGCTGCCATCCCTTTTACCACCAGACTCACCAGGCTTCCAGCGCTGAGTGGAGATCAGGGCAGAAAGGGTCCTGCTGCCGCTCAAGGCGTGGGGCAGCTGCTGTTTCTGCTGAAGACTTAGGACTCAGGAAGTCACAGGTTTCTGAAGGGGCTATGGGAGCACAGAGGGCTTCCTGGTCAGTGGCAGGGACGACAATGCTGCAGATCAGGAGGAACCTGGGAGCGTCTGGGGAAATCTTTAGTCGCAGAGATTCATGGGCTGGGAGGGAGAGGGTGCATACACCTAAGTGAGTGTCTCCACAAGGCTCCTTCTCCAGATCCCTGGGTGTGGCACACTTTGAGTTTTGGAGCCAGAAAACAATGGCTAGCCCTCTTATTAACAGATTTCTTCAGTAATTCTCAGGATCAATGATTAAAACAAAACAATAGCAACCACAAAACAAAAAGAAAAATAAAACAAACCGCACACATCACATACAGGGATATTATGATAAAAGTTAACACCTCTGAAGCTAAACAATAACTGATACGATCTCCATGAGTAAAAAAAGTTACACAAAAGAGAAAAACTGAATGAGACTAGCAGTAGTTAGCGGTGCCAGATAAACTACAGAACACAAGTTGTTTTTCAATTTCCAAAGAATAATATATATTACATATTTTTATTAGGTTGGTGCAAAGTAATTGCAGTTTTTGTCATTAAAAGGAATGGCAAAAACCGCACACTTTTGCACCAACCAATATATAAAAATATGTATTATGTATCTATAATGGGCATGCATTATATATCTCAGATGCTGAGACATATATTATATAAGTATATCTATCTCAGATATTGTACAGGATATACTTAAAGGATATTACTTTTTTGTTTGTTCCATAAAAATAAGTTTGAAAGTTAAATGATAGAAGTTGAACAAACCCAATATCCGTCAAAGTGAAATTTAAGATTAAAACATGAATTCGTGAAATAAGTTGAAGACAAACATTAAATAAAATTTCATATGGTATGAAATGGCATAATGAAGGGGGTATAGCAAACATTAACCATTCTAGACCAAAGAATATAGCTGTTCAATTTACAAAGCAAAGATGGTTCTAAATTTGGGAGAACTTTATAATTTATAATCTTGGTAGATGATAATCATACATCTCTTTTAGAATATAGCAGACATAATAAAGTAAAAATTAGTGAGAATATAGAGAAACAAAAATATATAATAAACACATGTGGTTTAACAAATGTCTGCAAAATGATATAGCCTATACATAACTAAAATCAATATTTATGTCCACGGAGAAGTTCCAACATTTTTTCAAGTACTGTACAAAGTAATTTTGAAATGCTGGAGATTACATTTTTAAAAAATCTAATAAAAATACAAATATAAAAATAAAAAACAACCTTAGCATCTGTGAGGTTTAATAAAGTCTCTCCAAGATATCCTTACATCAAAAGATGCAATTGTAAATTGCATAGAATTCAATGAAAAACAGAGTACCACTGACTAAAATAATGCTTAGATATCAATGGTTGTGCAGTTTAATAAAAAGGAAATTTTTCCTGTCATTGTATCATATTTGAACAACTTCACCAGAATAAACCAAATGGAAACACAAACTACAAAATAATAAGAAAAAAGTTTAAATTAATAAAGCAAGAAACAAAAAGCATAAATAATAAGTAACTAGAAACCCTGGTTCTTTGTAAAAATGAAACAAAAAAGGTATTGAGCACAGTAATGCCAAAACAGAAAATATAATTAGAAATGATGAAAACATCATATAACCACAGATATAGAAGAGATGAAGTATTATAGGCTAATAATGCATGCAACTGTAGTATTATATCTTCTAATTCAGAAGCCTGGACAATTAGGCTGATTTTGTACACAGAATATATATTACCAGTGTTGACTCAAAATTGAATAGAACATTTGAATCAATCACTGAAAGTACCACGTACATTTTTGGAAAGTTGATGAAGGAGACATCGTTAAAGAGAGATTCGTTTTGTTACTGAAGTACAACTTAGGAGTGGATTGTTTTATATGGTAGGATGTTGGACAGCTCCCTGGTTCATTTTATGGCGGCAAAACCTAACTATGGGAACAAGATAAAGTCAAAAACAAATCAAAACAAACTAAACCCAAAGAGACAAAGAAGTACCCAGAGATGATTTCCCTTGTCCACCTGACTCGAGAGCTCCTCCACCACTGGTGTCCTCGGACGAATATTCAACATGAGCCACAACGCCCACCGCAAGTCATCTGTTCACGTTTCTCTTTGGGGTGAGTTCTACACTTTTTTTTTCTTCAATTCCCTGACCATTCACCCAAACGACTGCAGTCTTCCAGCCAAGGGAGGCTTGTCTCCCTCAGGAGAAGATGGAGAGCAGCTTCACTGGCAAGGGAGACGTGGGAGGGAATTCGGAACACACATGTCTAAAAATCTTCCGAATTTTCCCCACAGCTCCATTCTAAAGCTTGGTAGCCCACTACGTCTCAGTGTTGTAATTAGCACATGACATCCTCGAGACCCCGGGGGTTCAATGTACATCACAATTTTGCAAAACACAATTAGATTTAGAGTCTTTTTTTATCCGTATAAAAACTCTATAGTTAAAAGAAACAAGAAATCCCTTTGGCTCCTCCATAAAAACTCCTGTCTGACTGTGCTTTGAGCTGAGAGTTCAAGTTTCTCATTTTCCGTGTCTAGGTGTCCAGTGCAGTTGGACACAAGCGTTCCCTCCACAGACCTGAGTTAGAAACACTCAGCACCCCTGGGGTCCCTTCACGGGCCACTCCAACCAAGCAACCGCAAGGAAAGCTACATGGTTACGAGGCCACTGAGCCAGGCATTACGTACTGTCATGGAGGGGTAAACAAGGGCCCCAGGCCCAACCCTGAGACCGTTACTGCCACAAATCACTGCACCTGAAAGCATTCCGTCAGGAGAAGGGAGCCACCCTCAGTTCCACCCAGAGGACATGTAAATAGGGCTCGGGTGATGTGCTGGGGGGACTAGGAAAGTGGAAAGGAAAAAGGGAGAGGTTGAGGAGCAAAATGGAGACATGGAAAGGCAAGAGATTGTATATTCATAGAGATATAGGGAAGGGGACAAGATATTTTAAAGCCCGAAGGAGCAGACTTGGAAATAAACAAGACTGGGATTCAGGCACAGCTACCTACCTGCTTTGACAGAGGTCTTGCTCCAGCAAAGGCTGAGACCAGCGTTCAACCTGATGCCACTTACCATGAGCAAGAGAAACACAAAGCTGCACAGAGCCAGGGCACGCAGGCACCGGGAGTCCGTGTGTACAGTGAGGAAGGGAGAAGGCCCCTGGGCTACCCAGGGAGTCCTAGTTTCTGAATGAAAACGAAGCCACTTTGTGTCTCTCCCACCCTCTCTCCCTTTCTCTGCCTCTGTGTCTCTGTTTCTCTCCTTCTCTAATTCTCCACCTTCCCTGTTTCTCTTGCTTTCTGCTGTTCTCTTTCTCTTCCCCCCACTGTCTCTGCCTACCTCTCCTTCTCTCCTGCCTTTCCCCCTTTCTCTATTTCTGTTTGGTCTCTCCTCTCTCTCTCTGTCTTTCCTCTGTCTTTCTCACGGTTTCTCTCTATATATTCCTATCTCTCTAGATGTAGCTCTGGCTCTATACCTCTCTGTGAACTAGTAACAAGATGCAGCATGTAAAGTTATTTTCTCAAGGATATATTAGTCTCTGTAAAAAACATTTTTTCTCTCACAGTACTGTACATGTCAATGTGATTTTATTAAAACCTATTCCACCCTTTGATTTATAGAGGCTTTTCCCCCAAACTCTATTATTTATAATTCACATGATGGTATAAACCATTTTGTAGGTCAAATAAGTTTGGGACCTGACTTCATAATCTTTACTGCCACGATAATATATAATAAGCTCAGCGGGAACTATTTTAAACTCAAATGGAATTTCTGTCAGCTAATTCCTGAGATTTTTAATCTGACTTATAAATTGTCAAGTCTCAACAAGTATCAGCCACAAAAATAGGTATAAACGACATGAAGAAAATGATTTCAGTGGTAATACCAGTTAATTTGTCAATTATCACATCATGACAGAAAATAATGTATTTCATTAAATTTTCTTAGGTGTTGATTATTTCTTGTGGATCAGAAATGATCTTTTGCTTGAAAATAAATCACATTGGGAATTGTATAAAATTGGCAGAAAGTTAACCATTTTTGCTGTTCTGTACATATTTTAAACAAGAAATTTTCTACAAAATCGGAAGATGGACTTTTGGGGCTAGAACTTTCAACTATGATGTCCTGTGTTAACACAGAGAAATCTTATTTTAAGAACTGATTATATGAGGCAGAGCCAAAGCATGCTAATTATTTATCAGCCTGACTAACAGTTATGCTTTTAAGCTACTGAGAGGGTGTCATTGTGCTTGCAAATACTATTTTAGCTATAGCAGTTGGTTTCTGGTGGAATTGTATCAGCGATTTACTCCAAATAAATTTAAATGCATCAATTTCAAATGCAAACGGGACAATGTTACATCAGATGACCTACATGGGAAGGACTAAAATGATGACACAGAGGATGGTCCAAGGTTGACCAGCCGCCAAAAACCCCGAGACAGACAGCAGGACAGAGGGAAGTCCTCTTGGGCGCAGGCTACGCAGTAACAGAGACCTACCCCCAGGTTCACCACACACGCAGGGCAATCCCTGGACAAGACATCGGCATCGATGTAGAATCAGAATCAGAATAAATGATTACAGCCTCAGATTAAGAGGGAGTACCCCTTTTAAATGGCAGATGAAGACAATGAGAAGCCATTTGTTCACCTGTCTGTCACACACATTGAAAAGTTACGCGGACTTCGTAACACAGAATGGAAATGTGGGGGTGTTTGTGCCACGCCCTTGCCATCCCGAGGTGAACAAGCCCACAGCTAGGAACACAACAAGAATTGTAATATCACCGTGGGTTGGAGAGCTGAGTCCACTCTGGCCCTGGCTGTGGGCTGCAGCTCCGAAATCCTCAAGGAAGGTGGCCTGGGTCTCTCTGCTGTCACTGAAGGGGTTGGAACTGAATTACCTGCAAGAAAACAAAAATTATAATGTTCTCCTCATCGTCTGTGAAGTGAGTAGGAAATACAGAGGACAAAAGCAAGAAGAATCTCTCCTACTAAGTCTTAAAAAAATAGGACAGCCTGTCAAATGGGCAGGGCCATGAGTGGAAAAAGAAACAACTATTGACACTGGGGGCCCTGATTTCTCCCACGCACATGCTGCGCTGCTGAAACCTTCCCTGGAGCCATTCCCTCACAGCTTCCAGAGGTTGTGGGGGCATAGCAGGTGAGCCTGACACAGATTCCCCATGACACAAGTTACAAACAGTGTGAGGAACACCAGAAAATAACTATCCTCCCAAATAAAGCAATTATGAGTGAGAAACCAAAATAAACATCTTCAAATGTTCAAAACGATTAAAAAAAAAACAACAGTAAAGCAAAATCAAAATTGTCTAAAATTATTAGAAAAATGACTTTTGGAATGAGAAATACAATCATTGAAGTTAATAGCTCAATGGACGGTTTGAAGTAGGAACCAAAAAAGCCAAATAAAGCCCAGTGATTCATTAAATAGAGCAGAAAAAAATACAGTCGAGAAAAAATATGGAAAATATTGAAATGATCTAAAGGCATAGAAATAATAGAACAAGAAAATCCTATATGTATATCATAAAAATTAATGGAAGATTTGGGAAAAATGTAATATTCCAAGGTATACTTCATGGCAATTACTCAGATACGGAGAAAGGAAATACGTCCTCATATTAAAATTTTACAAAGTGTTTTTAAAAGGTGTTTTACAAAAACATCTACCCCTGAAGATATTACAGTAACATTACCGAGTATTACTGAGTATTAAAAAAAAATCTTCATAGCCACACAAAAACCAACCAGCCAACCAAACAATCTAAAACAGAAGAAAAGTTGGAGGATGGCAGACTTCTCGTCAGAGCATGGCGTAACAGTCTCCTCCCCGCCCCCCCCCCGTGTTTTTTGATGTTGTTGTTGTTGTTGTTGTTGTTTTGGTTTTTTGTGGGGTTTTTTGTTGTTGTTTTGAGACAGAGTCTCGCTCTGTCGCCCAGGCTGGACTGCAGTGGCGCGATCTCGGCTCACTGCAAGCTCCGCCTCCCGGGTTCACGCCATTCTCCTGCCTCAGCCTCCCGAGTAGCTGGGACTACAGGCGCCCGCCACCACGCCCGGCTAATTTTCTGTATTTTTAGTAGAGACGGGGTTTCACAGTGTTAGCCAGGATGGTCTCGATCTCCTGACCTCGTGATCCGCCCGCCTCGGCCTCCCAAAGTGCTGGGATTACAGGCGTGAGCCACCGCGCCTGGCCTCCCCTGTGTTTTTAAAGTTGGCCTGGAGATTGGTGATGACCATTGGAGATTGCATTACTTTTCCAACTGTGGCTTTCCACTAAAATTACAAAGGGAAATGTAGAAAGGAAAACGTGTGAGTGCGGGAACCAACAACAAAGATGATTTACATGAAGGAGGCTCTTAGAAAGAAAGCATCACACGAGTGCATGATGTTTAAGCTCTCAGCTAGCCCTTAGAGTGTAACTGCCTCTCCATCCTCCGCCCCGCATTCAGGGGTCCTCCCCAGGGGTCTCATAGCTCTGCCTCTCCTCCGTTACCAGGAGGTGCCCTGCTCATGCATCCTGCCCTCAGCAGACAGAAGATCTCTCTCGACTTCTCCAACTCTTCTTGTGCCATCCACACAATCTTGCCTTCAACTATTATTTTATTTTATTTTTTAGGAGGTAGGGTCTTGCTCTGTTGCCCAGGCCAGAGTGCAGTGGTGTGAACAGGGCTCACTGCAGCCTCAATCTCCTGAAGTTCAAGCCATCCTCCCACCTCAGCCTCCATAGTAGCTGGGACTACAGGTGCGTGCCACCACACCTGGCTAATTTTTATATTTTTTGTAGACACGGGGTTTTGCTGTGTTGCGCAGGCTGGTCTTAAACTCCTGGGCTCAAGCGATGCCCACCTCAGCCTCCCAAACTCCTGGGATTACAGGCATGAGCCACCGTGCCCGGCCTTGCCTTGATTGAAAACAATGGAGTTGTAGAAGCCTTTACGTAGCCCACAGCAGGCCACAGGTATTTGCTATCACTGTCATTCATCCTTAGGGCACAAGATTTTGCTCAACAACTGTATGCTTCCTTTAAACTTTATTCTGCTGATGCATACTAGTAGTCATCTTTCTCCCCCTCTCAAAAATTAAACTTTTTTCAGTTAAAAAAAACTAAAAGAAACAAAGAAACATTTTTTACTCTCATTCATTTTCAAGAACTCATTCTACATTTTCCAGACACACCAAGAAAGCACTTAAAAATGTAATGCACTTAATTTTCAAACTCATGTGTTTGATGTATGAAGCTTTACTCTAACAATGGAATTTTCATTTTTCTAATCCTCTTTATTTTAATCCAGACATGAAGATTTTAGAAAATGTTCTGCCCGTGTTGAGGCTTACGCAGAAACCACCCAGCAAGCAGGACCCTGGCCGGATGTTCTTGTTTGACTGGTTTCTGACTAAACACTGATCTGCTTCTTCAGTATCTTCTGTCTGAATAAAGGAATATTTAGAGTCTGACTCAATGTGTTACTCATAAATCCTAAAATCTCCAACTTAAAAAATATATTTAGGATGGATCTTAATTTAGCCCACTTTTTAAAACCTCATAAACCTCATTTATTTTTCTTATTTTGCATTTTTAAATAGGGAATAAGTGTACGATTCTAATTAAAAGGGTAAATTCTGCCATATACAAATAATTCTTAGAAGCTGAAATTCTCCAAATGCACTTTTCTTCTTGTAATAAAAATATAATGAATTCCTCGAGATGACTTTGCCATGTACATCAGTCTTTGAACGTGAGAAAGCAGAATATGTGTGAGATGACGGGTGTGTAATTTGGGTTCAAATGCGGTGTTGATTAATCTGTTTTATGTTGATTGTTCTCATTTCAATTCTGGATTTTTCTCATTTTAATTCTGGCTATTCTCATGTCTTTTCTGACCACCGTGTATTCAAAATGCTCATGCACAGCTACTGTGGACATCTAAACCTTGAGGCACTTTAGACAAGAAAGTATCGAATAGGCTTTGGTGAAGAAAGAACAAAGATTATTAAATTATTAATCTGGAATAGGTTGTTTTAAATTATAAACTTTGCAAGTGGCTCATATATGATAGAAGCACACATATGAATACATAAGGCCCTTCATATATATATATATATATATATATGTATACACACACACATATGTGTGTATATATGTATACACACACAAATATAATACATGTATAACTATTTTATCATTTTTGTGTACATAATTAAAAGCTATAAAGGAATGGTTATAGCTGCTTGTATCTGTTGCATATTCATCATAATAGGCCAATAAATTAATGTTAATTCAACATTTTGGACTTAACACTGTAATGAGAAATAAAATTTAGTTCGTATGAAAATCAAAGTGACATTTTCAAAAAGAAAGTCATTTAAGGTTTTTATAACTTGGAATCATTGAATTAAATAGTTCAAATATTTCTGATCCTGAGTGAAAAATACCTATTTTTACATAATTTTAGTTATTAACATATATTATGATTTTTTGTTAATCATTACATAAAATATTTGATGTTTCCGTTATGACAAGACACAGTGAAAATTACTACAGAATAAGGATGCTTCGATTAGAAATTGTCGATGGAAGAGCATTTCCAGCTTTACATTTTTAACTGAGTAGCTTAATCTGAAAGATTTTTTATTTTTTGTTGTTGTTTGTTTTGTTTGTTTGAAACGGAGTCTCCCTCTGTTGCCCAGGCTGGCGTGCAGTGGCGCGATCTCGGCTCACTGCAAGCTCTGCCTCCCAGGTTCACGCCATTCTCTTGCCTCATCCTCCTGAGTAGCTGGGACTACAGGCACCCGCCACCACACCTGGATAATTTTTTGTATTTTTACTGGGGACGGGGTTTCACCGTGTTAGCCAGGATGGTCTTGATCTCCTGACCTCCTGATCCACTCACCTTGGCCTCCCAAAGTGCCGGGATTACAGGCGTGAGCCACCGCGCCCCCCCTGGTTTTCTGTTGTTGTTTTGTTACTTTTGGTCTAGGGAAAAAAGAGATATGCCTATTTGTTTATGATTTTTAAGATTCCTCATATCTAAGGAATTCAGTTAAAATACATATGGCTAGCAATTTTGAGTTCTGCGAGGTGATGGTTTTCTTAGCCTATTTCAGATAGATTTTTCCAGCTGGGGATGCACTCCCAGGTCCCAGGAAGACACCGACGAGGAGCCAATCGTTGGGGGGCTTGTCGCTGACCCGCTCAGATAAGGTCCTTCAAGGACCGTGATCCCAATTCATCCGCAGAGAAGAAAATGGGGGAGAGTTGAATCACAAAGACACAAGGATTGTGTCATTGGAAAATGTACACTCAAGGCAGTTTAAGAAATGATTGTATTTGCTGATTTTTCAAAGAATGCTAAAACATATATATATGTATATATATGTATATATGTATATATATGTGTATATACGTATATATATGTATATATATACGTATATATATATGTATATATGTGTGTATATATATGTATATATATATACGTATATATGGACATGTACGCATACACGTACATACACACCACAACAGAGAGAAATGCATTTGATCCCCCTCAGAACTGGTGCACTAGCTAGGAAGGAAACCAGCAGCTGGACTCACCTAGTGAAGTAGCTTTGAGCAGAACCTGTGAAGAGTGGTAAGAAGCAGGGAAAACAGCACACCCAAATCAGCTTTCATATGCTAAGGCTTCCTCGTAAACTAATGTGGCATTTGCACAAAACATTGTAATCCTTGTCATCAGTTGGGTACTAACAAAATGTAAAAATTTTGTTTATACTTCATTCCATCTCTTCATTCATCCATCTGTCCATTATCCACCCCCTTTTTTTTTTTTTTTTTTTGAGATGGAGTCTTGCTCTGTCACACAGGCTGGAGTGCAGTGATGTGACGTCAGCTCACTGCAAGCTCCGCCTCCCGGGTTCAAGCGATTCCCCTTCCTCAGGCTACCGAGTAGCTGGGATTATAGGTGTCCACCACCGCGCCTGTCTAATTTTTGTATTTTTATTAGAGATGGGGTTTCACCATGTTGGCCAGGCTGGTCTAAAACTCCTGACCTCAGGCGATCTGCCCACCTCGGCCTTTCAGAGTGCTAGGATCACAGGCGTGAGCCACGGCGCCTGTCCAATCCGCCCATTTTTTTGTAAGAATATTGTAGAGATTTTTGTCCCCGGTGGTCCACGGACCTGGACTGCCCATCTTGTCTCCTTAGTATGGAAATAGTGTCATCTAGTGGCCTTTATAACTGCAGCCCAGCTCCCCCACCTGCTTCCTGGAGCCATGGCTGGTCAACTGTTCTATGGGATGCAGTGGCTCAGGCACCCATCACCCCATCATGTGGCAGCTGCTGTCCACTGAAAGTACACTTAAAAAATGAGTGAACCAGCTTCCTTATGTAGAATGGTTTTCTGCCAGGACAGTTGTTTGAAATTGGCAGTTATACAAATGGGTCCATTTTATACAATACTTGAGTAGCTGGAATAGAGACTGCAACTCTTAAATAGGTGTAGGAAGATTTTTAGACCATTTCATCATAATTCCATTTTTTTTCTTCTGAGGCCTGAGAAGATGTCATAACCAGCTTCTCTAAACTGCTTCGTGTTCACCGCTTTTGCCACTGAGAGGAGATCGGGTACCAGGCACTGTGGTGTGCATGCCCTTTGTGGGCAGTTGTCATTTTTGAAAGCAATTTGAGCTCTTCTAAATTCTCTCCACACACTGGCCCATGTCCCGGAAGGGCTCCGATCTTTCTTGCGTGGGCAGGATTGCCAATCCTCATTCTGATTCCTGACTGCAGGGTTCGTGCATGGATCGCGGGATGCCCGTGTGAGTGGGTTATTAGGGCCTTTCAGAAACTCGATTGTGCTCGAGCGTCCGTAAAGACCACTGGAGCCTCTGCCTTCCCCGCGGCTATTTCTAACTGCCCAGGCATCCAACGAGCAAACAGGGCCAGCAGCAAATTATCCCGTGGACATCTCATCCTACTGAAACATGATGAGACTGTTTTGAAGCTTCCTGCCTAAAACATATTTATGTTATCTTCAGAGTGAAAATCCTGCAATTTGACTTGCATAGCATTGACATGACTTCAAAATAAAATAGCTTCCTTTCCTAATAATTGAGTTAGCTCTACAGTGTAAAAGTCGATAGAACAAATATTGCTGAGAAAAGCAACTTTCCATTGATTTGTTCAGGAATAGACTCAACAAGTATGTACATACTACCCAGAGAAAAGCCATGCTTTGCTTTCAGAATCAAAACATTTTAGGGGAATAGTGTAGGATTAATCTTCAGTTTTTGCATCAGGCACCGGAGTATGCTGAAAACAAAATTAAACATAAATTATAACTTTACATAAAAGAGTTTGGGAAGGAAATAGATGACAGAGGCGTAACTATAATAATGATTATAACAGGATTTCTTTAATTTTCAGTCAGCATTATACCTCGTTTGTCACTTATTAACACCTAATTTTCTTTATTGAACTGTTACTTTATGTACTCCCAAAACCATGGAACAAATATTGATCTAACACCTCCCAGGCATTAGGCAATATCATGTATTAATAAACTGTGTTTTCACTTACCTCATTTCTGATTCTACCAAGGACAAAACACCTTCTTTATTTAATCTTTTCTGCTTAAAATGCAAAATAACCTTGAATGAGTTTTTCAAAGCTCCAAAATGAGGAAAATGCATTCGATTATGTTTTTATAAGGTCAATACTTTAAAATTTTTGATCAAAACTTCTTCTAATGCCACTTTGAATTACGGTTTCAAGTGTTTTGCTGGGTAAGCAGCATATTACATAGCCAGATTTTTCTACCATTTGATCCACTGACTTTATTACACTGTGTTTTGTGTTTTATGTAACGAACTAGAAAATCTCTTTAAATGGAGGTTTTCTCATCTGCTCAATTACGGTGATAATGCATACAGCTAAGGCTGTTTGGAAAATCCAATGAACTTATCTCTACACTCTCTGGCAGGTCGCGGATTCTCAGTGATGTTTCCCTTCCCTTCCCTTCCTAACTGCGTGTTTCATTCATAGTCATGCAGAGGGACTATCGATTTACCTTGAACACACCTTTTTATTATAAAACTACATTCTTGCTTTTTACTATGCATGCTTAATATTTGTATAGTTAATTATATGTTTACCAGTTCAGTTCTTTTCAATTAATTCTTGCTTATCTTTGTAATGTACATTAATAATGGGAAAAATATCTTTGGTTATCTAAACAGACGGCTTAAACCATCATTTCTGATCACCCTTTATGGAATGACCTTTCTTCAGGGATTGCTTTTGCAATGGTACATAATCTCTGGAAGTCCGTGTTTGTCTTTGTTTCTGCGGCATAAAATAAAATGAGATTCTTCAGTGGCAATAAACTATGAAGTCATCCAACATAAAACAATTTATCTCGGCTAAAAGAATGTGGCATAGAAAGTAGATGTTTTTCCGAAGCATCATGCTGTACAATAAGTCTATCTTTCACATAGTATATATATTAAGTAAGTTGTATTTTGCAAAACATAAAATGTTCTACATTACAGATCATTATTCCTGAAAAGAACACTTGTGTCATAGAAACTCCGTGTCAAGTCAAGCGAACTTGAAATGACTCATGAATAGCAGCAGTTATTCCCCTTAGAAATATTTGTGACAAGTAATCTTCATAAACTATTTCTGATCTAAAACAAACAAATTAAAACAAACTTAAGAAATACATTATCCAGTTGGACTCATAGTGAGATAAATTGGATTTTTTAACATAAGAAAGTGATTCTTTAAGAGGAGTTAGAAGATGGGAATATTTTAGAGTAGTTTGATATTTCAGTGTTCAGAGAAATATACTACTAAGGCCGGGCACAGTGGCTCCCACCTGTAATCCCAGCACTTTGAGAGGCTGAGGCAGGTGGATTGCTTGAGCTCAGGAGTTCAAGACCAGCCTGGGCAACATAGCCAAACCTCATTGCCACAAAAAATGACAAACATTAGCCAAGCATGGTGGCACATGCCTGTGGTCCTAGCTCCTTGGGAGGCTGAGGTGGGGGATGGCTTGAGCCCAGGAGGCAGAGGTTGCAGTGGTCCAAAATTGTGCCACTGGACTCCAGCCTGTGTGACAGAGCCAGACCTTGTCTCAATTAAAACCAAACCAAAACAACAACAACTACAAAAAACAGTTAAGAAAATTATACAAGAAGCATTAAAAAGAAAGATATTTTGATGTCTACTGTTATATAACAGGGTATTTGTTTCTTTACTCAACAATAAGCAAGATTCTACCTTCATTTTAAAGGCAGGTAGGTCAGATAAATAGAGAGAGTATATTTTATAACCTACTTCTAAATACAGTCTTGGCTTATTGGCTTGTCTCAGACAAGCTGCAATAAACAACTTGTAGCTTAATTATTCTGGTAGAGATTCTAAACATAGAACACAAGTGTGAAAACTCCAAACTCCTCGCTGGGGGAATTTCCACTTTTCTACGTGGACTCAATGTTAGTTCCTGTGAGAGCTCTTCTTTGATGAAATTCAATTCATATAGGTTTGGTCTCTCTGTATTGATTTCTTTATCTGAAAAACAGCACCTAACTGAAGCCCTGGACAAATAAGAAAAATGAAAGAATTATAGACTCCTTGTCTACCTGCAGTGGCGTCATGAACCAGTCAGTGACCCTGGACTTTTCAAAGACAAAAGAAACCTCAAAGTCCTTTCTGACAATGAAACACAGTTACAAAAGTCAAGAGATTTTGTCTATGGAAGGGTCTGGTGTGCTTCTGGAAAAATACACACGCCTACTCCAAGAATATGCAATGTACGAATCTGTGCATCCCATAAACACTGAACATGTAATACGCATTTGACATTATGCTAATTGTTTGAAATAAGACATTATCTTGCCATCTAGCCTCTTACAATACAATGTGGGGAGCAACTAGGAAAGTGATTCTCATTTTAGATATTAATTATTAATCAATAGTAAGACCTATTCCCAGAGATAATAATTGCCAAGAAAAGAGTGAAGAGCCCGAGGTCTTGATGAGTACAGGGCAACTGTAAACAAGATTCATTTTGATATAAGCAAATAGTTTTTTATTAAGCTGAAGAAAAATCTTAGTGAAAGTAAAATCACAGTGTGTTCGATGGAGAAGATGGGGCAGAAGCTGTTGCCCACAGATAAAAGTGCTCAACAATCCACCCTTCTCTGAATGCCTTCCCTTCTTCATTCCATCCTCAACTTCCCTATAGATGCCTCTAGAATCATCTCTCAAATAAACTGCTGGTTTTTCAGTTCTTTCTTTGTATACACCACCTCAGATACATTTTTGTGGTGGCCCTCCGTATAAAAAGGGTTAAGTCCATTTGTCCTGAGTAACCTGGGGGCTGCCATGTTGAATTCTCTTTGTCAAGGTCATTCTTAGAACCGAGGGCATCATTAGAATTGTGTAGTGGGAGCAGCGGAGTTCTGGGAGGACCTCATTTTCTCCTCCTTGTGTCCTCATCCAGTGTCCCTGTCCCACCTGTTGACTGGTGCTCCCTCGTCCTTTGCCCTTGCCTTCACCTACCTGGCATGAGCTTTGCCTGAACAATTTGGCAATGCCCTGATCATTGTTGCCATGAGATAGCTGCAATTCGAACCTGTGCCTCATCTCTTCCCGTGCTCCTGAATCTCCTTTTCCCCTTATCTTGTGGCTATGCAATTCTGCTCTTGGTAAATGTTTGAAGGGAAAAGTATGTTGTGAGGTCTCATTGGCTTGGGACGAGCTTCACATTGTCTGAGACCTTTACCACGGCTGGAGAGGACAGAGGATACATGTTGAAAGCCATGCCTGCTGAGTGACTGCAGACAGGGCAGGTTGGCAACACAAGTCATCCAGCAGGTATGGCCACGTCTCTGAAATGACTGCTGCGTAGCAGTCTCAGTGCACTTCATGGAACTTGTATTCAAACTTTAAGCGATTTTTGTGGCGGGGCTCAGACGCTGTTCCTGACAGACAGCAGCATCGGTCAACACCTCTTCATGCCATGAGACAAGTGTTCTCATCACTTATATCAGACATTTCAGCCCAAAGACATTTACTAGAGTTTTTGAATAGAGAGATTTAGGTGAAGTGTTTCTATTTGTTTCCTATTTCTACCAACCCAGAACATAAACCATAATACTTGGCTAAAGACATTGAGTGTTTTACTGATATTAGTTCATTTTCTTAGCCTGTGCGTGACAAGTATTGCTTCTTTAAGTATGGTTTAGGCCGACTTAGAAAGAAGACTGATGCTTGCAATAATCAAAGTCTTCAGAAACTTTTAAAGCTGTGTTATCAGCAAAAGGCCAATTAACTAATTTTGAATATCTAGACAGTAAAAGTGAAGTGTCTCTGAATGGTGCCCATTGAATTCAACATAAAATATGATCAGTATTAATTAACAGTACAAAGTAAGACCACAAATATTTACATTATGCTTTCAGCAGATATCTGGTAGTTCTCACTGAGATAATTCGACAAAAATATGGATTTTCTTGTTGTTGACATGACAGGAGGGAATCTGATTAAAAAAAAAACTTTCGCAATGAAACTAAATCTAACACATTAGAAATTCTCCAATTTGACAAATTGCATTTTAATAAGAGGCATCATATGAGAAAAACATGTTGATAATTATTTCTGATCAGATGCTACCCTGTTGCTAGCAATGTGAATCCTCATTGCTACAATCATTCAGTTATCCAGGGAGACTTCAGATTGTCTGTTACATATTTTGAAGTGTATTCCAGAGTTTTGTTGTTATTGTTGTGGGGCAGGTTTGTTTTTCATTGAAATAAAGTAAATGTACCATTTGCTCCAAATTTATTACGTATTTCCAGTGTAATTATTACCTAAAGTTTTATGTAGAACAAACCCATTTAAAATCAGAAATGCATAGGATAAAATACTTTTCCCTCCTAAACACTGACAAAATAATTATAGTCCATTCAAATGGAAAATATTCACCAAGATATTTTTTTCTATTCCCATCAGTATCTGAATATTGACAAACGTTGTCTGTTTTGAAGTGGTCAGTGTTTTTACACATCAGAAGCTGGGCTCAGAATGTGCTTTTATGGAGGTATAATTGGTATACAAAAACCTGCATATATTTAATGTATGCCATTTGATGGGTCTGGACAGATGCCAACACCCGTGAAACCATCAACGCAATCCAGATGATAGACACATTGAATACCTCTGAAAGCTTCTTCTAGCGTTTTTATTTTAGACCTGTGGTTGCCTAACTTCAAAGACCTTTACAGGTAGCAACACAGTGACAAGAGGACCAGATCCAAGCTGTCACTCAGACTTTAATCCTTGCAGGTGCCTCTCTCTGCTGTCCTCCTCCCTGAGGTGGACTCTAGACTCACCTGTGCCATCCTCAGCCCCACAGTCAAGGGCTGCTACTTAAAGAATCTGTCACTCTGCAGGGGCAAAATTTCCAATCCTCCCAGGTCACATTTTGTTAAGTTTGATCATTCCTTCCATTTGTCAACTAATGAAAAAAATCAGCCTTTTAAATAATTAAAATTAGTTTTGGCTGGGTGTGGTGGCTCACACCTGTAATCCCAGCATGTGGGGAGGCTGAGGCAGGCAGATCACAAGGTCAAGAGATCGAGACCATCCTGGTCAACATGGTGAAACCCCATCTCTACTAAAAATTAAAAAATTAGCTGGGCATGGTAGTGCATGCCTATAGTCCCAGCTACTCAGGAGGCTGAACCTGGGAGGTGGAGGTTGCAGTGAGCTGAGATTGTGCTAGTGCACTCCAGCCTGGTGAAAGAGCGAGACTCCATCTGAAAAAAAAAAGAAAATTAGTCCTATTCAGAGTCCTACTGATGACTGCGATCCAGGCAAGTCTTTTAGAGAGTTTCTGTCGGATTGCTCCAAAGCAGAATTTCAGCCCGCAGCTTCTCTGCTGGCGGTGGGGGTTCTGCAGATGCTCAGGGTTTCCTTTAGAGCAAAGCTCATCAATGTTTGGGTGCAAGAGTCCATCGGTTATAGATGGCAGAGGCATAATCTCTAATCCTGGTGGATGTTGTCTTATGTACAGAAAAAGGCCAGGTCTAGGATCATTGGACTTATATCTACTTTTTTTTTTTTTTTTTTTTTTTTTTTTTTTTTTTTGAGATGGAGTTTTGCTCTTGTTGCCCAGGCTGAAGTGCAATAGCACTATCTTTGCTCACTGCAACCTTCATCTCCTGGGTTCAAGCAATTCTCTTGCCTCAGCCTCCCAACTAGTTGGGATTACAGGCATGTGCCACAACGCCCCGCTAATTTATTTTAGTTAGTAGACATGGGGTTTCACCATGTTGGTCAGGCTGGTCTCGAACTGCTGACCCCAGATGATCCACCTGCCTCGGCCTCCCAAAGTTCCAGGATTACAGGCTTAAGCCACCATGACCGGCCTGGACTTATCTTTTCTAAAAATGCATTGATTTAGGCAAAAGAGCCATGGGGACCAACGCTCTTCCCTTATTGCCCGTGGGACATTCTTCCGGAGGGCTGTGCTCAGTCACTGCGTCAGGGGTTTATGAAGTTATGCAGAAGGGCAAAATGTGCCTGGGTGGCTTCATGGCAGACGCCAACCCTGTGGCTGGTCAGAGGCAGGTGTTTGCTTTCTCTCACACATCAAAGCCGCTGTCTCCAAGAAACTTTTCCCATTTCTTTTGGACGTTGTTCTGTTTTCACTTTGCTAAATTAGAAACTATGGATTGTTTTTTGCCAGACTATTGCATATTTATAATATGAACCATTCCATAAATAAATACATATTTAACATGTGTGTGAACAGTGGCTGTGAGATACAATAATGATATTAAAATAAACATCCATGAAGCCAGAAACCAGATCACAAAACGCAACATTACCGATGCCCTTACATCCCCAGTGAGCACCATTGATCCTTATGTCTGTGCTGTTTATTCTTTAAAATACTGCTTATTCTTTTAAAATATATATGGGCCAGAATCTCCAAGTCGTCTGTAAATATTTAGAGGTCGTAAAGTTCTTCCTTATCCCCGTGTGCCTAATGAGTAACGATCACTCAAAAAATACTTGCTCGTTTGTTTGTATGACTAAACCACTTATTAGGTTTATACAGTTTCTGCTAGGATTATTTGGTTTATTCTTACCCAGAATTTCAGTTCACATTGGTGACTTTCTTCCCCATTTTATGTTCATAATTTCTTCCCAAGGGGTACCACTGGACATCTTTGCTTTAGAAACATAAACATAGCAACTTTCACCTCTCGTATTGAAAACTCTACAACACCTTCCAATCTCTCTCGTGATACAAGCGAGATTCTTGGCTGTGTCCCCAGAAGTTCTCCCCCAAGCCCTCCCTTCCTGGGTAGATCTCAGCCTCACTCTGAGACACAGAGTCTCAGACACATAATCAACTGAGAATCCTGTGAACCACAGAGATTTGTTTCTCGCAGTTCCGGAGGCTGAAAGTCCAAGATCCAGGCAGATTTGGTGTCTGGTGAGGCCCCCTTCCCGCTTCCTAGATGGCGCCTGTCACTGAATCCTCATATCCATCCGGAGGGGTGAGGGAGCTCTCTGAGGGCCCTTCGGAAGGACCCTAGTCCCATTTGTGAGGACTCCACCTTCACAACGCCATCACCTCCCAAAGCCCAGCCTCCTAATACCAACACTTCCGTGTTAGGATTTCAACAGGTATCTGAGGGCTCGAACGCGAGGCCCTTTGAACCCTGCCATGGTGGCACTCCCTGCTCCTGGCCCCTTACCACTGCTCCCAGGGTCAGAGAGCACATTCCCCCCGGCCTGGCCCTCCTGGCCCTTCTGCCCGAGATTCTCTGCTGCGGGTCTCACCCCGCTTTCCAGGCAGGTCCAGAGCTCCCTGGATAACACAGAAACCCGGCACTCTAGCCGCTGCTCTCCTACTCTCTTCTTTATTTTTACACATAGTACTTATAATCATGCAACTTTCTAATATCTACAAAATGTACCAATGTATTTGTTATCATCTGTCTCTCCCGCAAAATGAATTTTCCCGTTTTACTTATTCCTCTGTTCCCAGATCTAGAAAAGCACCTGGCACATACTAGCACAAAACAAATATTTTTTAATTAATTGGATAAACATAAAATGCTTAACGAGGCTGTGAAAAGCTGGAGCAAATCATTAAATTGAGTATGACAACCAGCGCCAGTTTACACAAGCTACTTTATGTAGTAAAATAAAATAAAATTAACATAATTAATGAAACCTTAAAACAGAGATCTAATAATTATATTAATTGGGCCCATAAAGTTGTCATAAATGCTATTTTTTTTTTGCCATGAACACACTCTACAAGGATGGTTTTCTTTTGTATGTAAGAAAATTCATAAACATTAGGCACATGTGCTTATTTTCAGACGTTTTGTGAAGAGTGGGTCATTCTTACTATGGAAGTAATTTTGATGTTGAGTGAATCATGTATATGAAAGAAACAAGGAATTCTCTCTCTCTCTTTTTTTTTTTTTTTTTTTGTTTTGAGACGGAATCTTGCCCTGTCACCCGGGCTGGAGTGCAATGGCATGATCTTGGCTCACTGCAAACTCCGCCTCCCGGGTTCCAGCAATTCTCCTGCCTCAGCCTCTTGTGTAGCTGGGATTACAGGCGCCCGCCACCAGGCCCAGCTAGTTTTTTTGTATTTTTAGTAGAGACGGGGTTTCACCGTGTTAGCCAGGATGGTCTCAAACTCCTGACCTCGTGAACCACCCGCCTCGGCCTCCCAAAGTGCTGGGATTACAGGCGTGAGCCACCACGCCCTGCCGGAATTCTCAAATAGTAAGCCTCAGCCTGTTTAATGATCTCTCCGACATTATTTAATAAATCAAGAACAGGTGCTGAGTGCCACATTCAACACTCTATGAGACTGAAGCATAAAAGAGATGGTTTCCTATTGGGAGTGTTGGGTGAAGGGGGAGATAAAGAAAAGACAGCGTGTGCGCTGCCCACTCAGAGCAGCGTGATCGTGTACAATAATGACTTAGCAAGCAGGCCAGGCGCGGCAGCTCACACTCGTAATCCCAGCACTTTGGGAGGCAGAGGCAGGGGGATTGGTTGAGGGAAGGAGCTCAAGACCAGCCTGAGAAATATAAATGAGACCTCTTCTCTACAAAAAAAATTAGCAAAACATATTTAGCAAACAAATGACCATGGGCTGAAGCCAATGGGGACGTGTTCTCTATGGAGCTGGGATAGGAGCTGTGCCTCAAGGAGGAGGCCAGCTCATAAAACAGCAAGACCCCAGCACTGGCATAGAGACCAACAGCCCCTTTTTCAGGAGAGAAAAGGTGGTCTGCAGAGGGAGAGGGCCCTGGAGCAGAGGCTTCTCTGTGATGCTGTGGGAAAGTTGTCTATTTCCAAAGGAAGGGAAGGGTGATTGAGGGACATGCTTTGTAGGATTCAACTAATTATGTAACTAAACAATGTCTCATTATTTTTCAGATAAGTAATGTGTATATATTATTCCACTTCAACCAGTGAGGCCACAACATGATTTACATGACTATTTCTCAACCATTATATTTAGATAGAGAGATAGATACATATGTAAATAGAGCTAGAGAGATGATAGGTGATAGATTACATAGAGTTAGATCAGTAGATACATAGAATAGCTGCACAGATAAAATATAAAAATTATCATGATTTAACGGTAAGAATGTAGTTGAAAGTGTGGCATTGCTACAGGTTCTTTTTCTAAATTTTGTTACAATTGAGGAAAGAGAGAGATGGTGGGCAAAGGTCAATTAAAAAAAGGATTAAAAATAACTTTAGAAAAAAAATCAACATGCAATTGCATAGAAGGAAAAAGACTAGAATTTGAGTCAGTTTTAAAGAGAATTCTATTGCCAAACCTAACAAGCCTGGTGCAAATCCCCTCACTTTTCGTAGCCAAGGGTGCAGGGAGAAGCCACCTGCAAAGACCCTTGCAGCCCGTAACAAAGGCTTCCTCCCCAACACCCAGTAGTTAGGTGGCTTTAAAAGAAAACAGGCACAGAAATAACCTCCAAGGAAGCAGAGTCATGTTCCATGAAGCACACTGGAGAGGGACAAAAAATTAGCCGGGCGTGGTGGCGGGCACCTGTAGTCCCAGCTACTCCTGAGGCTGAGGCAGGAGAATGGCGTGAACCTGGGAGGCGGAGCTTGCAGCGAGCTGAGATCGCGCCACTGCATCATTCCAGCCTGGACGATGGAGAGAGGCTCCGTCTCAAAAAAAAAAAAAAAAAAAAAAAAGAAAGAAAAGAAGAAAGAAAAGTCAGAGAACCTTCTCCCGTGACCATCGCCAGGGCGGAGAATCTTCACCAAGCCTGCTCAGCAATATCTGATTATCGTTGTGGAGCACAGACTGTTGCGTGCTTCCAATCCCCACCCTCTTTCTGAAACACAGTTAACGGTGTCCACTTTTCACGACCCATCAATGTGCGCTGGGCACTTGGTGGACAGGCATCTTGCCCAGCAATGTGTGTTTGTAGCAGACCACAGGCATCCAAGCATGACCCAGAGGACGCAGCCACCCCCAGGGATCTTAGATCTTGGGGTGATGATGTGAGAGGATGGAGTTTAATGTAGTCGCCCTCGAGAGGGAATGAATGTGCTCCACGTGTGAAAATGAAGCTACACACAGTTTATAAGGAGTGTTTCACAGATGGCTGCTTATTCCTTAGGTTTTTCTCCACTTGAACCCTCATGATGGAATTCCAGATGTCCTTGCAGTTCACCGTGGCCACGCGCCTACGTCATAGCCAAGGGGAACTGAGTGGCGCTCCCTCCAGAGGTTGTCTTTCCACGTGGGGCGTGGGCTCTTCTGGGCATTTTGGTTTCCTCCCTTTCCCACATGCAGGAATTTAGATGGCAGCCGCGCAGCCGTGACCGTGAAGACAGGAACAAGAAGCAGGGGCTGACAGAGCACCACGGTGGAACGAAGCTGTGTTACATCAAACTGGACTTCACAGAATTAACCCCTGGGAAAATGCAAATGACTTGCTGGAAACACACTGGATACTAACCCTAATACTTCCTTTCTCTTGCTCTTCTGTTAGCAGACCTAATCTCTAAACACAGTTAGTATAATGCTTGCTTCCCTGGCAGCTCTAACAATTCCTACCCTGTTGACATCCCAGTAGCTTTGATGGGAACCGCTAATGCCCGTGTGGACCTCCTCTGGAGACGGGCAATTGCAGTTTTCTAAAATGCATTGAAATAGGATTGAAACTCGAGTATTTAATAGAAATTTCTCACATTCCCATTTCCCTTCACTAGCATGAAAATGACCTCCAAATAAATGATTTTATTTATTTTATCTCAGAGCTCTCCTTGCATTGCACCTTTATTTCATAGAAAATTGATCTGGTCCTTGAAAAGGTCAGCCAATCCTTGGGAGAAATTTTGTGATTTATTATTGATGTATACAGGAGTGGACCGAGGTGATGCTTGGCACACAGCACTGGTGATGGTGCTGACTGGACCTTACGAGCTTGGATTTTCATTTTCTTCTCCATTCTCCTTATGCTTAGGAGTACTCCTGTGTTACTTGTGCTATGCATTGCCCCACATATTCCTTTACAGTGGAAAGCTGTAGTTTTTGTTTTGCTTTAATAATACTCAACATAATAAAATATTTATATAGTGAATCTAAGGCTATTCTTACTATAAAGAAATTGCAGCCCTTAAATATTTGAACTACTTTTTTCAGTGTTCACATTTCCCGTTAAGAAAAAAAAACTAATTTTTTACATGCATCATCATTAATTAGTGTAGTTTAATTAGTGTTTAGCTAAAAAGTAAACAGGGACCTAAATTAAGTTTGTTAGACAGTGCTAGAATTTACTGGGCTCCAGTAAATTTCACCTGGGTTTCAGGCAGGAAGAAAGTAAGGATGTGTTTGGAAAAACTATTTTTTAATAAAGACTTATCTGGCTCTTTTATAATACTACATTTAATAAAGATTTGTCTGACTCTTTTATAATACTGTGCAAATCAAAACATCAGTAAGGAGTAAAATCCCTAAAAGCTGGTTGTTTAATGATGAAATTTGGCCAACGATTAAGCTTAATCATTTTTAAAATAACTAAATTCCATGAATAATATTTCCATGATTCTACATTGGGATGCTCCCAAATTACCTTAAAGGTTGTTGACATTAAAAACTCACCCTGTAGATATATGGGCTAAGTACTGAGAGTTACTGTATTTTATTATTGTTGTTGTTATTATTATTATTTTGAGACAGAGTCTGACTCCGTCACCCAGGCTGGAGTGCAGTGGCACAATCTTGGCTCACTGCAACCTCAGCCTCCTAGGTTCAAGCGATTCTCCTGCCTCAGCCTCCCAAGTAGCTGGGAAGACAGGCACACATGCACCAGCTAATTTTTGTATTTTTAATAGAGACGGGGTTTCACCATGTTGGCCAGGCTGGTCTAGACCTCCCGGCCTCAAGTGAACCACCAGCCTCAGCCTCCCAAAGTGCTAGGATTACAGGCGTGAGCCACCGTGCCAGGTTATGTTATAATTAATATTATCATTATTATTTTTCTTTAGTTATTGTTTGGTCTCAATGGCTTCCCAATCACCCACGTAATTTGCTCTGTACTAAGAGATACCTTTAATCACAGTTAGTACTACATAGCATTTAGTAATTCATTATTTCTTTTAAAAATTATTTATTATTTTTAGAGAAGGGGGTCTCATTATGTTGCCCAGGTTGGAGTGCAGTGGCTATTCACAAGCAGGATCATAGATCACCACAGCCTTCAACTCCTGGACTGAAGAGGTCCTCCCTTCTCAGCCTCCAGAGCAGCTGGGACTACACGTGTGCACCCCAGAGCCCGGCTGTAATTTATTCTTTCTGTACTCACACCTGGGACTGCGGACAACGTAATGATTGCCTATTCTGGTTGATTTTCTGCTTTAAGCAGAGATGGAAAGTGTTTGAGGTCAGTTTCAAATACCTTTAGGCTGTAAATTCCTAGGTTATCAAATTCTGTGTCATTGAAGGCATAGGAGCAAGACCAGATTGACTTTGTTGCATGAAGTCTACAAATAAATACTTGAGATTACCTGGGAGAAAAGGGACAGTTACGGAGGAACAGGGGCAGTGATAATGGGCACCGTCTGTGGGGTTTTCCCGAAGGGTAAACGCAGAGCCCTGGGAGAAAAGGAGGCTGGCTGTACAGTAGCTGGCACCACTAAGAGTTGGGTTGTGGTGTGGGATTACCCTGCTCAGGATTTGACAGATTACAGATATTCTTCCAAATAAAAGAGGCTTTCTAAAAAAAAAAAGTGGATCCTACGAACACTCATTTATACTCTCAATCAAAACAATTCACTTGGGAATTGGCCAGGCACGGTGGCTCATGCCCGTAATCCCAGCACTTTGGGAGGCTGAGGCAGGCAGATCACCTGAGGTAGGGAGTTCGAGACCAGCCTGACCAACATAGGGAAACCCCGTCTCTACTAAAAACATACAAAAAATTAGACAGGCGTGGTGACGAGTTCCTGTAATCCCAGCTACTTGGGAGGCAGAGGCAGGAGAATTGCTTGAACCCTGGAAGCGGAGGTTGTGGTGAGCCGAGATCATGCCATTGTACTCCAGCCTGGGCAACAAGAGTAAAACTCTGTCTCAAAAAAAAAAAAGAAAAGAAAAGAAAAAATATTGGGAATTATGCTCCTTACCAAAAGTCTCACTCAGTTCTCTTCCTGTGATTTTCACAGAGTGGTTTTGCCTAATGATAGCAAGTAATTCACTCTAATCCTCCCAAGAAAAGATGCAGAGGCTGAGAAGGAGTGAGGAACAGGACAAATTGCCCAAGACTAGATTGAAGGGAATTATATCCCTAAATCTTCTGTGTTTCTCTTACCATTGACACTGCTGCCTCTTACTTGGAAAATGTTCACAGTAGGGACATTTTTTGAAAACCCAACATCAAGACTCATCTGGCCCAGGTTGTCTCTCTTCAGTCCCAAGTTCCTAAATCCCTTAATTATGTTTCCATTTTCTCCACTCTGGAATACGATTTTAATAGTGCACTTTTCTCTATAAGATAGCTGATTCTTATCAAGGAAAAGACATTTAGGAAAAAAACAAAATAAAATTACAGCTGACTAGTGTATTAGTTTGCTAGGGCTCTTGTGGAAGTCGCTAAACTGAGTGTCTTAAATCACAGAACTGTATTCTCTTACAGTCCTGGAGACTGAAAGATCAAGGTGTCAACAGAGTAGGCTGTGAGGAAGAATGCAGGTTTTTCTCCGAACTACTGGGATTTTTGGTGATCTTTGGCGTCCCTGGGCTTGTAAATGGCCAACCTCTGCCTTCTTCTTCAGGTGCCATTCTCTCTGTATACACATGTCTCTCCAAACTTTCTTTTTCAAAATGACAGCAGTCGTCAGGGGCCCACCCTGCTCCAATATGACCTCATCTTAACTAATTATATTGGAAACAACTCTATTTCCAAGTGAGGTCATATTCTGGAGTACTAGAGATTAGGATTTCAGCATCTGAATTGTGTGGTGGGGACACAGTTCAATTCATAACAACCATATACATTAAAATCATTAAATTACTCTGTCTCCTTGTTTTTAGTATGTCATTAAATAGTATGAGAAATATTTCACTTACCTAAAATGAATACTCCTTCTTTTTTCTAAGAAAATAGTTTATCTTCTTTGAGTGAAAAGAAATTCCCCTTATTTCTCAAAAGCAACTTCCTGTGGAAGATCAAGAACTCTTTCCTTCCTTTGTATTTAGAAATGTATTTTTAATTTAATGTATTTCCTAAGGATTTGAAAAATGTAATGTTTGTTTTTTACAGCAAGATGAAAAATACACCCCTGACAGCATCCACCAGATTTCACCTTGAGGCTATGTGGGCTTCAACAACTTTACAACTCAGAGATTGTTTCTGTACTACATTCAGGGTAAAACCCAGAAGACTATTCACATGTAACAAAAGCACATCCACTGAATATCTTGGGCTCCCGAAACTATTGCATTATTAAGAGTGACTTTTAATAACTTGTACATGTTCACTTTCCAGCTCCATTCTGAAAATAAAGGCACTAAATGTGGGTATTAAGTTAGAGAAATAGAAATAATTCAATGGCTTACTTCACATAGCCACAATCCACCGCAGGCATGTAGAAGCAGCGTGACAATTTCTTTGTATCCATGTGAAAGGAAGCAAGTGTAATTCCCATTCTCTCCATGATCTCTTTTCCAAACCACCTAAAGTGGACACCTCTCTCCTCTACAAATCAAATGTTTCATGCTTTTATCTGTATTCAACTATTCACATCTTTATTTTCTATCTAGATCTTGATTCTATGTTAAAAACAGTGTTTTATGTTTTTGGCCAAGTATTATTTTAAAATTCATAAAAAGCTTTTAATGATATGAATGAATACATAGTGCTAAAAGAGGAAATAAAAAATATATTGTTATTCGGGTTATATAGTTAAATATCCCACTTAAGGAAACTGATTAGAGGAAGTCTGGGATGGTTTTTCTCAAGCATCTGATATGAAATCATTAACAGTGGCTGCCTCTGGACTGTGGTATCATACAAATATTTTATTTGATTCTTTAAATCTTTAATATTTTGCAAATCTTATGCCACATAATATTTTATACATAGATTAGTTTATAAACACTTGAAACACTGCTTTGAAAGATAAAATAGAAAAACAAGGGAAAGAAGAGAGGATGGGCCAGCCAGCTCAGCAAGCATCCTCTTCATTTATGCCGAGTGCCTCCTCTGTGCTCAACAAGAGATGCACAGGTGAGGCCCTGAGAACCAGGACTCTGGTTGCAAGAGGCAGACAAGCCAAGTACAAATCCCATTTCCCACAGACAGTTCTGGCATCTTCCACATCTCACGGTGCTCTGCAAGGTGACCTTGGTCCTCCTCCAGTCAAGGGGTGGGGGCTGCATCTCCTTCCCTGAATCTGGGAGGGAGGCTTGTGAATCTCCTGAAATGAGTAAAGTGTGGACTGCATGACTGTTGACATTATTTTTGAGAAGGTGACACACCTGCTACCTGTTCTCAGGAGTCGTAGCACCCAGGCCCTGAGAGCATTGCAGTGTGAGGGAGCAGGGCTGAGTGTAAAGGCTGAAAAGTGTTCCTTCCATGCCTCCAGCCCAAGTGCCAGACATAGGCATGCACCAGCCTGTGGATGAGGCCAGCTCCAGCCTTGGGGTCTTCCCACTGCAAACCCTAGACATTGTGGGCAGAAAGAAGCCACTCCGCTGGGCCCTTTTGAAATTCCTGACCCCCATGGTCCCTGGCATAACCAAAAGGTTGCTGCTTCATGCCACTAATTTTGGGGAGGTATGTTACACAGAAATAGTACCGAGAACACATAACTCAAACTGAATTAGGAAAAGCAAATCCATTCGCTGCAGTAGCTTGTCAATGACAGATTTTAACTCTGATGCGCTGTGTCCCTAACCAAGCTCTTGGATTTCCCTCCCCATTTGGTCTTCCGCAGGGTTAACTGTTTTATTGAGTCGTTTCCATGCAGACCAGATCCTGGCTATCAGCCGCAAAAAGTCATCCTCCTTTGCGCCCATCACAATACCTGATTCATTACCAGTGACTTTCCATTGATTCTTCTAAATTTGTAATGCATTCTTTTCTCTCCATTTTCACAACCTAATCAGCAAACTACTAAGCACGTCTGTCTCTGCAGGATGACAGCATAACCCTGGGACTAAGTTTCCAGGTCACTCTTGCTCTGCTCTATGTCGGCCAATTCTCTTTACAAAATGAAAATCTTATGTTACTTTTCCTTTCTTTTATCCTTCGTTCACTCTGACTGATCACAAAATTAATACTAAAATGTTTAAGATGTCCTTCGACGCCGAAGTCTACTCCATCCCTTCCTAGTCTCATGAGGATCTGCTACTCTTTGCCCTCATTACACAACTTTTCCTGGTTTCCTGAACGAGTTCTGCTGCTTCCCATCCCAGAATGATGTGCATGCTGTTTCCTGGAGAATGTCTTGGATTGATCTCCCACCCCTTTCTCATAATATATAATACACTTTTGTCCTAGTTAGAACTTGTCTTTCAAGTGTCAGGTTCTCTCACTTGCTTTGATACAACTTCCCTGAAGCCATTTCTTCAGTTTAAATGAGAACAAAGTAATATTTTATTCATGGAAGGAAACATTCAATGAAACATGACAAATATACCTTCCTTGACAAAAGAAGACTTTTCTTATGAAAAAGCAAACATGCATTGACATGTACGATGAACGCATAAAGAAATGTAGTCATTTTGAAGTCAACGAGATAATAAGCAGCAAAGATTTTAACTGACTTGCATGAGAAAGTGTGCCTGGCATGAATACTTAATATCCCATGAGGACTAAGTCCCTTTTCCTTGCATCAAATAAGTGCTGCTCTTAGAAGTCACCGAGAAGAGACTTCTAAAGTTGGAGAAGGAACATGTGCTAATTTCCCACATGCTTTAAATGACGAGGCTGCGCCTCGTGGAGGCTGTCCTGCTGCTCTCTGAGCTTTCACACAGGCTACCTTGCTCTTCTTCACAAACAGCCAACGTGTTTCAGATATGCGGAACGGAAGACAAACAGCTCCAGCAATGCATAAAAAGTTCCTTGGAGCTAATTCGTGGCAGATCGAGGAGAGGGCCCCGTGCATTTATCTGACATCCTCTATCCTATCATACCTGACACTTAACTTCAGATTCCATGAGCTTTCCTGTGCAAAATGACCTTCTATGTGCGGTACCCTGGGCTGACATTTTTATATACATTTTGCCATTGAACTATCACTGAACTCTGAGAGATAGGTGGCATGAATTGATGTGTGAAGGGAGGTCCACAGTAATTTAGTAAATATTTACCAAATTCCTCCTACGTCTTAGAGGAAGTACAGAAGATACAATGGTAAAAGTGATTGCTCCACTGAGTTTCAAATTTTCAAGCAAGAGCAATTAAACTATCTATTAAAATAAGTGCATGAAGTGCTTTAATACATGGATCTTGAGTATAAATTGTTGAATATGGCTTAGTAGGGTTCTGATATAAATTTCTATATCAAAGAAAATGCAGAAGTAGTAATAGCCTTATCTAATAATTTTTTCTTTCTTTCTGAGGTGGACTTTCACTCTGTTGCCCAGGCTGGAGTGCCGTGGTACAATTCCACCTCACTGCAACCACCATCTCCCAGGTTCAAGCTATTCTTGTGCCTCAGCCTCCCGAGTAGCTGGGATTACAGTCATGCACCACCACGCTCAGCTAATTTTTGTATTTTTGGTAGAGATAGGGTTTCACCATGTTGGCCAGGCTGGTCTCGAACTCCTGACCTCAAGTGATTCACCCACCTTGGCCTCTCAAAGTGCTGGGATTACACATGTGAGCCACCATGCCTGGCCCTAATAATGTAATTTCAATTTTGGTTCTGCCTAGGTTTTTTTTTTTCTGGTCCTGAGTTCTTGTTCTGAGTGGGTCATTTATCTCTCGTTCTGCAAAGGCCTGTACTAAAATAGGCACGTCCTTGAACTGGGGCTCTTATGACTACATGCGGAATTGTTTCTATCAGTCATGAGAAGCAGGCACATTTCTCATTTCTCATTTCTCATACGAAAAAGGCTTTGCTTACTTGAATAAACACACCAAAAAAAAAAAAATGTTGACTGCTTGGTTTATGTGTCACTCCAAAGGAGAAAGGAAAGAAAAGAAAGATGAGCATCACGTCCTAGTTTTGCTGTGTTTTTCACATCTGTTTGAGCCCAGAGTGTCTTTTTTAGCTAGGTAATATTTCTGCTCAGCTGAGATGAGGGAAGCAGCAATAACCCTGAGGAACGAAGCATACACCTCGCATGCAACCACAGCCTCCCGACTGTGTATGGTCACCTTACCCGATAGTAGCAGAAACATTGAGTTCTATGATATTATGTAATTTGCCTTGAGGAAGTTCATTATATTTTCACAGAATGAAAGACCATCTTTATTACATCCCTAGCACTGTACGGATTTTTTAACCCAGTTTACACAGTATCTATTACCCTTGATTGCTTCCCTTTTTGGTTGTCCACAGAAATGTAAAGATGTGAGCCTGGGATTTTTGAGAACCCAAACACATTTAATCTCTTTGCTTATAGGAAGGGAACAGAAGTTTATGTTGGACATGATTTTAACCTTATCTGCAGTTCTCCTAGGACATTACCAGTCCCCTCTTAATTAGCCTGAGCACTCTGTAATTAGTCATTCCTCTGATTTAGCAAACACGGATGGAAAAAGAGTTCCATAGATGTACTAATTTGTTTCATTAAACCATTTAACTGATCAACCTGTTTATTAATGTTTATCTTCATTTTTCTGTAAAAGGCTTTTTGCTAAGTGCTGGGGGAGATCAAAGGGAAACAAACAACTTCTCCCTCCTCAATTACAGTACAATTTTCTCAGTAGTAATGATATTTATTTTATATTTCTCATTTCCGATATATACACTTTTTTCTTATAATTTAGTTTTAAAAAGTGAATGAATGAACAGAACAAGACTCTAAATAAATAAATAAATAAACACAGAGAGAAAATGAATCAAAAGTGAAACGACACCTGAAAATGAATGTTGAGTCCTTACTAACATGGATATCAACATTGCTTAGCTATGTACGGGTAAAGAGCAATGTTGTACAATTGTCACAAGCCGTCAGTCTTTTCTGTGTGATAGTACTCAGATGAAGAGATGTATGTGGATCTCGTGATGAAGACTGGATGAGCCCATATCCTTCTCAGAGACGTTGGGTGTACGTTTGCAGATACGCCTACCACTATTTTAAAAATGCAACTGACGGACACAGTAAGATTAATAAGATTACGTACGCTAACTGTTTGTTACCAAGATGCATCTCTATGTCATAATGAAAACTGAACTTTAAGAAGAAAGACCTGCTTTTGGATGAAGGATATTAGAGTGAATGCAGGGAAGGCTCATTTGACGTGTTTTGTACCCAAGACACCTCTAGCTGTCAGCACATCCGGCAGTTTTCTGGCTCTTTAAAATTCAATAGACTTTCCTTTCTTGTAAAAAAAAAAAAAAGTTTATGGAAACAGTCCCCATCGCAATCACAAGCGGGTTTGTTTTCTGCACATAATACATTTACATGCACGGGCTCTGTTGCATGACAACAATATTGTGTAAGTCTTTCCTCCTTAAACCTTCCACCTTGCCAACTGCAACAGAGAAAGAAGACAGGTCCGGAAGTGGGGACAAACCAGCCGTGGGAGAGACGGAACTTCTTACTCAGTGGAGTAGTTATGTGTGGATGACCAAGTCCTTATGCTCATTTCATCCCCCATAAATGTATTTTTTTAAATCCCATATTACTGCTTGGACACTGTGTTTGACATAATTTTGAAAATCTTGGGTGCTGATCACTATTCATTACTATTTTGACCACCACCATCTACTGCTTTAAAATAAATTTCGTTTCTAACTTTGGTCCAGGGTTCAAAAGAAAACATAAATAAATAAATAAATATAAATCTGTTTCTGAAACAAGCGTCAGATTTTTCAGGATTTTCTAAAACATGAATTTTAACACAATTAGTATATATTATACACGTAGTTTGACATAAAATTAGATCACTGCTATATCCACTTAATGAATTAACAATGACAGACAAACGGGCAAAATGCTTTTTCTTACTCATTCCTCTCTGTTACATGCATATATCCTCTATTTTTGCTTAGACACTCTCAACATAATTATTACTCACTGATAATAACAGCCCTTGGTACCCAAAAGATTAAAATCACATCCCTCTACATTTCAACTGTAAGCCTAATTCAGTCTCTCCAGCCATTTCGAACCCAAGAGTCGGTTTTAAATGCGGTCTTGAAAGCACCGTGGAAACCTGGAGCCCTGTGGAGAACAAGGAAGGGAAAGTTTTTGATGCCAACTTGACCATCCCTCTGTCCCTGGCCATTGCCATGAATATTCTTTAGAACACGGTTAGAAAAGGGACTGGTCGGGGGTGGAGGAGGTGAAAGAAACTCTTAACTGAATTTAGTAGGCATTCATCCAAGGAGACAAAGGAAAAAAGTGACAGGGAATCCTCAGCCTGTGAAAGCAATGAGGAATGAATTGTCACAACCAAAGGCCTCTCGGGCACCCATTTGTTGTTACATATATGTGGCTGAAACATATGCTTAACGTATAAGTTGAGAATTTTCCTAAAATTATCTATCATGCAGCTTCTATGGTGAAAACATTCTCAAGGAAACTCCCAGGAATTTCAGGATACCAATATTCCCACACTTGGAGCAGCCACCTTTAAATCTTTATTTTAATGAACGCATTGTAGCAGCAGCTACGATGTTACACATAGCCCTGAAACTGGAAATCAAACACAAGTTCTAAGTTGCAGAATGTAATGGATAATCTTACGTGTCAACTTGACTGGGGTATGGGGTGTCAAGCTGTAGCAGTGGCTACGATGTTACCTAAAACTGGAAATCAAACACCAGTTCTAAGTTGCAGAATGTAATCAATAATCTTATGTGTTAACTTGACTGGGGTATGGGGTGCCCAGGCATGTGGCTACACATTTAGCTTGGCTATAAGGGTGTTTCTGCATGAGATGAACACGTGGATCCTGAGACAGAGCCAGCGGAGTGCCCTACCCATGCTGGCTCGGCCTCATGCCACCAACTAGAGACTTGAATAGAACAAAAGGACGGCCCTCCCAGGAGCTAGCGGGAACTCCTCCGGCCTGAGCGCCATAAGCTGGGATGCAGGTTATGTTCTACCTGCTGATTCAAACTGACCCACTGGCTTTTTCTGGGTTTCAAGAATGCTGGCATTGGAACGGGAATTTACACCCTCAGACGTCCTGGTTCTCAGCCCTTCGGACTCAGATGAAAACTACAGCGTCAGTTTTCCTGGGTCTCCAGCTTGTGGATTGCACATCTTGAGATCTGTCTGTTTCCATAATCCTGTGAGCCAATTCCTTATAATTAATCTCTCTGTCTCTCTATCTGTATCTCTATCTCATCTATTTGTAAATCCATATATCTCCTAATGTGCATATATATATATGCACCTGTATTTTACACACACACATAATATATAATAAATAAATATGTGTATGTGTATGTATGTATATATATATTATATATATAATATATATATATATATATATGCATATGTTCTGTTTCTCTGGAGAACCCTGAATAATATACAGAGAGTCTGCACAATTCACTGTACAATGAGAGTTCACCACCCTACTTCTAGAATTATTTTTTAAGTTCCGTTTTCCCTAAAATTATGGTTAGTAAAAAAATTCATCATTTTTAAATTTGTGAGTGAGGAAACAATTAAAAAATTGCACAATGCCAATACATAAGTTTAATTTAAACTCTCTTCAATTCATTTCAGTAAAGTCACATTTTCTATCATCAAAGACCTATCTGAATGATTGAACAGGGTAGAGGTTCTATTTGAACTTTGGATACTTTGGAAAGAGAACAATAATGCAGAACTTTACTTTTTTAAAGTCATTAAAATTATCTGGTCATGTCAGTGGTTTTTTTTCTCTCTCTCTTTTTTTCCTTTCTTTACTTCTTTTCTTTTCTTTTTTCTGTTTTTTTTTTTTTTGGATAAGGTCTCATTCTGTCACCTAGGCTAGAATGCAGTGGTGCAGTCATGGCTCACTGCAGCCTCAACCTCCTGGGCTCAAGCGATCCTCCTGACTCAGCGTCTTTAGTAGCTTAGACTACAGGTGCAGGTGTACAACACCATACCCATTTATTTATTTATTATTTATTTTTAGAGATGGGCTGGGTTCAAGTGATCCTCCTGACTCAGCCTCTTTCGTAGCTTGGACTACAGCTGTGCACCACCATACACATTTATTTATTTATTATTTATTTTTAGAGATAGGGCCTTGATTTGTTGCTCAGGCTGTTCTCAACCCCCTGGGCCCATGCTGCCTTTCCACCTCAGCCTCCCAAACTTCTGGGATTACATGTGTGAGCCACTGCACCTGGCCTTGCTCTTTATTTATTCATGCTGTCATTTGTAGTTAAATGTAGTAATCACTAATCACATCTGTCTTATATCTTCCATAAAAATTTTAAAAAAATTAAGTCTAGATGTTTTCCTCTTATCGAAAACATATTAATTAGCCATAAAGTTATTCAATTATGTTACATAATTTATCTCAGTAAATGTATGCAAAACTTATGCAATTATATGAGAATACCTTTTACATTTCAGATGTCCACTCAAATAAAATTCTGTAAGCAAGATTTTGAAAAGCATATTACCTTTTGTTTTCAGTTTCTCTTTATTCTTTTTGTAAATTTTCTTGACTAGAGAAAGCGTATTTTTGCTATTTGCAACGTCACAATAGTTTTAAACAATTAAGTAATTTTTGAATCCGCTATTCAATAAAAAGCCAAAAACATATGGTAATATATTTGAATTCTTCAATTTAAAGTGTAGGTTTTTTAACTATGTGATTTTTCTTCTCTAGAACAAGGAATGCTTGCCTGATACGCTAACAACATATTCTAACAAGTTAAATCCTACTTTAGAACAACCATACATGCTAAGCAAAACATTTATATGTTGGTTTTCTATGATAGTAGCTTTATGAATGAGTAATAACTAAATTAGGAAAAAAATTAAAGACTTGAAATCTGAAAGCAACAGGTTAAAACAAACCAATTTCAGTTCAAAAGCCCAAGGATTTATATGTTTCGGTTTGCAACAGACACAGTTCAGAACATTTCTCAACCTCATGCCAACGGAACAGACAACTAAGACAACTCAATGTATCATGCATGAAAGCAATGCAATTAAACAATATCATGTATCTCAAGCAGATATTATGGTCACTAATCTTTAAAGTGTACTGATTTTATTTTCCCCTCATGACCTGTAGTAGATAATTGAAAATTAAAAATTGAAATCAGTGAACACATTCAAGTGATTCCGCTTGCTATCAAAATTTGCCCACACCGAGCGACTAGGCTGACTACAGAGATGTTTTTCATTCTCTTTGTCCTTTACAAACAAAGCCTTACAATTATGTAGGACCAAAGGTAAATCAAGATTATAAGTACAAGAATGACCTTTAGATGCATTAACCAACATTTTAATCGTGAAGGGCAAGAGATGACTCTTAAAGTTTTTACTTTGTCTCTTATTAGTCTATGCAGCCTTAGGGATATAATTACCTTTCATGGGCATCAATGTCTTCATCCGCTGCATGGGAGTCATAATATCTTTTTGTCATAACTCACGAGTTCCTATGAATAACAAATTGGATCAAATTTGAAAATGTTTTCTAAAAACGTACATTCTCTGTAAATAATATTTATTATTATTTTTACTATTTCTTTTTTCTTTCTTTTTTTTTAAGAGATGGGGTCTCTCTCTGTCACCCAGGCTGGAGTGCAGTGGCACGATCACAGTTCACTGCAGCCTCTACCTCCTGGGTTCAAGTGATCCTCTTGCCTCAGCTTCCCGAGTAGCTGGGACTATGGGCGCTAATGACTACACCCAGCTTATTTTTGTGTTTTTTGTAGAGATAGGGTTTCACCATGTTGCCCAAGCTTGTCTCAAACTCCTGGGCTCAAACCACCTTCCTGCCTTGGTTTTCCAAAGTGCTGGGATTACAGGCGTGAGTCGCCATACCTGACCAATAATTTATGATTATTATAGATTATTTTTTAGAATTGAAAATTGACAGATTTCATTGATATTAATGGGATTACAGGCATGAGCCACTGTACCTGACCAATAATTTATTATTATCATAGATTATTTTTTAGAATTGAAAATTGAGAGGCTTTATTGATATTAATGGGATTATAGCCATGAGCCACTGTACCTGACCAATAATTTATTATTACCATAGATTTTTTTTAGAATTGAAAATTGAGAGGTTTCATTGATATTAATGGGATTACAGGCATGAGTCACCATACTTGACCAATAATTTATTATTATCATAGATTATTTTTTAGAATTGAAAATTGAGAGGCTTCATTGATATTAATGGGATTACAGGCATGAGCCACTGTACCTGACCAATAATTTATTATTATCATAGATTATGTTTTACAATTGAAAATTGAGAGGTTTCATTGATATTAATAAAACGTAGAAAAACATATTTATAGAAAATATCAAAATGAAGTCACCATAAATCCAGGCGGTAGTCCTTTGTAAATAAACAAGTGCTGCAGGAGACAAAAGTTGAGACGTGAAAAGACAACATAAATCTCATTTGGAAGAAAGGTAAAATCTTTGATTGGAAACAAAAAAATATAAAGGCCAAAGACTGCTTTGTCGAAGCTCAATATTTGAAAAGAATGAAAAGCTGTGAAAAACACTCTGAATTACACATGGCTACTTTACAGAAATGACATTCTTGTTTACTCATTAGCATCATTCATAAGACAAGAGGCAATGGCTTCCTCTTTTCCTCTTTGCTGACAAGGTAGTTCGATTATAAACTGGGCTACTACTGGCAGCAATAAATTGAGGAAAATATACAACATGACTTCTTTTTAAATTTACAATAGCCACAATAAGTTCATAAATTTGGGAGATAATCATATAGACTCCCAGGTCCCTGGTGTTTTAATTTTGTCTCATTTTAATCTTGTCCCCTCTCAACTTTCAAAACTCAATGATATAATTTATGAGTTTGTTGAAGTGGTAAGAAAAAAGTTGACTAAGTTTTACATTCCATCTTCCAACTATGTGAAAAAATAAGGCCCAGCATCCTTTGAGATCTTGACTGTTTAATGAAAACTAAGTTTGTTTTTACAAGACAGGAAACATTTCACTTTGAAAATGAGAATTCATGATTTAGACAGATTGAAATGAGGGAATCATGTCATGAATATTTATTGTAGCATTAATGTTTGCAAAAGCTATTCATAAAGCAGAAAATGGTTATCATTCAAAATTCAAGTGATGGGTTAGGGTGTAAAATATAAAGTAAAATATACAACTTCAAATTCATAGAATTTCTCTGAGTCATAGAAGCTGAATGTGTGTATATAACTGAATTTGCCAAGCTTATTCCTTAGAAGTATGTAAAGTGTACCTACAGCCAACTAAACCCACACAAAGCCTTCTTTCTGTTTAACCTAAACTCAAGTTAAATACAGTGTACTGTATCATTTATTAATTAGGGGTATTTTACCATTATTACATTATCACAGTATTTATAATGTTTTTTCAAAATGTTTTATAAAAACAAGCAAAAAAAAATCCCACACATGTATTTTAAGTTTAATCTGTTTCTACATCAGCTGGTCTCACATTGAGTAGAAAGATTTTAATTTGAGTAGAAGGGAGTGAACAATTTAATTACATATATTCTCCCTGCTGGAGTAGGTGAGAAAACATATGTCAGAATGATTTGATTCTACGGAGAAAGTTGCAATAATTCTTTATGCATTTTAAGTTTTACCTAACTAGACAAAAGAGTCATAGGATCTGTTGGGTAAAAATCTAGTAGTTTTTTAGTACTGTGGTTTAATTTCTAGTACCTGTAGTTTAATTTCCTTTAGTTTAGACTGGGACATCCTATTCAGTCTATTCTTGCATGTAAATTTCAATCGAGGAGGAAAATAAAAGCAGATAATGATTAACGAAGAGGGCTTGGTATTGAGTTTTAGCACCATAGTAAGTAATCCTGAGAAAATATTCTCAAGTTAACTCTCAAGTTGATTCAAGTTAATTCTCAAGTTGATGGATCATGTAAGGTGGAGTACACAACAAACACCAAAACAACAAATCGCCTGCACGTGTGTGTGTGTGTGTGTTCCCATAAAAATAGATTGCTAGATTAATCTGTTTCTTGGCATTTTTCATTCTTTCCATAATCTTTAATAAAATATTCCTACAAAACGTATACACGCCATGTTCCTTAGCTTGATCGAAGTACCAGAAAGTAAACATTCACATAACCACCCCAAAGAACAAGGCATTTGTATCAAACCACCCCGGCTCTCGCTGCTCTATTCCCTCTACATGCACGCCCTTCTTCCTTTCTCAGGATCTTCGCTCTCCAAGATCATAGACCGGTTTTCTAAGATCATAGATTGTTTTTGCCTGCTTTTGTATTTCACAGGATGTCATCACAGAGTAAGCAGGCACTCTTTTTCCTCAGGATTCTTTCACTGGGCATTGGGTTGATGAGGTCACCCTGTGCTATGAGGAGCAGTGCTTCAACCTGTTGACTGCTGAATAGCCTGCCATCATCATGAATGGGTCAGGATTGGCATATCCATTCCGCCACTGAGGAACAGTTTGGTGGTTTTCAGATTTTGTCTGTTATGAGTAATGCTGCTATGAACCTTTTATTACATACATTTTGGTGGGTGGGTGTGCACATTTCTGTTGCATACACTTAGGAGCCCTCCTGTTGAATAACAGGACACAGTTAACAATAAGCTTTAGTGAAAATCGACAAAGTTAATGTCCAACGTATTCCAATCTCTCCATTTTCCCAAGAACAGCATATGAGAGTTCCAGTTACCTCACATTCTCAGTAATGCTTGATAATTCCAGCTTTCAAATTTCAGCTGTTCTGTGAAAGTGTGTGTGTGTGTGTGTGTGTGTGTGTGTGAAAGAGAGACCGTCTTTGTGTGTGTATGTAGTGTGATATCTATTGTGTTAATTTAAAAGTCCTTGATAGCTATTTGGGGATTACAGGTGTGCACTACCACACCCAACTAATATTTGTATTTTTAATATCTTTTCATGACAATTGGTCATTTGTAGATCCTATACATTTGTAAAGTGCCTGTTTGCCTGTTCAACAATTTTGCTCATCTTATTTATTTATTATTTATTTTTGAGAAAGAGTCTTGCTTTGTTTCCCAGGCTGGAGTGCAGTAGCGCAATCTCAGCTCACTGCAACCTCTGCCTCCCAGGTTCAAGCGATTCTCCCACCTTAGCCTCCCAAGTAGCTGGGATTACAGGCACCTGCCACCACGCCCAGCTAATTTTTGTTGTCTGAGTAGAGATGGAGTTTCACAATGTTGGCCAGGCTGGTCTCGAACTCCTGATCTCAGACAATCTGTCCGCCTCAGCCTCCTAAAGTGCTGGGATTACAGGAGTGAGCCAATGCACCCGGCCCGTCCATCATTTAATCATCAATTTTATCATTGACTCAGGAGTCTAGGAGATCTTCATAAATTCTGGAGATAGCTATGACCTCCCTGTGTCTTCTTATTTTATTTTATTTTATTTTTTGAGATAGAATCTTGCTCTGTCACCCAGGCTGGAATGCGGTGGTGGGATCTCAGCTCACTGCAACCTCAGCCTCCCAGGTTCAAGTGATTCTCCTGCCTTAGCCTCCTAAGTAGCTGGGATTACAGGTGTGTGTTACACACCCATCTAATATTTGTATTTTTAATAGAGATGGGGTTTTACTATGTTGGCCAGGCTGGTCTCGAACTCCTGACCTCAGGTGATCCACATGCCCATGCCTAAGCCTCCCAAAGTGCTGGGATTACAGGCATGAGCCACCACACCTGGCCTGTGTCTTTTTTTTTTTTTTCAATTTTCCTTAGCACGTATTTTGATCAATGAAATTAATATTAGTTAAATCCAATTTATCAATAATTTCCTTTGTGGCTAATGCTTTTCAATCCTGTTGTAAAATATCTCCCTATTTCAAGTCATAAAGATATTTCACTGTGAAAAAATCTAGAGCTTTACTGCTTTACCTTCAGAGGTAGATCTACAAACTGTTTTAATGTTACTATTTGTACACACATACCACATACACACACATAACACATGCCCGTCTACACGCCAAACACATACATACCACACACACGTTAAAACACGTACACACACCACACATACATGCACACCACACACATACACACAAAATGCACACATGTACACCAAACACACCACACACACTGCACACCACACGCAAACCAATCACACATACCACATACATTACACATAAGTACAAAACCACATACACACCACACACACCACATATGTACCACCCGCACATACACATCATAAACACATCCACACATCCACACACACTCATACATATTCTACCTAGATAGTAAGATCTATGTGAATAGTGTAGTTTTATTTAAAGGAACAGAATACTATGAATAATTTAGAAACAAAATTCTATTAAACACTGGATTTAATCATGTTTACCTTTTTTTGAGATTTGCAATTAAGCATTATGTCAGTTGACTGCATGAGCTGTTATGTTGAACATTATCTGAGCTCAGAGCTCTTTTATGAGCTGGCTATGCAACATCAAATTTGTAAATGTTTAATCAAAAATGCTAAAAATTTAAATTCACAGATATAGAAAGTATCATTATACATAGATGGAAGCGTAGAAGCAGATGTGTTGTACTTTCTAATATGTAACGTAGCTGTGAACTCCAGCTGAGCAGTAATTGACGCACCTCCATCTTCTATAATCAGCGACATGGCAATGAGTAAAACTTAATAATTGGGGTGATAACAAAATCCTGAGAGCAGTATTCATTTTGCTCGACCTCCAGATTTTTAATTTTCAAGAGCTTTCAAAAATTACTTTGTCAGCTTTCTTGGTAAATCCATCATGTCCATGGGGATGGGCCTTCTGGTTCTGGAACTCACATACTCCTGAGCAATTCCTTCCATTCTCACTGATTTAAAATAAACCACAGAATGAATAGCCATTTTCTTTGAATTATTTTCCGCAGAGTTTCAGAAGAGAATAAGGAGCCCGATCCATCACCTCTTTGATGAGTGGGGTGGTG
This sequence comes from Homo sapiens, assembly GCF_000001405.40. Lineage (NCBI taxonomy): Eukaryota > Metazoa > Chordata > Mammalia > Primates > Hominidae > Homo > Homo sapiens. The sequence goes on from NC_000008.11 coordinate 2,710,792, forward strand.
GTTGCACCAGGTGAGGGGGGATCAAGAGGCAAGTGTCTCAGCCTCAACCCCCGCCCCACACTGCCCTAGGAAGAATGATTTCCTGCGTGCCACCTCAGAGCACCTGGCCATGGTCCTTCTTTCATTGCTGTTTTTCCTTCACAACAACAGCAACAACTGGGTTGTTCTTCCCAGTGTAAGCAAATACATGCAGTTCACCCTTGCACGTCGGCTCCAGTATTGTATAGTACACTCCAAGAGTACAAGCGTAAAGACACTACATCTGAAAAAATAACCTTAATGGTGACTGGCAGAGAGTTGTCTGACCAAATCATCTGACCATAGTCAGGTAAAATGTCACATTCTTAATCATTGCTCTGGTCCCAATACGTGATAACTACACATATTGATAAATACACCATCTGATTTGACAATTTGGGGATACACAAAAGACTGATAAACCTGTGAGTATTTAAATTGATTAGAAGAGAAGCAGTGTATTATTTTGTGTGTCTCCTTTCATTGGCACCCTGCATTCGTAGTCAGATTGAGAAGGAAAAAATCACATTACATTTAAACAGAATAAGGCTACTTAAAAATACATATATAATATATATTTAAAAATATATGTATTTCAATATGTATATTTTAATATATCATATATTATATAAAATATATTTTAAAATTTGAATTTAATATGATATATATTTTTAAATATGTATCATATATATTTATGATGTTTTATATATATATTTTTAATATATCAAATTTCACAGGTTTAAAAAATTTGATATATATTGTTTTTATAAACCAACTTTTTCACTTATTTTAGCCAGTCACAATGATATATAAACAATTTCATATGTTTATGAAATGTGATATATTTTTAAAATGATACGTAGTTTGGTCTTTATAAACCAATTATTTTCACTTATATTAGCCAGCCATAATGATATATATATCATAAATATATATATACGTATATTTATGTGAGACTAAATATATGAGATACGTATTTTCAGACGGTGGTCAATAGACAACTCTGGCTGTGATCCCCAGGAAAGCTCTGCATTCACTCTGGCATTCTGCCAGAAAGCACAGCACAGACGGTGAAACAGAGACAGAGAGGAAGATGTATTAAATAACTCTGAGCAAAGCAAATATACCAAGTTTAGGAGACAGTTTGAAGGTCAAGAACTCTAAGGTAGCTAGAGATCGCAAGGCAGAGTTCTGGGGCAAAAGGAATTTTGCGGATAAAAAAGCTCCAGAAATCTGCAAAGGTGTCTCACTGGATGTTTATTGCATATAAAGACAGACACTTGTATAGTGAAACTCCGTGGCGGCAAAGACCAGTTGGGTAGGTGTGACATGAATGGTTTCCAGAAATCACCCATGCCTGAAATTATTTGAGTTTCCCCCAGCCTGAATGGAGCCCTGCGTTGATCCTTTGTGTAGCCAAAGAAGCTCTAGAAGGGCTACACTTCTTTAATTCAGAACCAAGCTAACAACATCTAAAATGTTAACACGTCCAGAAAGAAACATAACTCCCCATCAGGTCAAAGTCCAACAGTCTTCACTAGAGGACGTGAAAATTCAGACACTCAAAAGCATATCATCAGCAATTAGTTTAAGGAAAACAAACAAAAGAAATGGAAAATATTTTAAAATCCAATCTACGGAGATAAAAATGATAGTACCTGAAACTGAAAGCCACGGAGTAAGATTAACAGCAGATTAGAAACTACACAGGGAAAGATCTGGTAGTTAGTGCAATTCAAAGAATCAGTCCATTTCATCTAAATTATCAATTATGTGGTCATGAGTTGTTTGTAATATTTTTTAAATGATCTGTTTTGTGTCAGTATGATTAGTATTGATGATCCCACCTCCAGGTGGCAGACTCCCCAGGGAAATGCAGCTAATTTATTTATTCTTTTTATAATTTTTTACCCTGGTTAGTTTTTATCAACTTCATTAATATTTTCAAACAACCAACGTTTTGTTTATTGATTTTCTCTAGTATTTTTCTGTATTCATTTTCATTGATTTTGGTATTATTTTTTCTTATTTCTTTTCTTCTGCTTGATTTAATATTAAATTTATTTTTACCCAATTCTTTAAAGTGAAAGCTTAGATTATTAATAATAGATTTTTCTTTTTTCATCTCTCCAATGCTATAAATCGTCCTCTAAAAGCACTGCTTTTTCTGCATCCCACAGATGTCGAGGTTTTATTTTTTGTTTTCATTTAGTTCAAAATATCTTTAAATTTATTTGGAGATTTCCATTTTTTACCCATATGCTATTTAGAAGTAAGTTTCTAAATTCCCAAATATTTGGGAATTTTTTAGCTACCTTCCTGTTACTGATTTCTAATTTAACTCCATTGTCCTCTGAGAACATTACTCTGTACAATTGCCATTATTGTTAATTTGTTCATGTGTGTTTTGTGGGTCAGAATGTGGTCTTTCTTGGTGAATGTTCCATGGGAGCTTGAAACCCATGTGTATCCTGCTGTTGTAGATGGAGTATTTTATAAATGTCAAGCTATCAGGTCAATTGTTCATGCTGTTTACTCCAACTGCGTCCTTATTGATTTTCTGTCTGCTTCATCTTAAAGAGGCATGTTAAATTCTCCAACTCTTAGTATTGTATTATCTAGTCTTCATTTCAGTTCTCTTAGATTCTGCCTTCCATTAATAAAAAAATTATCAGTATTACTTCAAATATTTATTTGGCCCTATTTTCTCTTTTCCTTCTTCTAGTGTTCCAATTACGTATACGTTACACATTCTGAAATTGTCCCAGAGTTCTGGTATATTCTGTTCTGATTCCCCACACCTTCCCCATTCTTTCTTCACTCATCATTTCACTTTGAGAACTTGCCCTTTACCCATCTTCAAACTCAGTAATTCTTTCTTCAGATGTGTGAAGTCTAGTGATAAGCGTGTCCAAGGTACTCTTTATTTCTGTTTTATATGTTCTAGCATTTTCTGCCTTTCTTAGAAGTTCGTTATCTCTGCTGTGAATCCCAAATACCTGAGACAGTCTCAGTCAATTTGGAACGTTTATTTTTGCCAAAGTTAAGGACACACATCCGTGACACAGCCTCAGGAGGTCCTGACGACATGTGCCCCAGGTGGTCAGGGAACAGCTTGCTTTCATACATTTCAAGGAGACATGAGGCACCAATCAATGTATGTAAGCCATACATTGGCTCCATCCAGCAAGGCCGGGCAACTCGAGGTGGGGACGGGGTTTCCAGGTCATAGGTAGATAAGACAAAAACGGTTGCATTCTTTTGAGTTTCTGGTTAAGCTTTCCAAAGGAAGCAATCAGATATGCATTTATCTCAGTGAGCAGAGGGATGACTTGGATCTGTCTGTCCTTTGTCCACAAGGGATTTCCTTGTGGACAAATTGTGAGGGAAGTATGTAGCTTTTGTTAAAAACAAAAACAAAAACAAAAACAAAAACAAAAACACCTTAGTAGCTATCGTTTTTAGGAGTAGAATGGGAGGCAGGTTTGCCCTAAGCAGTTCCCAGCTTGACTTTCCTTTTGGCTTTGTGATTTTGGGACCCCAAGATTCATTTTCCTTTTACACTGCTTACATTATCCATCTGTGTTTGCACGTTGTTTACTTATTTCATGAGAACGTTTACATATTTACCAGTTGTTTTAATTCCCTTCTGATAATTCCAACATCTGTGTCATACCTGACTTTGTTTCTGAGGTTTCGTTTCTTCAGACTGTTTTTATTTTTTCTTGTCCTTTGCTTTGGCCCAATTTTTACTGGAAGAACTCACGGATCAGGTAATAGGAACTGAGGAGAATCGGCTTCTACTATCAAGAGGTATGTTAATCTGAGTAGTTGCCAGGCTTTGCTCTGTGTTTGCTGAAGAAACTGCAAGCTCCTCTAGTGGCCTTGTTTGTGTCTCTGCTCTTGAGCTGGCCCTCTCTGAGTGTCTGACCTGCAGCTCTTTTCACTGAAACGCGCTATATATTTTGATTGCAAGGGAGCTCTGTTTATGTGATGGTGAGGAGAGGAGGAGGGGTCACGCTATGATACCCCAGTTTAATCTATTTATCTCAGAGGGCCTGTGATGACCTTAGCCTGAGGGTCCTGTGTGGCTTTCTTCCACTTTCCCTGCCCCTTGTGTGAGACAGAAAGGCTGGGGACATGGTCTGGAGAAGATGCCATTCCACGTGGCTCTGGACAAGGCTCTGGGCCAGTCTTCTCCTGGAAAGTAGGCCTTCCTAATGGAGGGGGCCCGGAGCTCATTTCTCTCTCTGGCCCTTGCCAGAGGCAGCAGAGAATCGTTCTCAGATCTTCACCATGAAAATGTACTGTGGTGTTTCTCTGGTAAAGCCCAGAAACGTGTGCAAGCCCCATAACGGCCACTTTCAAGAGTTTGTCACTCATCCACATCTATACCCAGTCTTCCTGGTTCATCAGAGTTGCCATTCAAGTGACCCAACCAGTTAACGGTCCCATGGAAGCAGATCTGGGCTGTGACTCTGGATTCTCCTCTGTCTCCAGATTCTATGATGGCTGTGCACTTTGTGCTCTAAGTTCCCTGATGGATGAAAGAAAAGACAGTGGTTTCAATGTGTCCAGCTGTTTCTTGTTGCCAGGAAATAAGCACCAGCCTCCAAGCATTTTACATATTTCAGCTGAGCCCGGAAGTCCTTCACTGATCAAAGTGTCCACAAAATTAGGATCTCCTAATTTGATCAAAAAGTGTTTTCTGCAAAATATTTTCTGGAAATTTGTTCTGTATTAGTATGTTCTCACACTGCTAATAAAGACATACCCGAGACTGGGTAATTATAAAGCAAAGAGTTTTAATGGACTCACAGTTCCACGTGGTTGGGGAGGCCTCACAATCATGGCAGAAGGAAGATGAGGAGCAAAGTCACATCTTACATGACAGCAGGTAAAGAGAGTCTGTGCAGTGGAACTCCCACTTATAAAATCATCAGATCTCATGAGACTTACTATCACGTGAACAGTATGGGGGGAAACCACCCCCACGATTCAATTATCTCCACCTGGTCCCACCCTTGACATGTGGGGATTATTACAATTATTACAATTCAAGGTGAGATTTGGGTGGGGACACAGCCAAACCATATCACTATATAGTATAAAATCAATAGTACATGTGTTTGTTTTTTTAAGTCCTATTCAGTTATTTTTTCTCTAATTTTAGGATCTTCTTGTCTTGTTATTTTGCAATTTAACTATGATATATCATCTCAATGTGAATATCCAAAAACAATAAAATAATGCTAAGAATTAGCAAAATAATGGTTACTTTTTTTTTTCGTTGTTAAATGGACATTTTGATGGTTTCTGAATTAAACTTTCCAAGAGTTAGGAATCGTGATATTTTAAGGGTTGTCACTCCATTTTATCTCCAGGTTTCTGGGTCTCATGCTTTTCACTGCAGCAGGTGAGTTTGCCTTAGGGAGTTGTCCCTGCCCTTTGGTAGGCAATCTTGTTACAGTCACTATTCCAGATGCCCTTCCTCCTTTGAAAAGTGGTTGGCACCTAATTTTAGTTCAGCCAATCAGTCCTTCTTTTCCTGACATTTAACTTGAAAATAAAGTGTCATCATGGACTAAAACTGGTTGTCAGTAACTTATCCGCTATCCTAATGGACAAACACACTCAGTAGGTCTTCTCATCTGGATTCCTTGAGTACTTTTGCTCTTCACCTGGCCAGGGCTTTTATCCTTGGCGGTTTTGTTGTTGTTATTGTCTGTTTATCACAGCTCCTTCCAATAAGTATTGTTATCTGCTGGTTATCCACTAACTGATTCTGGTGTTTAATATTTGTGATATAAAGCCTTATATATATTGCTGCTTAATACCATGGTATTGGTACATGACTGTTGACTGATGTTTGCATCGCAAAATTCTCGTCACGGCGTTCATGCATTTTCCACCTTCAACACAGATGGAATAGCTACAAGTGTCAGGCACTCTTCAGTTATCTTACACAGAGAATAAAAATTACCCCTCTCAAATTCTGGAGGAGTTATGAAGCGTTTCACACTGATTTTGCTCCCAAATTATCCAAGTGAAACTGGAAAACTACTAACTACACAAATATTCAACTCACTCAATTTGTTCACTTCGGCTGAGTCTGTTAACCAATAAAGTGGACCGCGGACCACTTGATTTCCTTATTTCTAAGTCCCTGAAAATATTTGGTCCATTTTTTCCCGACTGCTCCTTGTGTGTGTGTTCCTAACGTATAACCCAGCCCCGAAAACTGACACACACATGATATCAGGGGTGAAGGAAAGCCTCTTCGTAAACATCCAAACACCACCAGCAACTCCGCCTCAGGAAATTCCCCCGGGCTTCTCTTGCCACCATTTTGAATTTTATAATGCCAATCATTAGTTTACTTTGCTTGCTAATGTAACAGGCTTTGCATCCTGGATCACCCTCTTTCTTTTTATAATTTGGATAAAGATTCACAGATACAGCTGCTTTGTGAGGGATATAGGGCATTGAGTTGGGTAACTGCCAAGAAACACACCATGGTAATAACTGCCAAACGCTTTCCACTCCTGCATTGGAACCTGGGCCATTAAGATCCTGGATGCAAGCTCTCTCCTCCCCTCCTGTACCCACTTTACCTGAATTGGACATCAGGTAAATACCTTATCTCTTAAAAGACAAATTATAGTGTCTGACCTTTCACCTTTTATGGAAGAATAGCAATAATCACCCTGACTTTAAAAACAATTTGATAAATGAAAAGATTGGATCATAATTTAAAACATTATTGTCAAGCCGTTAATGGAAAAGAACAAAAATTTAAAGTTTTGACAGCAACAACAACAAAAATGGAAACAAGGAAGACGTTCTCTAGAAACTGTCAATCAATTACTTAGTTGATAGATCATTGAGCCCCTGTTATAAACCAGCTATGGTGATAGGCTCACAGTAGAGAGATGAAGAAAATAAGCAGCTTGCCCTTGAGAAACTCAGTCTCCTCGTGTAGGAGAAAGGGACTCTCCAAACACAGAAAAATCACAGTTGATAATATTCAAACTGAGAAAGGAAAAACCACCCTGAAACTTTACATCACCAATTTAATCTTTTAAAAATACCCATGAAAAAATCTTAATTTTGAAAAGTACTTTCAGAAGTCATAGTTTTAATAAACACGGATGTTTATTATAGTTTTAATTTACAGTTTATTATAGTTTTAATAAACATAGATGTTTATTAAAGCTAGCTCTTATCATTATGAGACTAGACACTAAAAACGCAGCATTGAAAGGAAGCATCTTCAGTGTGTGTGTGTGTGTCTGTGTGTGCATATACACAAATATATACACTATACACTATCCTGTAATTATATTACTTCATACTTAATTACATTAGGTCATTCCATCATAGCAAGATTTTCTTTGTGAGTAAAACAGAGTTGGGCTTTTTCTTTAAATTGAGTTGAACTTTTTGTTTGTCTAAGTCTCCAAGAAACTAAATTTAAGTTGCTGTGGGTATTGAAGTCAGGACACCATAGCTTTCAGTAAATCATAATATTAAAAAAATTGATTGCACAAGAGATTGATTTTGTGGGCAACAGCCATTTTTCTCTAAGACAAGTTATTCTGAGTGCCAATACGTTTTACCATACACAAATATATGGTAGTTTTAAACTCTGAACCAAAATGGATTTTTATCAACCCTTTCAATATGATTCTGTCACAAATAATTTTTTTTGGACAACAGCAGAGTACAAAACCCTTTAAATAGATATGTTGAGAGCAAAAATAATCTATTTTAATTGCAAGCATGTAAAAGTCTACCGTATTTACGCTAACCAGTAACTGTAGTGATAAAGGCTTTTTATAACTTTTTAAATTAATAAAAAGGTAAAAAATGTAATTCCTTAGAAATACATGAGATAAAACACATTTTGAAAAAGCTCTAAAATAAATGATCTATTTATCTAGCAGATTACTTTTACCAAGTTGTTTCTTTATGTTTTCTCAGAGGTTCACTTTTCTGCAGAAATATTAACTCTGTTAATACGCATTCCCATCCCCTCATTTCAGTATGATTCTAAATCAATAGAATTCTGTAGCTATGCCATGCATGTGACCATAAGTAAAGAGAATGCATATATTTGAAAAACACTGATTTCAGGAAGAACTAGTGTACTTATAGGAGAATGTACTATAAAATTTGGAGGAAAGAGAGTTCTGGTTTGGATCATGGGCTCCAGAGACTACTGTGGATTCAAAGTATAATTCTGAATATCTGTGTGATCTGGACCAAGTTAAGTCAACCTTTCATGCCTCAGTTTCTTAATTTGTAAAATAGGAAAAATAGTAGTATTACTAATTGATAGTTTTTGAAATTTTAGTAGACTATGAAATAACACATGCTTTTATATAATAAACATATAAAAATTTTATATATTGATTATATAAAAAAGTCTGATACATGCACAAAGCTGTTCACCGATAGTTTATTTCGATAATGGGAAAAGGGAAATATAAATAACTACCCAACATAACAGGTTAGTTATAGACATATTGTGGAATACACTGCAACCATTTAAAGTAATGCTGTACTCTATTTCTTCACTTTATGTAGAAATATGTTCAGGATATATTTTTGAGTGACTACAAAGCAGATTGCAAATAGGATGCATAGAATAAGCTCACCAATAGAAAATAATATGTATGTGAGCAAATATGCAAATATTTTTGCATTTATCTATGCAAAGACATCCAGCTTATTCCAGTTCTGTATTCTGCGGCTAGATCTGAGCAGAAGCCACACTTGGTTTTCTGGGCATACACACTGAGAAGTGCTGAGTAAACATGGGAAACACAGAGTGTGTTTGGCTCCCTGCGTTGCCTGGCAATCCTCATTATTTTTGCCTCATCGATTCCTCATATTAATTCACACTTTTTAAAATGAGGATATTTGACTCCTCCTTTTTACTCTCAGAAGTTGAATTTGCTTCTGAGTTGACTCAGACAAGAGAACGCTCTTAAGTTCTCATCATCACACTTACAATCCACCCACATTGTCTTCTCTCTTCTCACAATAAACTGTTAGTAATCCCTCTTTGGGAATTTTTTTTCCACAAGATCTCATGCTCTCTCTGTCACCTGCTTCAGATTGTTCTAGAAGTCTTTCATTTTTATGGTATGTTTAGTTTTCCTCTCTGTGGGAACCCTTTCCTTACACAAGAGGGAATGTGCACCAATGGATTCATCCGTCTCCAGAAATCTCCGTTCTGCAAAAATCCTCGGGAGTTATCTATCTCTGTCTCCACATCCTCACTTTTCACTTTCTTCAAAACTTTTCCAATCACACTTTCATCCCCATCACAGCAATCACACATTTTAGCCAGTGGTGAGCGTGAATAATCTCCATGGTTCATGCCATCCAATTGCAAACAGTCAGTTGGTCTTTCTCCCACCAAAACTTGCGTCAACATTATAACAGCATTGACCACTTCTGAGGCTTCCCCCTTCCTAAAACTCCCTCCCGCCTTGGCTCTTAGGAGCACGCACACACCTGGTTTTCTTCTCTCACCGGCTATTTCTTCTTGTGCATTTTCATGGCTTTGACACCTTTTTCCAATTTCTAGATGGTGACGTGTCCCAGAGAGCATTCCTCAGAGCTCTTCCATCTCTACTCATTTCCTAGGAGATCAATTCCAGGCTCAGAGTCTCTCTCCTGGCTGCAAGGTCCTAGACTGTAGCGGATGACATTCTCCAGTTGTGTGACATTTCTCCCCGTCAGAATATAGAGAGCTCGGAGTAATGCAGGTGAGACCCCTGGACCCTAACTTTCTGACAGCAATGCCTACTGGGGCAAATGGAGTTAAACACACCTCTGCTCTTCCCTCCCTCTGTGTCTGTGAGGACTGCTTCGGTCTGGCTCAACAGGGCTGCAGACAGGCAATAGACACGTGTGCCACATCCCCAAACAAACACTTTTTAAAAATAAACTCCTAGAAAGCCCATGCATGGTGTGCAGTTTTATTTCAGACAATAACATTTGCTACAATAAAAACCTTCTTATAAGCAAATATAACTTCTCTCTCCCTGTTTTTATGTCAAATCTTTAATCATTGTGAGTCAAACTGAATTATTCATAATTCTTAAAACAGCATAATGTTTTGGCATGTTTGTGATAATTTAAAGCAGCAATTTAGACGTTAAGGAAACACTTCTCTTTATTCTTCATTTCAGCAATAACTGAGCCATTAATCTCAGTTTGAGTTTATGTGACTGTTTAGTAGTCAGGCTTTCCCATCCATTTACACATTTAATTCAACATGTATTCTGTAACTTTTATTTTTTACTTTTTTTGGCTGGAAATATAGCCCTCGGGCAAAATAAAGAAAGTAATTCCTTTTTGTCAAAACATTGCAAGACTAGCTCAGGGGTTATCCAGTAGATTTCATTAGGACTGTGTGTCTCTAATTCTGCCATTATTATGCTTATCCTGAGAGACCTTAGGAGATGAAGCTCAGCCCTAATGGACTCACTATTATACTTGTAATTTTAACAGAAGGTCTTGGATATGAGTATTGTAAATTAGATATATTATACGACAAAAAGCAAAAGTGAAATGCTCCCTTTTGATATATTGGTATTTAAATAACGAATTTTATTAAAGCACAAAGGGAAGATGACCATGCACATGTGATCATTAGGAACATACCTCTGAACTCAGCATGATGAAAATCCCAGCTTTAATGAGAAAACAGCCTTTAAAAAATCTCTTCAGACAGGAGCTCAAACTGTGGTCATGTATTTAGATTTCTCTGTGGGGATAAACCTGTACATTAGAGAGGCCTCTGATTTCACCCTCTTTACACTTATCATATTTGAAAGGGTTGAATTTGTTACTATAGAGGTTTAGACAAACTTTATAAAGACGTTTTCATAGAGTGGCTTCCCATATATGTATATTGTGGCTAAAAATTACCTGGTCCCTGTACAGAAGTAATTCAGAGCACAAATGAATGAATTATGCTGCTTTTATATGAAGAAGGCTGACAAAGATGAAAAGTAATATATTATTACCATCAGTATTGATATTAAATAAAAATCTATCGTGGTAGAAAGTTGATTAAATTAGTCTCCTTCTATGTGAGAATCGGCAGTGGTTCATCTTGATTGGAATTGGCACACATTCTGAATGTGTGATCTTTATGGCTTCAGGCACTCGGCCATCACTGCCCTCTGAGGATTTGATCCATCATAGGAGATCTCACAGAGCAGCCCCTCAGAACGAGGACCCACTTTACAGCAAAGTAAATGGGAAATGGGTCTCGTGCTCCGGGATACAATGTTCTTATCACAGACTCCAGCAGCACAAAAACAGGTGCCTATTACAGCATTGAGATGACCTTTGCACAGGTGATGAGCTGGCAAGAGACCAGACTTTACAAAAATGAGATATTATTCTCCAGGTTGAAGTAGACACTTCGGCAGGGTGGATGCTAAGTCTCTAAGAGGAAGACATCGAGAAGCAGGAGTGGCCTCTCCTGTTTTTACTGCCGGTGACCTACTCGACAAAGCTGTGATTCTTTTTCTTGAAACCCTGGGCTTGCAGTTTGGAGGTCCTTATTCTCAAAGGGAAAGACTTTATTCAAGGATAGAGAAGCTGAAATTTTACTCTATAACCTTGTGCTAAGGACCAGCAGGCAAGAATAAAAGACATTATTCTTGCAGAGGTAATAAGCACCCCAAATCATCAGGAGGAGTTAGGGCTATTGTCACATAGGGGCATGCAGGTCATGCATATGGATGCTCCTCGGGACTTAGTTTCCAAAACACCATGGCAAGTGGATGAGTGCAGCAGCCAAGGTCTGAGAAGCGGTGATGGCTAGCAGCTCTGTTCTTTAAACCTAACCCTGGGACTGCTGAGGGCTCTTTCTTGCTCTGAGCCCCAGTCAATGCTGGCAGCCTTTGGCAGCTGTATGGATTGAAGAAAAGTGTTCAAGCATGGACCAGAGTGCTTCCGGAACACGGACAGACATAAGAGGCACTGTATTAGTCAAGGTTCTCCAGAGAAACTGAACCAATGGGAGAGAGAAAGAGATGAATGAATACAAAACTATATATATATATAGTCATGCAAATTTTTTTAACCAAGATGGATTTTTATTTAATATCAATGTTGATGGTAATAATATATTACTTTTTATCTTTGTCATTCTTGTTCATATAAAAGCATCATAGTTCATTCATCTGTGCTCTGAATTATTTCTGGATAGGGACCAGCTAATTTTTAACCACAATATACATATTTGGTAAGCCACTCTATGAAAAAGTCATTATAAAGTTTGTCTAAAACTCATATATATATATATATGTGTATATATATGTATATATATGTATATATGTATATATGTGTATATATGTATATATATGTATATATGTATATATATTTGCATATATTTACATAGACATATAGAGAGACAGAGAGAGAGAGGAGAGATTGATATTTATTATATTTTGAGAAAATGGCTCAGTTTACTGGGCAGGCCAGTGGGCTGGCTATTTATTTAGGTGACAGTTGAGGTGACAGTCTTTAGTATGAAGGCTGGAATCTTAGGCAGAATTTCTATAGTACAGTCTGAAGGCAGAATTTCCTCTAATTTTGGGGAACCTCATTATTTGCTTTGAAGACTTTCAACTGTTTGGATGAGACCCACCCATATTACAGAAATCTGCATTACATTCTGCAGGGAATTTCTTTATGGGGAAGAGCATTCCGTTATGAAACTATAAACATTTAAGTATCATTTTTCCCAAGAACTAGCAGATATGTCCTCTAACAAGTAAATAAACATGAATGCAAAATATGTTGCTACTGGAAAAACTATGGGAGCAGAAGAAAATGGAAGATTGTATTCCAAAGAGATGCCTTCATACTACAATTTTTTATAAAACACATATGTTTGTAAAACCTGGGAAAGCTTTACTTACTACTTTTCTGGGAAGAGGTCTTGTACATTTTCACATAAACCCTCACAACTTATCTCATGTCGGCTCTTATCCCAATGAGCCAATTTAATGGTGATTCACATGAGTGTCATCTTTGCTTTCGAACAAGAAGTTTGGCTTTATTTTTTTCTGACAGTTTCAGGAACAAGTCATTTTGTGAATCAAAGTTACAACTCATCAGTATTCAGCAGAAAAAATGTATATAAAGGCATACAAAATAATATTTCTGTTGCACAAAGGTTAAGATGTAAATTACGTGGCCGGGCGCGGTGGCTCCCGCGTGTAATCCCAGCACTTTGGGAGGCCGAGGCGGGCGGATCACGAGGTCAGGAGATCGAGACCGTCCTGGCTAACATGGTGAAACCCCGTCTCTACTAAAAATACAAAAAATTAGCTGGGCAAGGTAGCGGGCGCCTGTAGTCCCAGCTACTCGGGAGGCTGAGGCAGGAGAATGGTGTGAACCCCGGGGGACGGAGCCTGCAGTGAGCCGAGATCGCGCCACTGCACTCCAGCCTGGGCGACATTGAGACTCCGTCTCAAAAAAAAAAAAACGATGTAAATTATCAAGAATCCTTCAGTATTAAAATATGCCCACATACACTGTGAAACCTAAGGTTTTGCTGGATAACTCCTGTCATCTTGTATAACACACCGCCAGTTGTTTCATTAGACACAAATGAAGAACAACTGGACATTTATTATTCAACCGAGATCTTTGATGAGATTTGCTTCTTTACATACAGAAAAAATATATTACGTACATGTTAGATTTATGCCTCAGTGCTGCTTTCTTTCAAGTGTACCAGAGCCCAATGAAAATCATTAGACATATTATAAATTTACCCTGAAATATAGAGTGAAAAGCAGGCACCATTGCAGAGAGGGAGTTGATGCAATATTTTTCTTAATCTAGGATTTTCTAGTTTTTCCTGAAAATAGCTCCCAAAGGGAAATATACATGTCAAAACAAAGCAGATGGAAATAAAAGAATCCACACTGAGAGAGATTTAATTGCAAGGGGATTCAACACTGCTCCCAGACATGTTTACCAAAAGAGTATTAATGATTGGGTAAGAAACACAGGTAAGAAATATTTAATGTTGCTCATGGAACAATAAAAGATACACAGACCTGCCTTAGTTCAGGTGAGCAAACTAACAAGTGGGCACATTTTTATTTATGCACATAAATCTTTATGTATTTGCCATGTAAAGTTTACAAGATCCTGGAAAGAATGTGGCACAGGAGTTGAGGGAATGTAAGGCCAGAGGGATGTTACATTTGCAAGGGGACTCAGACATCCTGCAGGCCACGTTCCTGCTGGAGGTCCACATTTCATTAATGGATCTTGCCAGGTGCCTGAATCTAAGCTTCATTACTGACATGCAGAACATTTTGGTTTAGAATTGTATTTCCTAGACCTAAGACTTGAGATATAACTTTTAATTAATAGAAAAACATACTCCTTCTGCTACATGACAAATCTCCAAAGGTTTGAAACTGACTCTCAAATGTTCCCTACTCCTTTGGCAGTGCCTTCTGGAAGCTCAATATCTCTAAATCCTAAACCTTTCTTCACAGGACATGACGCGGCACAACCTGTGATGTTCCATCTGAATTCCCCTTTTCTGAAGGACTTGGTGCCCTTCTCTGGAGTACCTGCAGCAGATATCTCTTAGCTGTCAAATCCTGCAGATATTGCCTGAACTGTCAAGAGCTGTCTTCTGAAAGCAGTTTACACCTGCTGTTGATCAATATGAAAATATAAAGGTCTGGCTATTATGGCAAACATAAAACAATTCTAAAAGGCCATTATAATATTCTAAATTTCCTTGGGTTGTTATTTTTTCTGGGTAGCAGCTCAACTTTTTCTGCTACTTCCAGCGAACCTGAGCAAGGTAGTTACAGGGTGATTTATAAAATATGGTGTCCTTAGAAACAAGTAGTTATAACAAGTAGTTATGGGATGACTTATAAAATATGGTGTCCTTAGAAACAAGAGATGAGTCAGTAGCATGAATCATATTAAATTTGGTATATAAAGACTATGAAGGAGGGATAATTTTGTCTGTCACCCCAGACAAAAATCAGATCAGCCAAGATAGTGTACTATAAAATAATTGAAATAAAACTTTTCAAGACACTGATACCAGGCAATATAAGTCGCCTTATGTTGCCACACAAATCAGGTGGGCTGTATGATTTTCCCAGGTAACTGTCTTGAGTGAGTCTCCAACCTGTGACAAAGGGAAGCAGAACCAGGCAAGGCTGAGGGTTTGCAGGAAACAGTGCAGCTAAAATTAACAGGACAGAGTAATGGAGGGCTTCATGGAGAGAAAAAATCTGGAGTTCTGCATAGCGATCCTTTGGCATCTTTAGCAGAATATTGAGCAGAACATTTGTGTAAAGAAAATTCCAAAAGCCCAAAAAAAAAAAATCATCTGAAATATATGGGCACAATATATGATACTTATATAGGGCTGCAAATGGTGTCTGTTCCCTTCAGCCAAATTTGAAAACAATTTAAGGAGCATTAGGTAGAATATAAAAAATAGTCTTAGCTCAGTACTGGAAAATAATTATCCCTAGACTCTTTTTTCTCTGATCACACCTTAAAAATGTTAAAAGAAATACCCAGGGGATCAAACTTATTACAATCTTTAAGTGAATCTTACAATAAAGCTCAACATTTTAATAGAAATACCAAAATATGCACCAAACAACAAAGTAAAAATCACAATGATTGGCATGCAATCAAAGATTACTAGGCAGGAAAAGAAGCAGGAAATACAATCCAGAAAGAGAAGAAAAATTGACCCATCAAAACTAATCCAAAATTCGCAATGATGTGCTTTACAACAAAAAGGAAATTAAAATATTTATTATGATTTTTCCTCATTTATTTAAAAAGACGGACATAAAAATTATACAACAAAAAACCCAAGTCACATTTCAGGAGGTAAAAACTAAAAAGTCTGATATGAAAATATGGTGGTTAGCATTTGTGAAACATTAGATATTGAAGAGGAATATATTATTGAATGGGAATATACAGCAAAAGAAACTATGCCAAATAAAATGCAGATCAGAGAATTTTTAAAATAAAAAGAGCATTAGCGGGCAATAGAAAATCTTCAAGTGGCCGACAGATGTGTATTTCTGTCCATTAAAAAGAGGAAGGAGAGATCATGGCGGACGGGAGGCAAGACTAGCCTGCAGCTCTGGACAGAGCAGCGAGTGGGAGCTCGCATTGTAAACTTTAGCTCCAGATGGACGGCAAAAACAAACCAGCAATCCCCAGAGGACCCACAGACCCTCTGAAGGAAGTGGGCTGCTCCTGCAGGACCCGGGAGACCCCCAAAACTGTGAGTGTCCAGCTGCCGAAGTGGGAAAGGGAAACCCTCCTCTCCGGAACAGACACCCCCTGAGAAGTCTATTTGTGGGAGAAGTTTCCGACTTTACCTGGAGCTGAGTCAGTCTGGAGAGCTGACTGAAATACAGGGATAGAGGAGGCAGCAGCAAGGCCCTGGGAGCTGAATGGGTCCCCGGGCAGCCCATTCCTGCCTGGCACCACAGGGATCCAACGGGAGAGGAACAGAGGGTAAAACTACACGGAGAGAAGGAAATCTCTAGCTGAACTTTGTAACAATTCGAACAGCGTGAGAAGTCTCCTGGCCAGAACTCGGGGGAGGACACAAATCTCCTGCACAGTGAGTAAAATTTATATATGTATATTCAAAATAACTTCAGTATTCGAAATTGCTTCGGGGAATTTTGAAAACTCAGACTCTTTCCATACTGTTGTAGTGATCATATAGATAAGTAGGTCACCAGCATCATGAATAAAAATGCACGTTGTTGAGGTGGTTCTGAGAGGTGACAGCGTGCTGGCAGGCCTGGCAGGCCTGGCTCGCTCTCCGCGCCTCCTCGGCCTTGGCGCCCATTCTGGCCGCGCTTGAGCATCCCTTCAGCCCGTCGCTGCACTGTGGGAGCCCCTTTCTGGGCTGGTCAAGGCCGGAGCCGGCTCCCTCGGCTTGCGGGGAGGTATGGAGGGAGAGGCGCGGGCGGGAACCGGGGTTGCGCGCGCCGTTTCCCAGCCAGCGCGAGTTCCCGGTGGGCGTGGGCTCGGTGGGCGCCCCACTCGGAGCGGCAGGCCGGCCCGCAAGCCCCGGGCAGTGAAGGGCTTGGCACCTGGGCCAGCAGCTGCTGTGCTCGATTTCTCGCCGGGCCTGAGCTGCCTCCCCTCAGGGCAGGGCTCCGACCTGCAGCCCGCCACGCCTGAGCCTCCCCCGCCCCCTCCCGGCTGTGGGCTCCTGCGCAGCCCGAGCCTCCCCCACGAGCGCGGCTGCCTGCTCCTCGGCGCCCAGTCCCGCCGACCGCCCAAGGACTGAGGAGTGCGCGCGCACGACGCGGGACTGGCCGGCAGTGGCAACCCGCTTGGGTCACCTTCCACACTGTGGAAGCTTTGTTCTTTCACTCTTTGCAATAAATGTTGCTGCTGCTCACTCTTTGGGTCCACACGGCCTTTACGAGCTGTAACACTCACCGCAAACGTCTGCAGCTTCACTCCCGAGCCAGCGAGACCACGAACCCACCAGAAGGAAGAAACTCCGAACACATCCGAACATCAGAAGGAACAGACTCTGGACGCGCGGCCGTTAAGAACTGTAACACTCACCGGACCCGCCCCCTTTAAGAACTGTAACACACCGCGAGGGTCTGGGGCTTCATTCTTGAAGTCAGTGAGACCAAGAGCCCACCAATTCCGGACACAGTTTCTGCCAAGCCCAGATCAAACTCCCTCTTGGACTTCCTGTTAGCACCTTAAAGTGTATTTGCCATTTTGTAAGCTCCATCAGATCTTATTTTGAGCTATTTAACAGCCTTTGCACCTTATGCAACGTTGTAAGCAAACAGTGAAAGAAATATGTCACTTTGGAAAATGCATCTGAGGAGATTTCAAAAGATGCATGAAAAACGTAATGTAAAGATAAAAGTATTTAAAAATAAACTGTATTTATCAACGTAAACTCCATCAAGCTCAAGACACTTTTGTATCTTGTGATACCACTATTTAGTCTATTCGTAAAGAAATGAGGGTCCTGAGAATTTAACCAAATCAATGCAGTCTTTTTTACATGATCATCTAAAGAAAAATGGGTGCCATTTAAATATTTTTTAAGAGTAGGAAACAAAAAGAGCCCAGAAGGAGCCACGTCAGTTCTCTAAGATGGATGCCTAATGATTTCCCTCTGAAACGTTCACCAAATTGCCCTTGTTTAATGAGAGGAATGAGCAGAATCACTACCTTGGTGGAGAAGGAATCTGTGGGGAAGCTTTCTGGCATGTTTGTCTGCAAGAGCTTTGGCTAACTTTTTTAAAACACTCTCATAATAAGCAGATGTTACCATTCTTTGGCCCTCCAGAAAATCAACAATCAAAATGCCTTGGGCATCCCCAAAAACTGTTGCCATGACCTCTGCTCTGGACCCACCCACTTTTGCTTTGGCTGGACCACTTCCACCTGTGGGTAGCCATTGCTTTGATTGTGCTTTATCTTCAGGATCTTACTGGTAAAGCCGTGCTTCGTATCCTGTTACAGTTCTTGAAAGCTGTGCTTCAGGATCTTGATTTCACTTCTTTTAAATTTCCATCGAAAGTTCTGCCCTCATCTGCAACGGATCTTGGCACAGTGGTTTTGGCACTCAAGCGAAGAGTTGAGCATACTTTAGTTTTTAAAAGAATTGTGAAAGCTGAGCCAGTTGAGATGTCTATGATGTTGGCTATTGTTTGTGCTGTTAATCATCTGTCCCATTCATTAGTGTACAAACAAAACTAAGATTTTTCTCACAAGTGAATAAGGTTTTCTTCACAAGACTGAAGACTGCTGCTTCAGTCTTCACTTCAGCAACATTTCATGCCTCCTTATAACAAGTTATCCATTTGTAAATGGCTGGTTTATTTGGGGCATTGTTTCCATAAACTTGTTGTAAACCATCAATGATTTCACTATTTCTCTACCAAAGTTTTACTATAAACTTGATGTTAGTTTTTGCTTCAGTTTTACCAGAATTCATATTGCTCCGACAGGGGCTCTTTTTAAACTGATACCTTGCTTTTCTTAGTGCCTCAATCTAGATCTTTTTCACATATATCATAACAAGTTAGTTCAAGTTTATTTTGAAAAAGTGTAAAATTCATGCATAGGTTTTCGTAACATTCATTTTCCAACAGCTTTTTGAAGATCCCTTATATATGTTTTGGCTCAATTAAAAAAATAAATATTTCAAGTTGTGTGTCTCAAATTATGAAATAAATGCATAGAACACAGAATAATTTGTTCAACGAAGTCAGTATGATCATAGCAACAATGGAAAAATAATTTTGAAATAGAAAGGAGAAAACAGAAAAGTGAACAACTGCAAATATGTTGGAATGTAGTTCAGTTTTAATTTAAAAGGTGGATAAAGGCGTTCAAATGAGGAGGCTTCTTATATGCAGAAAATTAGAAACAAAAGATGTTTAGGAGAGGGGAAAAGAGGAAGAATAATAAGAAGAAAAAGGAGGATAAAGAGAAAGAATGGGGAGAGGAGGAGAAGAAAAAGCCAGGAAGGAGGGAAGAGAGAGAGGGGCAGAGAGAGACAGTGAGAGAGAAGAATACAGATAATTTCTGAAGAGCACAAACAATGCTTGACAGCAGTTGTTTCTATGGAGTAAAGTTGGGAATTAATGAGAGGAAGAGTTGTATTCTTCTGTTCTACTTTTTTTTTTTTTTTTTTTTTTTTTTTTTTTTTTGCTGTTTCATAATTTTAGAAACCCAGCTTCAAATGATAGAAATTTCCTCAGAAATTTGACTAAGAGGTCAGGTGCAGTGGCTCATGCCTGTAATCCCAGCACTTTGGGAAGCCAAGGCAGGCAGATCACTTGAGGCCAGGAGTTCAAGACCAGCTTGGCCAACATGGTAAAACCCTGTCTGTACTAAAAATACAAAAAGAAAAAAAAATTAGATGGGCACAGTGGCATGAGCCTGTAATTCCAGCTCCTCGGGAGGCTGAGACAGGAGAATCGCTTGAACCCAGAAGGCGGGTGTTGCAGTGAGCTGAGTCTCACTCTGTCACCCAGGCTAGATTGCAGTGGCACGATCTGGGCTCACTGCAACCTCTGCATCCTGGGTTCAAGCGATTCTCCTGCCTCAGCCTCCTGAGTAGCTGGGATTACAGGCACACGCCACCATGCCCGGCTAATTTGTTTATTTTTAGTAGAGACGGGGTTTCACCATGTTGGCCAGGCTGGTCTTGAACTCCTGACCTTAAGTAATCCACACGCCTACGCCTCCAAAAATGCTGGGATTACAGGCATGAGCCACCACACCTGGCTATATGTGGGTATTTTCTATTTGTATTTATATTTAAGATCTATGGAATACTAAGTACAGGGGAAACAAATTAGGTAAGGAATTTTATTTCTTCACTGAGCCAGTAAAATGCTATCACCCTCCATGTGTCACACTATGATAGGTGCTGGAGAGAAAACAAAGGCTAATCTAAGGTTTCCTATGGTAAAGGGATTACACTCATGTTGGGAGGAGAATTATCTCAGTGTTTTTATATGTTTTCATTAGGGCCCTGTCTGATTCACTCAGCTGTTCAGCTCACATTTCTCAGTTTCCAAATACTTGGTTTCTGATGCTCAGTATCTGAAGAATTGCTTGAGGAAAACGCTATAAGTAAAGCAAAACCCATAAAATTGTGACTTATAAAAAGTAGATAAAGTGTACATTTTATACTGTATGTAATATATAAAGTAAATAAAAGCAAATCATACAAACCCAAAATAATTGCACAATCCACAAATTTTCATCAAACAATAAAGTCAGGGTATTTTCCCTCCTGTGATGTTTTTGGAGCCTGACATCCAAAAGTTGCTAAGTTGAAGATATCTGAAAACAATGCTTCCATGTGCTGTCAACATCCAAATTTTCTTCAGTGTGATCAAGGGTACACACATTTGCTACAAAGGAAATTTAACTAAGGAAGATAAACCAAAGTGAAACTTCTAAGAATAAAGTGTTTTTAAAAATTTATTATTCAACATCCATTGTGCCCTCTCATAGCACCTTTCTTCCCTTAAACTTCAAGAAGATTATAACTTTAAAGGAATATATCGAGAATCAATTGCCAATTTACAAGTATTCAATGACCCCGACTTCACATAATATTAAATTATTAATTCTGTGGAAATAATATTTGCTTTTCTTTGGACATAATTGGTTTGTGTTTTACACATGTAATGAAGCTGTTTCTGACTTTTCCCATCTTCCATTTTTTATTCATAAGATTTTTACGTCACAGTTTCATAACCTTTAACGTTTATTCATTCAATGAATATTTACTGCACAACTACATACACTAAGCCAGGCACATTAAATAATTATATCAGGTGACAGTAACCAGATCAGTAACATAATTATAGAGTGTAGTAAATTTAAAAATAGGCAGTAAGCACTCTGTGAAAGCAGACAGAAACTAAGGATATTCTGCTTATGGAAAAGTGGGTAGAAAATTCCTACCTGAGAATATGACACTTCAGCTGAGAACTAAAGGATGACAAAATATTAACCGCACAAAGAACTCAAGAGTAGGATGTTTTGAGACAAGAAAACAGCAACTCGAAAGGCAAAGAAGTATAAGCGACTTTGGCACATTGTAGGCATCAGGGAAATAGGACTGAATATCTAAATTAAGGAGAAGAGGCCAAATATAAAACTTGAAAGAATTCTCGATCAACAGTTCTGGGGTTCAAATATTTTCCATTTCCCTGCTGGTAGCCATGGATAATGCATTTAGCCATGGATAATTCATTTCAATTTCAGTTTCCTGACACATAACACAGGGTTGTCAAGAGCCTGTACCTTGCGCCGGTGCCATGAGAAATTCAGGAGGTGATGCTTGTCACGTGCCCGCCACAAGGCTGAGCATGAGATAAGGAATCAGACTCCGATGAGGTGAAGGAGTGCATAGGATGACCGTGGAAAGACAAGAAGTGACCCCATTGCACGGCACTGGGAGTTTAGTCAAATGGAGGAAGAGGTCCCTAAGCAAATTCAAGTGGAGGGATTTCACGGTTTAACTTTGGTTGCAAGATGACTCTATTGGCACTGTGGACCATGGTCTAGATGAGGAGATGTTGAATGCAATATTCTGAGATGTATGAATGACTGTAAGAAAGGGGAAACTGAAAGAAGCAAATCTTTAGGGAAGGCCTGACCTTGAAGGAGACTGTAGAAAAGAACAGTAGAAACGGAGGCAGAAGGTAATAAGTTGTCTCTGTACATATGGAAAATAACTTTTAATTTAGCGTTTCTAATAATATTATTTTTTTCATAACTGTCGTTTCCAGAGATGCAAAAAATTATCATGCTAATTTAAAAAAAAATTACAGATATCTGGGATAAATCACATGCTGAGAGAAAAAAATAGTCTTTTTTCTCTTTTTTCTTTATCAGGTATATATAAGATAAACCTTAGAAAACATAAAACAAGCCTCTCAAATAACAACCTTAATTGTTTAAAATGATCTCCTTGACGTTACCTATTTGCAAGTGACTTATTATTATTATTTGAGACAATGTCAACTGGCATATTCAAAGTAAGGCTTTAATTGATGAATTTAAAATGAAATAAGTTGTTGTTTTTTTTAACTATTACATAAATGTTACTGGGAACTGCAGGAGTCTTTGGTTATTAGTCTTACTTGGAGAAAGCTTTCTGCCAAGCGACTGATTTAGCCAAAAAAAGAGAATTGATTGAAGGAAAATAGGGAGCCCCAGCGCGCTCTGCAAGGGTGAGGCAGAGAGGGCTGCTGAGGGGCGTGAGCCCGCAGCCCCCCAGAGCGCTGCGTTTTCTGCGTCGGGTGTTGATGACGTGGAACTAACGCTTCCTTGAAGTTCCCGCCTCTGCCTTAAGTCTCCACCTTTGTTCTTTGTCTAGTTTTACAGTTATGGCCTTAAGTCCCCTCCTTTTTCCTGCCTATTCCCCACCCCAGGCTTGTGGGACCCGCCTTTACTGTCAGTCAGTGCGCATGCGTGGCCGGGTATCGGACAGGAACTGCACCAGCGTTATCTCCTAGGAAGTTCTTCTTTGCCGTTTTCCGCTTATCAGCGTGCATCTGGCGATATTTTGACAGGTTACCTGCAGAGTGAGTGATCACTGGGCCTCTCAAGGGACATTCCTTCCTGCCTAGGTATTTCCCTTCCTCCCTCTCATACCCAGCGTGCAGACTTCAGGTAGTCCCTGGGGTATGAAGTTTTCCAGACCTCCCTTTTCTCAGGGGTCGCCCTCTCCTGCTCATGTGTGGCTGTCTGCCTAATCTAACACTAATAATACAATACATATAAAAATATATGTTTACAAGACAGCTAGATTCTCAGTCAAAATGTACAAGTGAAGACTCCGGATGTTTGAATTTGTTCAAAGAAGTTAAGAGCCCCAGAATAAAATCAAGTAAATGTAATATTTTTTCATATTTTAGTTCACAAATTAAGTCAGAGATATGCAGGCTTATCTCCTATTTAAACACTGTACTGAGACATAGATCTCTATCCTCAGCCGGTGTGGGTAGGGCCACACTATGGTCTTTGTTTCTAGCATCATATAAATAGCCATCAAGGTAGCCAGGGTTTTCTGTGAAATGTCGGGTCTACAAAGATCACTTGAGACACAGCTCTGAGGGTGATTGTTCCATGACACATGGTGAACAGAAGAGAATGTCACAAAGTAGGTGAGGTAGGAGTGCTTGAAGAAGCTGGACAGGGCCATAAAGTTGTTCTGCTAGAAGCCAGCGTGGAAGATTGCTCTAAGAAGGTTGGGGTGATTAAGGGAGATCAGTGATAACCTTGGTAAGAGCAATTTCTATGAAATGGTAAGGATATTCAGTTTTTCGTTTGTTTTATTATTATTTTTTAAGATAGGGTCTCACCCTGTCACCCAGGCTGGACTGCAATGGCATGAGCTCAGCCCACTACAACCTCTGCTTCCTGGGTTCAAGCGATTCTTCTGCCTCAGCCTCCAGAGTAGCTGGGACTACAGGTGCGTGCCACTACACCTGGCTATTTTTTGTATTTTTAGTAGAGATGGGATTTCACCATGTTGGCCAGGCTGGACTTGAACTCCTGGCCTTGAGTGATCTGCCTTGGCCCCCCAAAGTGCTGGGATTACAGGTGTGAGCCACTACACCTTGCTGCCAGTTTTTAGTTTCTTAGTAATTGTGGGAAATTAATACATGAAGACACTGAATATTGACAATTTTAAAAAGTTTGGTTACTTCAAGGATGAGACAGAGTTGAATCTGTTTAACACCTGATTAAAAAGATCCAAAGAAAAGAATGGGGAAAAAGTAGAGATTACAGAAGAGAATAATGCATAACAAATTGTAGTCTGCAGTAAAACGCTCTGTAACCTATATTCACCTAGTACAACTATCACTACATTTCACATAGTCTGCAAGTCTTATAGATTCCTATAAGAAAGAATTAACAATTAAATGTTTCTGTCTTCCTTAAAATTTCATAGACATATCCTAAAGGTTAAGAGAGTCCAATTATTTTATGTATGCAATCTTGTAATACAGAAATATAAAAATTAATTACAAAATGACAATGTTAAAATAATTATTTTAAATTGTCAGTTTTCAATAGAGTAACTGAAAGAAAAAAAGAACATATTTTTAGGCTGTAATTAAAATTTTATGACATCTAGTTTCTGACCTTAACAACTAAGATATTGTAGAGTGTTTTTTAAAAAAAAAAAAACAGTCCAAAACCTCACAGGTATCCTCTAAATTTCGAAAGGAGATAGACTATTTCTTTACCAGAGAATATAATATTCAACAGAAATACTAGCACCAAGTCTGCAGCTGGCTGATAAGAAGGACAATGAGAGCAATACAGCTCAAAGTGGTTCCAGGGAATATGAACTACTTAAACCGAACACAATATAAAATCTCAAACTCTGTCAGCACATCATGAGAAAATTATTTTAGAATGCATATGCAGAGGAATTAGAGAATAAGGTTGATGTAATGTGGAAACTAACAAAATTCAGGAGTGTAGGACAAGGTTCAAGTATCTTAAAGTGATGCCTGTATTGTCCAAATATTGCCATTGTTGTTAAATAACTTGAAGCAGTGATGTGACTGTGAAATTGGAAGTGAAATCAAGTCAAGTAAATATATTCAGCAGGGCATTTTCATGGAGGAGTATGTCCTTGGGAAAAGTAAGATATTCAGGTTAAATAGAAGATGCTGTTATTGAAATCATTCTCATTTTAAGACGCAATTACTCAGCTACCATGTGTTATCTAGATTTATTCATGGCTTCCTGGGTAGAAGTTTAAACTAAATACTTGAGTAGAATGTAATCTTGAAATATTTATATGTTCAATGTGACTAACAGTTGAGAGCTGCTTCAACAAAGCCTTTCCTAGAAATTTAACCTTGGTAACTGTGCTGCTAAAATACAGACAGTTCTATAAAAAAATAGTTTTGTAAAGGAAAGTGTCTCATTATTATTTACTATCAGGAGAAAATCTTTCTTTTATTTGCCAACTCCTCATATTTGTGTTCAAATTTAGGGACCTATTTGAAATTATATTTTATTTTATATTAGAAATTGCTTGTTTCAGGAGCTAATTTGTGAACAGAGATATTCAGATTTTACTTATTAAATAATAGTATTATAAGTGGTAGAATAAGGACCCATAGAAAATTCTCTCCCCCATAAAATCATGAGAATACTGATAAAGCTTGAGAAAACCAACATTTTCATGCTGTATTCCATCACCTCCTCCATCTCCATGGTATCCTCAACAAACTCTCCAATGATGGTGAAAACTAGGAGCTACATTGCCTCAAAAAGAGTGAGAACAGAGTTGAAACTCTTTTGCCTGATAGTTCTCTGGAAAACCCACTGCAGGCCTTGTCAATTAGTTGACCTGACTCAGTGTCTCCAAGTATGAAGACCCTCTCTTTAAAGGAATTTGTGAAAACAATTAGTGGCAATTATTTAACATTACATCTGCCTGAGACAGAGAAAACAGTTGAGAGCAAAAATGCAACATAAATGAAAAACTTAAAAGGAAAAGCTGGAAAATGAAATTTTCATGGGAACTTAGAAAAGCTCTGACATATTTGGTAATGTAAACACATGTCTATGCAAAATGTTGTGTGCGTGGTCAGGAAAGACCTGAGAAGTCTCTCACCTCTGGCTGAACTTGAGGCTCAGCGCAAGAAGAAAGGAAAGGTGAAGGTAAGTTGTAAACTGTCCAACAAGGAGTTGAAGGCATGCCTCAACATTCATGCAGAACTCTGTGGCAAAGACTGGGACACTTAATGTTTTCAGGTATTTGAGGAAATCTACCCTATCATAAGCTGACTTTAAGCTACTCTAGCAGTCTTCAGTGGCTACATACAACAAAGAGTACAGGCTGCACAGAATTATTTCGGAAAATTCACTAAACAAACTTCAAGAACAGCAAACTTGAAGGAGAGGAAGTGAATCCTATCAACTAAATTTTCCTATCATATTATTTATGTCTCTTTTCAACAGAAAATTTTGAGACAATAAACAGAAAAAAATGTGTATATACAAGGAAAAAAGGAATATGTAGAAAGTGTCTACAAAAAAGCCCCTACTTTGGATTCATAAAGCACCAATTTTAAATCAGCTGTTTTTCATTTCTTTAAACAACTAAAGGAAATCATGTCTAAGAAAGTAAAAAAACATATGTCAAAAATATCTCATCAAAAAGAGAATATCAATAAAGAAACATAAATTTTATTTTTATAAAAAAGCCAAATATAAATTCTAGTGTTAAAAAGTATAATATGTGAAATGCAAATTTCACTATGAGAGCTTGACAGCAAACTTGAGCTCGCAGAAGACAAAAAAATCCATGAGTTTGGAGGTAGGTTTTTTGGTATTGATTATCCAGTCTGAGGAACAAAAAATAATACTAAAACGAGAAATGAGCAGAGCCTCAGGGGCCTATACAACAACATCCAACGTACCAACATATGCATAATAGATTCCCCAAAAGAAGAGAAGAGAGAGAAGAGGGGAAGAATAAATATCTTTTAAAAATGGCCAAAACCTTGAAAATAAAATACAAAATATTAATCTTACATGTAAGAAGCACAGTGAACTCCAAGTGGATAAATTTAAAGAGATCCACACCTAGATGCATCGTAAAATTGTCCAAAGACAAAAACAAAGAGTAGCGAAATCAACAAGTGAGACGCAACTCATCATGTATGAGAGAGAGTCAAAAGATAAACAGCTGATTTCTCACCAGAAGCAATAGGGGCCATAAGAAAATGGAATGGCATATTCAAAGAACTGAAAGAAAAACACTAGTCAACTAAGAATTCTATATCCTGCAGAACAGACCTTTAGAAATAAAAAAGAGATTAGAACACATTCAGTTAAACCAAAAAAAATAAAAGAGGATTTGCCTCTTGCACACTCTGTTGTATAAGAAATACCAAAGATAGTTCTTCAGACAGAAGTAGTAGAATGCCAAAAGGAACTCAAATCCACATGAAATGATGAGCAATGGTGAAAATAATTACATAGGTAAAAATAACAGAGATTTAAATGTATTTTGTTTTATGGTAACACTTTTTTCTCCTACCTGATTTAAAATACTACCACATAAAACAATAACAATAAAGCTGTGTTGATGGAATTCAGTGTACAAGAACATAATTAGTATAACAATAACATAAAGGAGGTTAGAGGGAATTGAGCCACGTAGGAGCTCAGGTTTTGTATACTAATAAAATTTAGTTGGCGGTAATTCAAACTGGATTATTATAAGTTAAATTGTTAGGTGTAATTCCAAGGCAAACAGTAATAAAATTACTCAAAAAAAAAATAGGAAAAACAAAGATAACAAGTTAGTACACTATTAAACATTCACTTAACACACAAGAAGGCTGTGAGGGGGGGACGAAAGAAGCAAAAACACATAAGACGTATAGAAAATGGCAGATGTAAATTCTGCCTTATCAATAATTATATTAAATGCAAATTGACCAGTCTTTAATCCAGTTTGAGTTGATTGTTGTGTAAGGAAGGGGTCCGGTTTCATTTTTTTTTTTGCATGTGAACATTAACGTTTCCCAACATCACTCATTGAAGAGACTATCCTTTCCCCATTGTGTATTCTTGACAATTTTGTCAAACTTACAAAACATACATGCATACAAAGGACATAAGGAAACTTTTGGAGGTAATGGCTATGCCTATTATTTTGATTGTGGTGAAGATATTACAAGTGTTTGCCTATGTCCAAAATTATCAAATTATGCATATTAAATATATGCCATTATTTGTATATCACTTATATTTAATAGAACTGTTAAAAATGTAAATAAACTAAAAACAACATCAAAAAGCAGAGATCAGCAGAATGGATAAAAACATAGTTCAACAATCTGCTAGCTACAAAAGATGCATTTTGGCTGGGCGTGGTGGCTCATGCCTGTAATCCCAGCACTTTGGGAGGCCAAGTTATGCAGTGTTATGAAGTTAATAAAAATATGTCTAAAGCTTCCTTTTTATACATGTTGTATATGTCGTGGAAGTTACCAATCAAACTGGTTTGCAAAGCATCTCACTTCAGCACTGCAAACATTTATTTTTCCAGGTTAATATTTGCAAGGCTTCAGAGCATACTTTCCTATGCATTCATTCTCTTTGCCTTCCCGACCTGAATTCCAATTTCCTCCAACACTGGGCACTCCTTTAGTCAAAAGGTGAGATTACTACTTCTCTCCCAGGACACCTTCACGTAAGCATCACACGGACTACCGGGATCCCCTGGACCAACCACCTATCAGATCTACCGTTAAAGGACATATGTCATCCTGCAACTAGCCCCAGAAGAAAATCCTCAGTTTCTCTGTGCTTATTTTTAACCTCATTCTCCACCAGTGGCACATGTGGCTGAAAACAACCATAATGCTTTCAAGGAGGATAGGATTTTTTTCTTTCTCCTTTCTGTTTATTTTTCCCTACTCTAATATATTTAAATCATTTTGCTGACAGTTACTCATTTTCCTACACTGCTTTTTTCCCCCCTCAACACATCTGTGAATATATTTTAAAATACAGAGATGTAGCATATTTTCTGATATGGTTTGGCTGTGTCCCCACCCAAATCTCATCTTGAATTGTAGCTGCCATAATCCCCACGTGTCATGGGAGGGATCCAGTGGAAGGCAATTGAATCATGGGAGCAGGTTTTTCCCCATGCTGTTCTTGTGACAGTGAATAAGTATCACAAGATCTGATGGTTGTATTAAGGGCAGTTCCCCTGCTCATTCTCTCTTGCCTGCTGCCATGTAAGATGTGCCTTTGTTCCTCTTTCACCATCTGTCATGATTGTGAGGCCTCCCCAGCCAGGTGGAACTGTGAGTTCGTTAGACCTCTTTTTCTTTATAAATTACCCAATCTTGCGTATTTCTTTATAGCAGTATGAAAATGGACTAATACATTTCCATTCACAGTTTACTTGAAGATAGGGGTCCTCAACGTGGTCTACACAGATCACACATATCAGCATTATTTGGCAAGCTGTTAAAAATGCACATCTGTTGCACCCAAGACCTATAGGATTCATCTAAAATCCTATTGGGTCAGAAGCCCTAGGTTGGGCCCAGCTCTCTGTCTCAGCAGTTCGTTCAGGTCTTCTTTGGCTCACTCACATGTGAGAGCCTCTGCTCCAAAGTTATAATTCCCAATCCACCTTAGCAAATGGAGGTTCCCTTCCTCCTTATCATAGTACTGTGAATTACACAATGGTGATTTTTCTAAAGATTTTCCCATTTATAAAGATAAAACTGGGGCTCTGCTGTTTTGTGACTTGTCCAGATGAACTAGTTGGGATTTTGGCTGAAGTTGCACCTCCTGGGCCATTGTTCTCTGTATTGTAAATCAAAGGCTCATAGGAAAGCGTAGTATAATTCTCATTCACTCTGGCATATCCCCAGGATTCATCTAAAATCGTCCTGTTTTGACCTCCTAGAAAGGTCATGCTATTTTATCTACATGCATTAACATCCATCTAGTAAATTTGTTTCCTCAGAAAAAGTAGCTTGTTGATTAATAGATAGCCATTAGATATTAACATATGACATTTGGGATATTACATTTATATTATAAACTGGAAATCATTATAAACATTTCACTACTATTATCCTTCCTTGTGATTGCATATATTAGTTAATGTAGCACCCTGAATGATGTAACAAAAGTGAATCTGATACTCAGTTTCTTAAGAAGAAGAAACATTTATTTTTCCCTTACGGTGTGGTCCGGGTGGTATTGATTAAGGTTACAGGTTTCTCTCTCTCTGTTCAAGTCAGCTGCTCTAAAAACTACCAACCAGTCACTGGAAAGGAGGAAGTGGCAGGACATGCATTTAAATTCCCTTCTTAGTGGCCTACCTCAGAAGCAGCAGCCCAGATCATAATTGATCTGATCAATGGACTGTCTCATTACAATGCCATATTTGACTGTTTTTCATCAGCACCAATAGAAATCAGAATTTGTGCAAGTTGTACTTCACAGCTACCTGTAAACCAAAAACAAAATTCAAAGACCCCTCCCCCAACCACCTGAATGGACTTCCTCCTCAGCTAGGATTCTTTTAAAATTTAACCTAAGAGACTGTTTCAGGCCATGACAGGAAGTGGGGGTCGGACATGCCTCATTGTACCTCTCCAACATTAACATCAACACAGACTTTAAGTCTGACAAGAAACATTTTACAACCTATTTTATCTAAAGCATAGTACCTAAAGGCTTCCTTTGCAAATAAGAACTTGGGTCTCCATAATCCTTTATCTTAACCAAGGCATTCCTTTCTGTTGATCCCAGGTCTTTAGATCAACTCAACCAATTGTCAATCAGAAAAATTTTAATTCTACCTATAAGCTGGAAGCCCCCACTTTGAGTTGTACCACCTTTCTGAACCAAACCAATGTATTTCTTAAATGTGTTCGATTGAAGTCTCATGTCTCCCCAAAATATATAAAACCAAGCTGCGCCCTGACCATCTTGGGCACATGTTCTCAGGACCTCCTGAAGGCTGTGTCATGGGCCATGGACACTCATATTTGGCTCAGAATAAATCTCTTCATGTATTTTAGAGTTTGATTCTTTTCATCAACATATTTTTTCAAGTTTTTGAGAGATTAAAAACAATCATAACTTTTGAGTTGCAAAGAGCAGTAGAAATTATTTAATCCAAGTTCTTCATCTGAGAGGTAGAAATACTGAGTCACAAATAGAGAAGAATGTTGGTTTGCACAGATGACTGTGGAATCAAAATTGAAATCTCTGGGACCCATATCCCAGGACTGTGCTTTTATCTACTGCCCCTGTTGCCTTTCAGAAATAAAAATTTCAGAATCCTCAAAAATATTCAATGAAATGTTTTTCTTTGGGAATAAGAGTAGATAAGAGTAGTAATTGAAAAGTCCAGTGATATGAGAGTACTAGGGGCAGCATATTTCTGAAAATAAACAGAATGTGTGATTTAATACACTTTGGAGTTCAAGCATAAGCATCCTTGAAGTAACTATATATCCTGCATCTTCAAGGAAAAGTTCATAAGAGCTTCCTGGAAAAGGTCAGTTCTGAAATTTCTTCATGACTTTCACTAGATAAAGAAGAATAGATATTTTTAGCAATGACAGCGTGCTGAGAGTCACAGGTACTCTCAGATATAGTACACCATGTAGTAATTGATATAGATTATAAATAACATTTTTCTTTGTTACTCTTTGCCTAAAGTGTTACTTTTTATAACAAAAACCTTGTTACTTGATCCAAAGCTTCTCAATCTTTCATCTGAAGTTTTGCAATTGCTCCCTCCCTGGTCTCCTCACTTTTGGCTTTATCTTTCTGTAGTCTATTCTTCCTCCATTGTCTGTAATAACAGTGTAAACAAGTAAATCACATCATATCTCCCCTATGCTCAAAATTCTCCAATGACTTTCATTCCCCTTGGAAAGAAAACAGAGGTGCATCATAGTATCCAACATTCTAATCATAGGTTTCTCCCTAAGAACACCAAAAATGTAGATCCACACAAAAACATGTGTGTGAATATTCATTGCATTGATGTTGATAGCCAAAAACGGAAACAACCCAAATATCTGACAACCCAACATTATAGTGGCTGCAGTGGCCATGAGACTGCCCGCCCCATTCCTCCCTCAATCCCAGGCAGCACAGCTTGAAAGAGATAGTGTCCTCTTGGGCAAAGGAGAAGAAAGTAGACAAAAGATGCTGCCTTGGAGCCCACTACTGGGGCTGCAACTGTGAGGCCCAGCCCTTGGCAGAGCCCTGCAGTGCCTGACTCAGTGCCTACAACTATGGATGAAGCATCCAGACCCACTCCAGCCCCAGGTGGAAACCTGTGGAAACACAGTAAGAACTACTCTCTGTAAGCCTTTTCCTTGGGAATAACACACCAACTGTGGATTTGCAGCAAACCAGGGTTTGAGGTGCCTTCTATTATGGCAATGCCCACAGGCTTAGAGTACCTGTCTGCTTATAATCTCTAGAAGGATGGGAACAAGCCCAGATACTGGAAACCTGCATAAATATGTAATCCTTCAAAGCACAGGTGCTGTCCCATGCCCACAGCCATGAACAATGCTTAGAGAACCAGAACCTTACCAAACAGATGAGACAGGGTGTCAGAGACCAGATCCTAAAGTGCTGAAGATGTGTGACCTCTCAAAGAACTCAAAATAGCTGTTTTAAGGAAATTCAATGACATTGAAGAATATACAGAGAAACAATTTAGTAATTTCTCAGAGAAATTTAACAGAGATATTAAAACAATTTTTTAAAGATCAAATTTTGGAGCTGAAAAATACAAGGAATCAAATGAAAAAATGCAATGTGCAGCATCAACAGAAGCAGAAAAAATATTTAGTGCTCTCAACAAACAAGCTCAAAGAAAATCTCCAGTCAGAGGAGAAGAAAGAAAGAGAAATAAAAGGAAAGAAAACCCATAGGAACTATGGGACAGAATAAACAGAGTAAATATTCTGATTAATGCGGTTCAAGAGGGTATTGAGAATGCTAAAGGGGTCAAAAGCCTTTTCAGAGAGATATACAAACATCCAAGTAGAGAAAGTTCACCAACCAGATTAACTCAAATAAGTCTACACCAAGACATACCCTAATCAAACTTTGCAAGGTCAAAGACAAAGAGAAGATCCTGCAAGCAGCAAGAGAAAAGAACAAAAATCACATAAGGGAGTTCCAATTCTCCTGGCAGCCGAATTTTCTGCATAAACCCTACAGGCCAGGAGAGAGCTGGATAATATTGTCAAGGTTGTTAAAAACAAAAAAGTGATAAACTGTCAACCAAGAATACTGTGCTCATACTCTGCTCAGCAAAGCTATACATCAAAAATGAAGGTGAGATAAAGACTTTCTCAAACAAAAGCTCAGAGAATTTCACAGACCTGTCCTACAAAAAAATGCTAACAAGAGTTCTACAAACTGAAAGAAAGAGATGCTAATGTGTAGCAAGAACACCTCTGAAGGCAGAAAACTTACTGGTAAGACTAAGTATAGAGACAAATTCAGGATACTTTAATACGATAAAGAACTTATATCTTTAGTATGAAGACTAAAATACAAAATTATTCAAAATAATAATAACTACATTAAATTGTTAAGAGATAGGCGATTGAAAAAAAAGATGGAATGTGGAACATCAAAAACGCCAAATGTGGGGGAGAACGCAAGTAAAGTACAGAGTTTTTAATTTTTTTAATTTTTTTGTTTTTAATTTTTTTTTTCCTAACAAAGTCAAGTTGATATTGGCCTAAAGTAACTTGTTATAACAAAAAAGTTTTTGGTAAGCCTCATGGTAATTGCAAATCAAAAACGTTTAATAGGTGTACCAAAAATAAAAGCCAACAACTCAGGAAACACTGCTAGACAAAGCCACATAGCTACAAAGAAAGACAATAAGAGAGAAAGGGAGAAAGGAAGTATTGAGAAAAAAAAAACTAGAAACTAAACAGCAAAATGGTAGCAGTATTTTTAAAAAATCAAGATCCAACTACAAGCTGCTTACTAGAAACTCACTTCACCTGTAAAGACACACATATACTAAAATTGAAGTGATGGAAAAGTATCTTCCATGCAAATGGAAACCAAAAGGGAGTATGAGTAGCTAAGTTTATATCACATAAAATAGTCTTTAAATCAAAAGTTTTAAGGAGAGACAAGGAAGGTCACCATACAGTGCAAAAGGGGTCAATTCACAAGGAGGATATAACAACTATAAGTGTGTATGCACCCAACATTGGAGCACATAATATATACAGGAAATGTTCCTAGACCTAAATAGAGAGATAGAAATGAGTACAGTAACATTAAGGAACTTCAACACCGCACTTTCAGCAATAGACATACATCATCCAGACCAAAAAAAAAAAAAAAAAAAAAAAAAAATCAACAAAGAAACAGCAGAGTTAAACTGCACCCAAGACCAAATGTACCTAAGAGACCAGAACATTCTACCCAGCAGCTGCAGAATATGCATTCTTCTCAGCAGCACATGGGACATCCTTCAGGAGAGATTGTATGCTGGCCACAAAAGTTTCAATAAATTTTAAACAATTAAATTGTTTCTGAACGCGTGCAATAAAACTAGATATCAATAACAAGAACTTAGGACTCTACAAGAATACATGAAAATTAAACAACAGGCTACTAAACAACCACTGGGTCAATGAAAAAATTAAACAGAAAATGACAAAATTTTTTGAGATAAATTATAAAGAAAACACAATATTTCCAAGCCAATGGAATCCAGGAAAAGCAGTGCTGAGAGAAATTTATAGCAATTAAGGCCTACATT
The DNA here is from genome assembly GCF_000001405.40 of Homo sapiens. Classification (NCBI taxonomy): domain Eukaryota; kingdom Metazoa; phylum Chordata; class Mammalia; order Primates; family Hominidae; genus Homo; species Homo sapiens. Next base: position 2,745,740 of record NC_000008.11, read on the forward strand.
AGAAAATAGAAAGATCTCAAATAAACAACTTAAAGTTACAACTCAAGAAACTAGAATAACAAAAGCAAAACAAACTCAAAATAAGTAGAAGAACTAATTAAGATCAGAGTAGGAATAAATAAAATAAGGGCTAAAAACTATTAAAGATCAGCAAAACAAAGTTTTTTTTAAAACATAAAAAATATTGACAAACTGTGAGCTACAGTAATTGAAAAAAAGAAGACTCAAATAAAATCAGAGATAAGAGCCATTACAACTGACACCGCAGAAATACAAATGATCATTAGAGTCTATTATGAACAACTATATGCCCAACAAATTGGAAAACCTAGAAGAAATGGATAAATTCCAGGACATATATAACTTAACAAAATGGAATCATTAAGAAATAGAAAATTTAAATAGACCAACAATTAACAACAAAATGGAATCCGTAATAGAAAAGTCTTCCATTAAAGAAAAGCCCAAGGCCAGATAGCTTCACTGCTGAATTTTATCAAGCATTTAAAAAAGTACCAATACCAATTCTTCTCAAATTATTGAAAAAAAAAATAATGTGGAGGGAATTCTACCAAACTCATTCTACAAGGCATAACAGCAAACCAGACAAGGACACAGACATGAAAAGAAAACTACAGGCCAATATCCCTGATGAACACAGGTGCAAAAATCCTCAGTAAAATATTAGTAAACCTAATCTAACAGCACAACAAAGAGATTATTCATCATGATCAGGTAGTATTTACTCCAGGGATGCAAGGATATGGAAATCAATAAACATAATATATCACATCCACAGCATGAAGGCAAAAACCTGATTATATTAATAGATGCAGAAAAAATTGGATAAAATCAACATATGTTTGTGATCAAATTCTCAAGAGATTAAGTATAGAAAAAATGTACCACAACTTATTAAAGGCTACATACCACAAACCCCACAGCTAACATCATACTGAAGGGAAAAAAATTGAAAGCCTTTTCTCTTTTCTCTAAAGTCTGGAATAAAAAAGATACCACTTAGAGCACTTTTATTAAACTCAGTACTGGAAGTCCTAACTTGAAATAGTCAGGCAAGAGAAAGAAATAAAGGACAATCAAAGTGGAAAAGAAAAAGTCAAATTGTTCCTGTTTCCAGATGACATAATGTGATATATAGTAAACTCCAAAGACCCACTGAAAAACTATTAGAACTAATAAGCAAATTTAGTAAAGCTGAAGGATAAAAAAATCAACATACAAAACTTAGTAGTGTTTCAATACCAATAGCCAATAAATAATGAATTATCTTAAAAAAATGAAGCAAACAATCTATTTTACAATAACTACAAAAGTACAACACCTAGGAAATCATTTAACCAAAGTGGCAAAAGAACTCTACAATGGAACCTGTAAAACATTAATAAAATAAATTGAGAAGACACTAAATAAATGGAAAGATAGTCCATGTTTATGGGCTGAAATAACTAATTTGGTAAGTTGTTCATACTACCCAAAGTGAGCTATAGATTCTATGAAATCCCCATCAATAGACAGATAATATTCTTCACAAAAAGAGTAAAAAGCAATTCTAAAACTTGTATGGAACCACAAAAAATCCACAAATAGTCAAAGCAATATTGAGCAAAAAGAACAAAGATGGAGGTATCACACTACCTGAGTTTAAAACATACTACAAAGCTATAGTAACTAAAACAACATGGTAATGTCATTAAAAAGAGACAAATAGACCAATGGAAAAGAATAGAAAGTCCCTAAATAAACCTACACATCTATAGCCAACTGTATTTGACAATAGTGCCAAGTATACACAGTGGAAGAGGAGAGCTTCTTTAATAAATGGGGCTGAGAAAAGTGTATATCCACATGCAAAAGAATGAAAGTAGACCCTTGTAGTGCACCACATATGAAAATTAACATGAATTAAAAACTACAGAATGGGAGAATATATTTGTAAAATATACCTCAGGTAAGAGCTCATATCCAAAATATGTAAGAAACTCAAATAACAACAAACAAAAGAGCTGAATAGATATCTATCAAAATAAGACATACAAACAGCCAACAGGTATATGAAAAAATGCTCAGCATCACTAATAATCAGGAATATGCAAATGAAAATAATAAGAAGCCTCCTCACTCCAGTCAGAATGGCTACTAACAAAAAAATCAAAAGATAACAAGTGTTGGCCTGGATGTAAAGAAAAGGAAACTCTTACACATTACTAGTGCAAAATAGAGAAGGTACCCTTCCACATTATTGGTGGGAATATAAGTGAGTACAGTCATTATGGAACATATTATGAAGGTTTCTAAAAAATTAAAAACAGATCTAGCAATGCCACTATTGGGTATATGCAAAGGAAATAAAATTAATATATCAAAGTGATATCTGCATTTATTTATTTATTTATTTATTTATGTGAGATGGAGTCTCTCTCTGTTGCCCAGGCTGGAGTACAATGGCGTGATCTCAGCTCACCGCAACCTCCGCCTCCTGGGCTCAAGCAATTCTCCTGCCTCAGCCCCCCAAGTAGTTGGGATTACAGGCACGTGCCACCACATCCAGCTAATTTTTGTATATTTAGTAGAGATGGGGGTTTCACCACGTTGGCCAGGCTTGTTTTGAACTCCTGACCTCTAATTATCTGCCCACCTCAGCCTCCCAAAGTGCTGGGATTACAGGTATGAGCCACTGTGCCTGGCCTCCTATGTTTATTGCAGCACCATTCACCATAGCCAAGATATGGAATCAATCTAAATGTCCATCAACAGACAAAAGGTATAGATACACAATGGCATACTATTCAGCCATAAAAAGTAATGAAATCCTGTAATTTATGGCAACATAGATGAACCTGGAGGACATTATGTTCAGTGGAATAAGCCAGGCACAGAAAGACAAATACTGTGTAATTATACACGTATGTGACATTGAAAATGTTGTCATAAAAGTAGAGGGTAAAATGGTGGTTACCAGAGGATGGGAACGGTGGCAGGGGGAGACGATGAGACAGTGGTCAATGGGTGCAAGCTACAGTTAGATGAGAGGAATAATTTCTGGTGGTCTACTGGATAGCGGGATGATTAGAGTTCAAACGAATGTATTCTATATTTCAAAATGGCCAGAGGAGAGGTTTTGAATGTTCTCATCATACATAAATAATAAATATTTAAAGTGATGGATATGCTAATAACCCTGATTTGATCATTACATAGTCTATACGTGTATGGAAACATCCTGTTGCATCCCATATGTATGCACAATCATTATGTGTCAATGACAGACTTAAAAGATTAAATTAAAAAAGAACTATTGATTCATGCTACAACCTGAATGTTTGTCAAAAACACCTTACCAAGTGAAAAACACCAGAGACATCAATAACAAAATGCTGGAAAAAGCACAGAAAGCAGATAAGTGGTTTTCTGAGGCTGGGTTTGGTGGAAGGATTAACAGCGAAGGGACAGTAAGGAACTATTTGGTGTCACGGAAAGGTTCTGAAACTTGCTAGTGGTCTTGTATCTTTGCATACATTAACAAACTCATTGAACTGTAAGCTAAAAATACATGAATTTTATTGTATTACACCTCACTAAATCCAATGAAGGAAAGAAAAAGCACTTAGAGCCTTCTCTCCCAGCATTCTTTTTGTTTTGTGCTGCAGCTCCGTTGGGCCACTTGAAGTAGCTGCGGGACGCATTGCTATATTCCAAGTCTTCAGTCAACTTATTTTCTCCACTAGGAACAACACTTTCTTCCCTTTACTTATTGGGGGACTTCAAATTTCTTACCAATTATTTTGTTCCACCCATTCAACGTTTGGCAGAAATTTCTAATGATCTTCTACTTTATGAACGTTTGACATTTTGAATAAATGCTTATCCAACATTCTTTCACATTTTAGTATCTGTATGCATGACTTCTCAGGTTAAAAACATTCCTCAAGTCAGGCACTCAGAAGGATTTCACCTTGGTAGCCTTGGTACCTAATTTCGTGCCTAGAACGTAGGAAGTCCTCAGTATACAGTTGCAGTATTAAATTCCTCTAAACATTGACTTCTTTTCTTGACATCTTTTAATTCTTAGTGTTAATTTTACTTGAAAACCTCACAAATTTGAAGCAACAGTGAGAATCCTAGCACAGTGGGTGTCCGGGGCGGGGAGCTCTGCCTGATTCTCCAGCCTCTTCCCTTGAGGTGGGAGGTTCGTTATTTGTAGGAACATCTGGATGGTCATGTCAACTGGGCATCACCCCCTAAATTGAACCTGTGAGGGTCAGCCCTTATTTCATACCCCCGGGTACTACCCCCTACCCTGACCTTCCTACATGTCACCCCTACCGAAACCCCACCCTGGAGCCCTTTTGTGGGGACTCCCTCCTCCTGGGAATCCACCAACTCATGCTCTGCCTCAGGTGCCCAGACTGGGCTGGCTGGCTTCGGTGGAAGCGCAGATTCTGACTGTGGAGAGGAACCTTTGCTAAGCAAGGTTCAACAGAGGCCACGAGATGTGTTACAGGCAGAGTCATTGGACAATAAATTTGTAGGCATTGAAGAGAAAAACCAATTCTTCCTTGAAGAGTTTCTGAAAACTAAAGCAAAACTCATCAGAATAGAAGACACCAGCAGCATAATTTATTCAGAGGAAGCCACCAGGTGCTAACTGAGATTTGAAAATAAATCCCTCCCTTTGAAACGTCAGGCATGGCTCGGAATATAAGCAAGACTTTCCCAGGACCTGAAATGGACTTCAACCTGCTGTATGTATTCAAATAGAGCCTGTTTCTTTAGAGTACTTTTCACGTATGAGAAGTTTTAACAAAGAGCTCAAGTCATTATTAACTCATGCATTATTTGTAAAAGTAAAATTAGTAAATGCGTGCTTACATAATTTTTCATTTCAGCATTTATTAAATAGGAGGGCTGTCAATTGGGACAGGAGGAAAAATGGAAGTTAGTGTTTTTTTCATCCTCTTCTCAGAATCTGAAAGGTCTGCCTCTGATAGAACCAACCTAAGACACGGTCCAATAGACCATCTCAGTTGGTTGCAACTCCTTCCTTCCAGTTATTCAGGTCTAGTAGATTGAAGTAAATTTTTACTTTGAAATACAAATTTTATTTATATTTTTTCCTGCTTATATATTGTCTCTAACATTCATGTTAAAGAATTATTTAAAGAATAATAGGCCTGGCACTGTGGCTCACACCTGTAATTCCAGCACTTTGGGAGGCTGAAGCAATAGATCACTTGAAGAGTTCGAGGCCAGCCTGGCCAACATGGTGAAACCCCATCTCTACCAAAAATACAAAAATTAGCCCGGCGTGGTTGTGTGTGCCTGTAATCCCAGCTACTCAGGAGGCTGAGGCAGAAGAATTGCTTGAACCCAGGAGCCAGAGGCTGTAGTGAGCCGAGATCGCACCACTGCGCTCCAAGCTGGGTGACAGAGTGAGACTCCATCTCAAAAAAAAAAAAAATGAAAATAAAAAATAAAAGAAAAAAAGAAAGGGAAGGAAGGAAGGAAGGATTATGCAATTGTGTTTTCTTTCTTCACATTTTTCTTTTTTTCTAGATATTCTCCACCCAGGACTTGCAGAAGGACTCATGTAATACAGTATAGGGTAAACTTTAGAAATCTCTGTAGATTGCAGGATCTGAAAGCAATTTTTCCAGCTTCATAAGATTTAGCCAAGAAGAGAACAGGTCACAAATAAAAGCTTTGTTTCTGCTAAGAGCTGAAATTAGCAGATTTCATAAATTGAGATTTTATAAGATTTATAAATGTTCCAAATATCAGAAGTTGGAGTTCTAGCCCCTAATCCCTCAAAATGTGACCTTATTTGGAAACAGGGTCTTTAGAGAGGTAATCGAGTTAAAATGAGATCTTCAGGGAGGCTCCTAAACCAATATGACTGGTGTCCTTATTAAAAGGAGAGAGACTTAGACACAGAGACACATGCAGAGGGAAGATGATACGAAGGAAACCCAGGGAGAAGGCGTCCACCTCCAAGTCAAAAGGAGAGCACTGAGCGATTCTCCTTCAAACCCTCCAGACAAACCAGCCCTGTTGATGTTTTGATCTTGGACTTGCAGCCTCCAGGACTGAAAGACAATGCATTTTTGTTCTTTAATCCGGCCTGTGGTGCACTGTTACAACAGCTCTAGCAAACGAATGCAGTATTGATTATGGAACCTGGAGGAGACCTGAGAAGCAGTGTCTGGGAGCCACCCTGAGGAGGGCAAAGCCGAGGGCAGGGCACCACCTCGTGTGATAGGAAAGGCAGCTGAACGTTCCAGGTCCCTTTACTGCAAAGATGGGATCTGCGCACACAAGTCCAGTAATTGACATGAAGACTCGGAGTCCTGCGTGGACGGAGCAGCCAGCCTCGACATCCGGAAGTCACGCAGGCACCAGAACGCAGCAGATGCAGTGACCTGGTAGGCTGGTACCGACAGCCAAGTAACGCCTTAGAAACTGGATGCAAGGGGACGGCAGAACAAAAGGGATGGACGGTGCTTTCTCCATAGTAGAAAATGCTAGTCCCTGAGAACTTCAGTCTTATACGGGCAAAGACTGAGAGACGACTTAACCAAAGGCAGGAGTTTTAAACATACAACAATAAAATTTCCTTGAATTGGCAAGTGTTAAATGTCTTTCACTGGTGCAATGAGACTATGCTCTGAGATAATTTGAGTTTTATAGCAACAGCATTAAGTCTTTACATATGTGAGCATATAACATGTGAAATTTGTATATGCAACCCCATGACTGCTTTTTCATAACTTTACACGGAGAATGTTAAGGCTAGGTGAAGTGTAGAACTCTTAAACTCGTTTACATTTGTATACAACCTGCTTCATTGTAAACATATAGCAGTAAGTACTAAAATATGATTCCGTGGATAACACTGAATTCTATCTAATTGAGTAAACATCCATTAAACATTTGTTATGTGTAAGGCCACACAGTCTGAGATACAAAGATGTTTATGATATTGTCTGTAAGAAACTCAATCCCTTAGAGTAGATAAAAGAGGTAGAAAATGCACAGGACAAACACAAAGAAGTACAAAGCCTGAGAAGAAGGGTTCGATGCGCGAGCAGTAAGAAAGGCGACAGACATGCTTGATAAAACCTCAGTAATACATTTAAATGAACCCAGGGCCCAGTAGGGAGGCAGTGTAGCATTTCGCAGGAAATGAATGCTGTACTGAGAAGTGTCTTCAATTTTAGTTTAAAGAGTATATGTGTTATTTATTAGACAATAAGGCAAATGGAAGTTTTCAAGCAGCAGAGTAACATGAGTAAATTTGTATTGTAGGCTGTCTACAGTGGGAAAGTATGAGAACTAGCATGCAAAAGCCATATGCAAAACAGTTACAATCATCTGAGGAAAAAATAGAAATTACTTGAGTTACTGTGTTGGAAGTTTAAATGAAAAGGAGGAGTTAGGTCTTAATATGAGTAGCATTGTGCAAGTGGAGTCAATTTGTTACCTTTCTATAGGAAATGGAAGTGGCAGAAAGGAAGAAAACAGAGACTCTAAGATTCTGGCCCTAGGGCCCTACATTAGAATGATAACACTAAGCAATTTCTGAATGTCAAGAAGAAGAACATGACTTTGAGAGGATGTAAGGAGTTCACATATAAACCTGTTCACTTTAAAGTGAAATGAAGTTTCATATCTGGATATCATAAATATGAGACTGGAGATGAGCAGAAACATGGATTCAGCAGATGGAGACTAGAGAAGAAAACCCTTACTGAGTCGGAGAGGTGAGACAGCTGGATGGAAGTGGAGCTGCAAACAAAAAGATGGTTGAAGAAGGAATATAGACACATTTGTAGCATTTGCATTTAGAGTGGGGCGTTAGAAGGAGAAATAACAGCAAAAGAAAAAACAGGTAATTAGAAATACAGGAGGAGAATCAGTATAATGCAATGTGAGAGAAGAGAAAATATTCTGAAAAGGAAAGGTGATCCAATGCAGGTGCCTTTAGTTTCAAGGAGGGTGAGGACTAATAAAAGGGTGTGTGTGATAATTATCACTTGTTACTAAAAGAATCATTTCAGCAGATTTATGTGGATAGAATAAGTCTGTAACTCCACCATCGATAAACGTTGGTGAGGCAGATGAAGCAAGGGTAGGTTGATCTTTTGAGGAGTCAGTCAACATAGAAAAAAAGACAAATAAGATGTTGAGGGAGAATCAGGATTGAAGGCATTCTTCATTTTCTTCCTTTGATAAAGAATGTTCTAAATTAAAAAAGGTTGACAGGAAAATGCACTTGTACTTACAAGAAACAAAATGTTTAAAAAAAAATCAGAAAGAATCTTAGGTGGAAGACAATGGAATTATTAGACATTGAGGAAATTGGTCTTCAGAAACAAATCAACGAAACACATAACTAACACACCACATAAAACAGGAAGCAGAGCAGTAAGGAGTTTTAGGAAAGTGAAAATACTCTGTACAATGCTATAATGGTGGATACATGTTATTATACATTTGTTCAACCTGTAGAATGTACAAGGCCAAATGTAAAGCCGAATTTTAACCACTGACTTTGGGTGATAATGATGCATCAATGTAGGCTCATGGTCCATGTAGGTAACAATGGGGCCACTCTAGTGGGGGATGTTCATAACTGGGGAGGCTTTGCATATGGGGTGGGGCCAGAGGGTAGATGGAAACTAATTTCTCTTCAATTTTGCTGTTAACTTAAAAGTGCTCTAAAAAAAATTAAGTATGTTAAAAAATGAAGGAGACTTTTGAGACAAAACATGGAGAGAGAGAGTAGAAATAAGAAGGAAAAAAAGAAGAAGAAGGGAAGATAAATGAGAGCAGCCAAACAAAAAAGTGTCCAGAGAGCATGTGGGGAGGGGTCAATCGAAGCCATCATTTGCGTTACTGTTTAACCCCACTTAATCAAAAACCGCCCTTCAAAACAGAACACCACACATACACAAATGCCTTTGTGAAAATAAGAAAGTAACTTTGGATCTGTTTAGTGAAACAAATAATAACCCATGGGATTGGGAGACATCCCGTGCAACTATTTAAGCCGATGCAGATACTTGGATCCAAAGGATACCATAAAAGTATGTTTCAAATAAATGCCTTGGCATCTGATCTCAGGTCAGGGCTACAAGGTTCAATTCAATCTCACATGGAGGTCAGGAACAAAGACATTCAACTGTATATCTTGGAAGAATACTATGTGTTTTCATCATTTTTGTTTGGTAGACAAGAGTGAGTGCAATTGAAAATGAGACTATCAAAAGTAAGAATAGCAGAATTCTGAGAAAGATGAGAAAATTGATAGCAAATTATATAGAGGACATTGGGACCTAGTTCAGTAAGGAAGGACATCAGGTGAATTTCTGCTGCATTTCAAGAGGAACATTTCATTTATTTATGTAAATCCAAGAAATAAAAGAGAAATGATAAAGTCACAAGTTACTGATGTCTTTCTATGTGACAACAAGGTACTCAGTTGCCCGACACAAATCTCAAATAATTAACCTGGGAATCATGTCATCAAAAGTCCCATTTTACAGATAAATAACACATGCCAGAGATTAGACAGCTTGTGCATTATCACATCACCTACTACATGGGAAGGGCAAGACTCACCCACAGATCCGAAGGCTCTCAACACTCCTCTCCATGTTGTAGTGCAAACAATGCAGTTTGCATTACAGAATTCCAAAAGCTACATAGAAAGTTAATTCAGCTCCCATGCTTCATATTCATTCTTCTTTAACAAACATTGAAACAGTCATAGGTTATTGCATTATAAAATATATATATTTTTTGCATATAAAAATGTAAATATGCAAAAATATAAACATGCAAAAAATAAAAATATGCAAAATATGCAAAAATATATAAAATATAGGTAATTGCAGGTTATTTATAGGTTATTGCATTATAAAAAATTGCCTGTTTGTTCTTGATACTGCTCAATTAAAATATTTTAGATTACATTAAGGGAATGAGGGTAGATTGTAGATGGAGATTTTTCATGGTCACTATTTAAAACATTGTCTTTTGTCTTAATTTTAGATTCAGGGGGACACAATGTACAGGGTTGTTACATGAGTATATTGCATGACTCTGAAGTTTGGGCTTCTAATGAGCCTGTCAGCCAAGTAGTGAACATAGTACCCAATAGGTAGTTTTTCAATTGTTAACCCTCACACTTCCCCCTTTTGAACCCCCCAGTGTCTATTGTTTCCTTTTTTGGGGCCATGTGTACCCAATGTTTAGCTCTCACTTATCAAGTGAGAAGATGTAGTATTTGGTTTTCTGTTTCTGTGTGAATTCGCTTAGGTTAATGGCCTTCAGCTGCATCCATTTTGCTGCAAAGGACATGATTTCATTCCTTTTTTACAGCTGTGTAGTATTCCATGGTGTACAGGTACCACATTTTCTTTATCTAATCCACCATTTATGGGTACTCAGGTTGACTCCCTGTCTTTGCTATTGTAAATAGTGCTGCAATAAACATACGCATGTGTGTGTCTTTATAGTAGAAAGATTTCTATTCCTTTGGGTATAACCCTGTACTGAGATTACTGAATCGAATGGCAGTCCTGTTTTTAGATCTTTGAGGGATCTCCAAACTGCTCTCCACAGGAGCTGAGCTAATTTACACTCCCACCAACAGTGAGTGGATAAACATTCTCTTTTCTCCACAGCTTTGCCAGCATCTATTATTTTTTTCACGTTTTAATGATAATCATTCTGACTTATTGGCTGTGTGTATGTCTTCTTTTAAAAAGGATGTGTTTTCATGTCCTTTGTTCACTTTTTAATGGGGTTACTTGTGTTTTTTTTTTCTTGTTGATTTAAGCTCCTTATAGATTCTAGATACTAGTTCTTTGTCAGATGCATAGTTTGCAAATATTTTCTCCCATTCTGTGGGATGTCTTTTCTGCTGAGAGCTTCTCTTGCTGTAGAGAAGCACTTTAGTTTACTTGGGTCCCATTTGTCTATTTTTGATTTTGTTGCATTTGCAAAGCATTGTCTTCAATATACTCAGAGTTAATCTTTAAGCTTTGTTCATCTACAGTTTGACTTATAAATCAACACGGGGTTTGTGATAATACAGCATTTTCGATCAAGTTATTTGTTTTCACTTCCTGGTAGATTTCAGAATATATACGGCTCTTTAGTATTTTTTTTCATTTTTTAGTATTTTTTCCTTTAAAAAGTTATTTTAAAAAAACCTTAGTAAATCCTTACAAACTTGACAGATTAAACTTATTTGATCTGTGGTTATAATTGACCGTATTCACTTTTAAGTGGCGGCACAGCAGAGATTAGGTTTCAAATGCAGACGCTAAGTCGTGCTTTGTGATGTTGGGCAAGTTTTTTAACCTTTCTAGACTTTGGTTGCTGCATCTTAAACGAGAATGGTAATTATACCTATCTCAAAGGGTTGCTATGAGAATTAAGGGAGTTAATAAATGTAAAACCCTTGGAACAGTGTCTGGTAATGAGAACATAAATCAGTTGATTAAAACCTAACAGAACTGTCATAGATGTCAGACTTGCCTGTCAAGTATATGCAATATTATTATAACTGCATTCCACATGTTCAAAAAACTTAGAGTCATGGAAAATATTTTTAAAATCTCAAAATTATAGATATGAAGACTACAGTTTATCATATGGAAAATATAAAGCACAAGATTAACGGTGAATTAGTCATTCCAGAATAAAAGACTAGTGCATTTGAAGCTATATCAGTATAAGTAGTTAAATTGAAACAGAGAGAGAAATATTAACAAATAAAAATTGAATAGAGCCTCTGTAAAAAGTAGAGCAATTCAAGTTGCTGAATGCTAGTGCCATGAGAGTCTCCAAAGAGAGGAGGGAAGGGTGGAAACAGAAAAAAAATGGAAAATATAATAGTTAATTATTTTCTAAATTTTACTAATTCAAAAGAAACATGAAGAAAACATCACAAATTGCTCAAAGACAGTGATAAGAAGAAAATCTTGTAAAAAGTCAGAAAAAATATTGTGCATTATGTATAGAGGAACAAAGATTAAGAATTACAGAAGATTCCTTAGCAGATTCAAATCATAGAAGGTTGTTCTCTCATCAAAATGGAATTAAATTACAAAGCAATAACAGGAAGAACTGTGGTACATTCCCACATATTTAGAAACTGATCAGCACATTTGTAAATAATCCATAGATCAAAGAAAAAATCAAAAATAAAATAAGGAAATATACAGAATGAATAAGAAAACGCCATGTATTAAATGTGTGGGATAACCCTAAGGCAGCGAAGTAAGAGCTGCAGTCCTAAGTGCTAATAGTAGAGAAGAATTTCTTAATTGAATGACCCTAGTTTTCACATTCAAACACTAGGAGGAAAAACAAGTAAGTGTTCCCCCAATTTATTAGTAGAGGAAATACTCATAATCACCGCGAAAAGCATAACAGAAAACAATAGAAAACATCAATGAAACCAGAAGCTGATTCTTTGAGAAAATTTTAAAATTTATAAAATTGTAGTTAGCCTGATCTGAAAATAGAGAAGAAACAAAATGTGAGAAAGGTGACATCACCAGAGAAACTACTAATATTAAAATAATAAAGGAATATAATGAGAAAATGAATGCTAAAAATCTAGCAACTTAGATGGGTGGGCAAATACTCTAAAAGATACAAACTTGCAAAGCTCATTCAAGAAGTAATAAATAGACCAAATAGCCATATAGCTAATAAAATTATTGAATTTGTACTTACAAATTTTCCCTCAACAATGTTCCAAATATCTTTAGGCCTTGAAGGTATGTGTGGTGAAATATCACAAAGATTTAAAGGAGAAACAATGCCAATACAACTCCTGTAAATTTGAAGAGGTACACACACTTACCTGCTTGTCCCGTGAGGCCAGTATTATCCCAATACCCAAGTGAGATAGAGACTTTATAAGAAAAAAAATAGTGCAGATCAGTTTAGTCCATGAATGTAGAAACAATGTTTCTAAACTAAATTTTATCAAATAGAATCCAAAAACATATAAAACAATAATATATCATGACTAAGTATTATGTATCCTGGGAATGCAAGGTGGATTGCATTAGAAAACCAATTGATGTAATTCACCATGCTAACACACTACAGAGAAACAACAACAACAATAACGTTATGTTTTTCAATAGATGCAGATAAATATTTGACAAAATTCAACATCCATTATTGATCAAAACTCCCTGCAAGCTATGAGTAAAAACTCATTTTTCTCTCCCCTTCAACTTGAGTAAGTGTCTCTATGAGAACTGTTGTTAATATCACATTTACTCATAAAAGACCATATACTCTTCTTACGATACGAAACAAAACAAGTGCATTCACTGTCACTACATCTGCCAACCATTATACTGAAGGTTTGATCCAGTGCAATAATAAAAGAATATAAAACAAAAGGTGTATGGATTGGAAAAAAACAACCCTAAATTTATCCACAGAAGAAATAATCATGTATGTAGCATATCTAGAACGATCTATTTTAAATCTGCTAGAACTAATAAGTGAGTTGTAGAATTCAAAATCAACATAGAAAAACTATATTTTTAAGTAACTGTGATGAACATTTGGAAGTAACAGTTAGAAAATAATATATATTATCATCCAAAAAGAAATATTTAAGGTTTATTTACTCCAGTACACTTCAAGATTTATACAGTAACCACTACAAAGCATTGCTGATAGAATATAAATAAAGCAAACCCACATACATGGGGAGATATACCATGTTCATGGATTGGAAGAACAAAAATTGCCACACCTCAATTCTTTCCATAGTGACAATGATAAGCAAAAATTTTGGTATACAAAAAACAGAGAAAGTACCTTAGCCAAAACTCTTTTGGGAAATAACAAATTTGGAAGACTCCAAGTATAAGGCAGATTGTATAACAATAGTGATAATGATAGTATGATATTACTTAGGAATAGATAGAGAAATAGAACAAAGAGTAGAAATATAGCACACACACAGGAGGAATTAATTTTTGTCAAAGGTGCTATAGGAATTCAATAGAGAAAAGGTATTTTTATTAAAAATAGTGCCAAAACGATTGGCCAAATTAATTTCATCTCTCATGTGGTCTAAAGTACTGTATTCCAAAGTAGTTATTTTAGTCCATTTGGGTCAAAATAAATAGAGACGTTTGTTTAAAGTCCAACTTCTAAAACTTCTGCTCAGCATTTGAATCTGAATCACTAATGGGCTCTAGAGCCAGCATCCCAAATTATTTGATTAACAATAGCATGTGAGAACCACTAGGCTATAGGAGAAACAAGACGTGTTTATTTAAACGTTTTAGCAAAAACACAATATAGTGGACTGATGGGAAGGGAAAATGAAGTGAAAATTTATGGACACCTGATATGTGAAAAGTTCTCTGCTGTATCAGGGGTCCAGTCTCTGCTTTACTACCAACTAGCTATGCAACCTTCATTAAATCAGTAATCTCTGTAGCACATTATTCCATTTATGAAGACCAAGAGGAACATTTTGAACACCTCTAATAGTCTTTGCCACTCTCTTATTAAAGAATTAGGCTCAGCTGGATGCGGTGACACACGCCTGTAATCCCAGCACTTTGGGAGGCCAAGGTGCGTGGATCCCGAGGTCAGGAGATCAACACCAGCCTGGCCAATACGGTGAAACCCCATCTCTACTAAAATACAAAAATTAGCCGGGTGTGGTGGTGTGCACCTGTAGTCCGAGCTACTCGGGAGGCTGAGGCAGGGGAATCGCTTGAACTCGGGAGGCGGAGATGGCAGTGAGCAGAGATGGAGCCAGTGAACTCCAGCCTGGTGACAGAGTGAGACTCTGTCAAAAAAAAAAAAAAAAAAAAAAAAAAAAAAAAAAAAAAAAAAGAACTAGGTTCATGGGGAAAAAAACATATCCACCACTCTGGAAGCTCACATATGCTGTTTTTCTAGACAACAGAAAAATGAACTTTAAAATCTGTTAATATTTTAATACATTCAGACAATGTTAAAATAAATCAAAACTGTACCTCAAATTTTCTTTAAACTCAACATTTTATTTTCAGGCTTAAATGATCTCAATTATTGTTTTACTCTTCCATTAAATTACTCTTAGATTACTTAATAATTTTAATTTAAATGAATTTCAAAAATTGCATTGTGAAGATGATATTTTAGAAGGTTAATAAATCTGAAAATTATTTAAATATTTTACATAATTTAAGTGTATTACGGGTCAATGCGAAGGTATGATGTCCAGAGCCCAGTTAGCTAAAATGCTGAATAACTGGAAAAAAACACAGCGTCTAGGCAAGAACTATTTTTCCACGGGCTGCTAATACAATTTCAAAAAGAAATCAAAATTTTTAGACTGTTGCTTTTGAGATATTTTGTCTGTTACACTTCAAAATCAACTGAAAACTTTGCATGCATCTTGCTTTATCTTAGCTATTTCACACGGGAATTTCAGCATATGCTTCCTACAAAATGTAGCATATTAAATAATTCAAAGTTACTTTCTTTTTATTATGTTCTGTAGAAAGACATTTCCACTCAGTTACTCCCCCACCCACGCTACACACTCAGTTTCCCCCCAACAACCCTATCCATTTGGTTTTCACCCCACCCACTCTACCCACCCATTTTGCCCCACATCCATCCTACCCACTCAGTTTTCCCCCAACCTACTGGTCAAAATGAACTTCACAGCACATGTGTTGTATTTGCCAGATGGTCAGGGCCATCCGCCTATAAAAGGCAGGGGCTCCTTCAGCTGAGGAGTGTGCTGAACAGTTCTGCACTCACACAATTCCATCTGTCTTCCCTGTTTCACCCTTTCCATCCAGGAGGTTAGAAGAAAGGAGAAACTGAATTAAATACATCCTGTTAAAATATTTGTTTTCACCTCCAGTTTTGAATAGATCCAATTAGTGCCTATATAAACATTTTGTTTAACCTGTGCAGGAGACATATATGAGTTTATGAACCAACATTCCCATTTCCCTTACAAAAAAAGTCTTTCATTTTGCATTACATTATACATTAAAGGCTTTGTTTCCAGAAAGATACTGAGATGGGGGAAAGGAAAAGGTATTGTTAAAGAAGCCCATGAACTATTGTACAAGAAATGTCACAGATTTACTACAGAACACCACAGGTCATCTACAAGATATTCTGGCTAATTTATAACTAAAACCTTGGAAATATAAGAATGGCCTTTCACAAAGGATTAGCCATTAGCCATCATTAACATACAAACCCTTGGAGCCTTCCTGAGAGCAATAGTTAAAACACTGACAGGTGTTTTAATGCCACAACTAAACTGACTCCACTTTTTGAAATAGTTGTTTTTGATTACATTAACTATGTTGGACTTGAATTTCAACTGTGTGGCATGAATTATATTTTTACAATTAGCATATTGAGTCAAAATGACAGGAATTATAAATAATTTCCAGATATAAAATTTAAGAGATAAATCATGCTTTTAATGTCACACTAAAATGGTTCCCTTTGTTAGTCTCATTTTCCTGTACAATGCACATTTTACATGTTAGGAATTAAGTAGTCATTGGAAGCAGAATTTAGCACTGTTTCTACTTAGTTACCACTTTTTGATCAATAAAATTATTTCAGTGTACTATTTGCAGTTTTCTAGATTTGTTCTGAAAGTCATAGAATGCATATTAAATGAAGTAGGTTATTTTTACCCAGCAAATTACCAAGACATGGAAGAGGGGTGGTCATATTGGGAAGCATATGGTGAGAAACGGAAACTCACAGCCTTGTTCTTGGGTGTATGAATTGTTGTAACCCTTTTAGAGGACAGTTTTGCTCTATTTCAAAAACTTTAAAGGGGTGCATACTCTTTGACCTAGAAAATCCACTTCTAAGAATTTATGATAGAAACAGTACATGTGTTCCTACTGCTGATTCTCATTAGTCTTGCTGGTTATGTTCTCAAAGTCACCACAGACACTGAATTAGTGAAGACTGAACTGCTGCCCCCAGCCAGAGCGCAGGGTGAGGTTCCTATGAGCCTCTGACTGCAATGTTTTCATGAGCTGATCAATATGTGTGTTTCCATTTAAAGACATCTTATTTGTTATATATTGTTGATTTAACATTGAACTGATGACCAACAGCAATATAACTCATGCAGAGAATAAATTGTACCTAACAGATGCATTTTCATTGCAAGACACATCACACCCTCTTGTGGCTAGGAACTCCAGCGGGCACTTCCGCATATGCTTGGGGGGCATTTTAAACAGCAAAGTTGCTAAGGAAAATTGGAAAATTACTAAAAAAAAAAAAAGGCTAAAAATTAACAAAAACATGTCACTAAATATACCGTGGAAAGGATACCTGTTTTCAGCATGAGCACTGAAGCAAGCAAGCAGAGTGTCCTAGTTTAGGCCTCAGCTTGGAATGTGTTCTAGGGCAACTGACATTTTTCACCACCTGTGCATGGATGCGAATGACCAGAGAAGCACTGTGAGTATTAATTTTGCAAATTAAGCTCAGCAAGTTGATGAATTCACAGATCTGACATCACAAATGATAAGCATTAACTATATTCATATTTATGTAAGATATACATTTGTGTGTATATACACACCCCCACACACAAGAATATATAAAGATGTGCATCATGATATCATCTATAATAATATCTATTACAAAGGTCTAAAGTATACAAGTTGAGTGCTTATTCCCTGAAAATGCCATCAAAATAGAATGAATGCTGATAAGCAAAGTTGAGTGAAGGGAGAGCACTTCCTCAACAGTGTTAGTGTCTGAGAAAGGGTGGAACGAAGGTGTAATATTTCAAGGGTTTCTGGAGTCTGATTTACTGTGGAAAGTTCAGTGCCGGGCTTGATTAGGATTGGGTAAGCTCCATGATGTGAGTTTAGTGAGTTTAGTGCACACACACGAGAGTCCAGAGAGGAAAGTTTGAAAGCAAGGCTTGAATGGTGAACAGTCATTTGATGCTATCTACTGCAAGTTGCTTAGGCTGGTATCCCTTTATGTGACGTTATGGAAAGCTCCTGAACTACACAATAGAGTTGTCATCATATCAGCCTGTTTTAATCACACATAGGGTTTTGTTTTAATTGGGTATGGTAAGATGATAGTCACAGACACAACCACGTTGAAGGAAAAGTGTATTTATTACTCATAGTTCTCAAGAGGAGGGGCCATCCCATGCCATGCAGGGCCACACAGGAAAGCACTGGTGTTGGTTCAGTGGCAGAGTGAGGAGAACATGGGCTGGAGACCTCACCACAGTGGGGAAGGAATGGGTAAGGCAAGGTCAATGTATGCACCAAGAGTAGGATTGGATTGTTTCAGTAAGTTCAGCAGCTCTGGGCCATAGGGATCATCTGCAGTTATTCTGTACCTGCCCCTCGGGGTGATTTTGGACAGGGGAAATACTTGCGTGGTGTAAAAGAGTTAGAAGAAGATGGCTGAGAGGATGGACTTTGGATACAAAAGGTGAGCTCACCTGCTGGTTGTGTGTTGTCTCTAGGAATTAGCTGACTCTAAGAAGATGTCAAGGCATCATAAAATACAATTTTTACAAAAACATGAGTAATACACAACCCAGGCAAGAATTTCCTGGACGGTAATGTCGTGGTGAAGAAGATAGCTAAATAGTAAAGTCATGCTAAATCTAGGTAACAGGCTTTCGAATTATAAATGGTTTTGGTTTCGCCCACTGGAGATTGTTTAAGTCAATTACGGTACAACCCTAGAACTAAATACAGAAGCCAAGAAAAACTCATTGTTAGAGACTCTGTGGCAGCAAGGTGGAAGGAAAAAGTCCTCAGTAAAAACGAGTAGGGTCTACCCAGTCCTCTTGCTGACATTATTCTTTAGAGGCAAGACATAGGCCACAAATAGCCGGTCTGGGGCCTGCTGCAATGGTCGATTTAGGTGTTAACTGGATGGGGCTGAGGGATGTCCAGATAGCAGGCAACACCTTATTTTTGGGTGTGTCTGTGAGGGCATTCTGGAAGAGATCAGCATTTGAATCCATTGAGTAAAGCAGATCCACCCTCTCCAGTGTGAGGGGGCATCACCCATTCATGGAGGTCCCAGATAGAACATGGAGGCAAAAGAAGGTGGACTTGCTCTTTGCCTCAGCTGGGACCTCGATCCCCTCCTGCTCTTGGCTGTGGGTGCTCCTGGTTTTCAGGCCTCTAGGCTCCTGGACTTCCATGAGGACCCCAGCCCCTCCTCCCCATTCCCAGGCATTCAGACTTGGTGTGAATTACACCATGGGCCTTGCTAGGTCTCCAATTTGCGGTGGGCACATGGTGGGATGGCTCAGCCTTCCTGATTGTGGAAATTAATTTCCATAATTAATCTCTCTGTGTGCATATGTGTGTGTGTGAACACATCTTAAATGCAGTACGGTTCTGCTTCTTTGGAGAAGAAGCCGATTCAGGGAAAATAACTCTGCCCTAAAAAGCTTCACACGTTCAGGAAGCGGAGACAGGCCATATCTAGGATACCCGGTAACACTCTGGCTTTCTGGCCAAAGACATGCTGTGTTAGAGAGAAGAAGTCCGAGAGCTGAGCTGCGGCTCTCAGCTTGTCCCTCCCTTGAGCAGACTTGGACCTGCCGCTCTGCTCACAGAGATGGCAAGGCCGTGGCCATGAGACCTGTGTCCACACAGTCACAGCCTGGCTTTCCAGATTTTCTGACTTTCACATGAGCTTTATTAACTTTACGCCAAGTACTTCTCCTTTTATTGAATTCTCTTTTTTACATTCAGTAAGAAATGTCAGTAAATATCTCCAAATTGGAGATTAAAAAGAAAATCTAGAGATAAAAAAAGTTGAGAAATATCTCCAGCTCTCACATTACTTTAGTGAGTGGCATTGTTTAAATCCTTCAGATCTTACTTCAAGTGTGCTTAGGCGATTTAAATGACTTCTCTGTTTAAACAGGATAAAAAGGACGAGGACTTTATGCAAATCAAAAATTTCCAACTTGGCTATTGCAGCCAGGAGTGATTGGAAACCGATCCTCTTCATGTTAGAAGGGGATACCTGGTCTCCTCATATCTTCACCTTTCAGATCCCCATGCTCCTTCTGTGGCCTGACCGACATAACACACAGGGTCATGCGTGTGGCTCCCAGGCAGGCAGCTGCCTTGGTCAATGTCTCTAATGTCCAGCAGGTTGAAAGTGAACTGAATGCTGCACATAGTCTAGGGAATGCCCCAAAGTAGGAACAAGGCAGATCTGCCCTACCATGGGGTGCAGTGTAGAACCCCAAAAGGGAAACAAACTGAGAAACAAAATGGATAGAATGCAAGTTAAAACAAGATCTGGAATAGTTGGTTGAAATATCACCAGGGCACTACCTATTGCACACACACACATGCATGCACACGCACACACACTAATCCTTCCAAAAAATGGAAGAACCACTAATTCCTTGATCTGAATTTTCAGACAGATACAGCATTTGTATTTGTCCTCAGGAGTGTGATTGCAGGTGGTGGTGCAGCGATGGCGCAGCATGGTGACTTGCCGGTGGTCGTATCGTGATGACACAGCTTTGCCATCATTTATTTGAAATGCTTTATTATTCTTCCCAGCTGATTCGCACCAGCTCCCCATCCTTCCCCATCTTCAGGCCCTCATGAGTACAGCACAGGCAACGAATACCGAAAGGGGAGTTGCCACCGGGTGATGAAAAGGGGAAATGTCAGGAGATGGGATGGTCCATAGGGTCTAACAGGAAATGCCAGCCGAGAATGCCCCAAGACCCCGTCTCATTTTAAAAGCCCATTTGGCATATGTACACAGGCCATGCTTCAAAATAAACAAGCTTGATATTCAGAGATCTAATTGTAAAACATGGAAACATGAATAGCTTAGTGTGATTGTGAAATGGAGGGGAATTGGAACTAAAGTGTGAGAACATTATTAAACAGCTGAAATGTGAAATAAATAATTATGCCCTTGTAATATAGATGTTAATTATTTGTAAAAAGGAAGTGTCTAATTTGTCTAGAAGGCATTGCAAAATTAATTTCTTAATTTTGACCACAGCTAAAGAAATCATAGTCAGTGTCTCAGTATTTTATCATCTACAGTCACCAAAAATAGAAATGTACAGCATTGCAGTGAATAATCTTATTAATATCTAACATTTAAGGTAAAGTTATTATTTTGTAATAGTCTTGATAATGTATTTATATAGATAATACATTGTATGGGCAACATATTTTACTAGGTGGTGTTTGCTGTTAACTCTCGTAAAATTACAAACTAACTTTGGCACTGTATTTCATATGATAGTCACAGAATCACAGGACAGTAACCCTGGATTACAAGTGGATGTTTTTGTTGCCTGTGGGTAGCACTGACAGGTTGCCCTGAGAAGGAATATGAGAATCACTTCCTGAAATGTGCTACATTTTGACCTAAATGGTGCTTATACACAGAAAATAATTCAGTGATATGTACATTCAATATTAAGGCACTTATGTAATTTACTGCCTAACTCAATAAATTAATAAAAAATCATAGCATTGAATTCTATAGCTAAAAGAAACTTTAGACATCAATTTATTGCATTTATAATGAAACCAAAACCCAGAGAATTTAGATGGCATTTCTAAGATTGCAAGAGCCAAGTCAGAACCTGGGCCGGGGACTGCAGGTGAGCAGCCTTTCATTCAACAATACCCTGCCTCCGTCCTTCTGGAAAAACATGACTCCAAGTCCCTCTCCTCGGCAGAGGCATTGGATGACAAGGTTCCCTTCAGGTAAACACTGAGATCCTTGAAATAGTTTCTCAATAATCTCTTCAGGCCGCAGGGAGGTTGCTGCCTATAACTAAGAAAATCGCAAAGAGTGACACATTTTCAGGACCATAATATCCTCTGGGCGGGAGGCTTGTCCTTGCCCCTTTCACGTTTCCAGAACCCTAAACTGTGCTGCGTAGCTGCAACCATCTCAGCCCTTACCCGCAGGAAGGCACTGGACTCACGGATTAGTTGAGCTCCAGGGGTGACACTCACCTGCAGGAAGGTTGCAGGCACCAATGTTTGTGCACTGCCTTTAATCCTTTTAAAGCAAAAAGATATCAACCCTTTCTTACTCCTTCTGCAATCGTTACATAACAGGTTTTCGTCTTGCACTTTAAAAATAAATACTTTAAGTTGTCGGTTTTCTGGGTTATGTTATTTAAAGTCAGATATTTATTTTGAAGTCATAAATGGGTGGAACTTAAAATCGCTTATAGGAACTTGTGAAGGCAAGGTGTGTTGTTAAGATTAATTTATAATGACACTGTTAATGACCTCGGTGTGATTTATGTGTGATGCTAATGTATGTTCTTGCTCTTCAACTTTCTTTAAAATTTATAACCATGGTTTTCCACTTAAAAAATGTCAACATTATTCCATTGGAAAATAATTAGCTTATTTCAATAGAAGAAGTATTTGTTATATTTTCTTGTGTTTAAGGAATAGCTTTTAAGTTTTCGTTGGGTGGGAAATCACTCCCCAAACCCTAAAATGTATATGGCAGTCTAAGTGCATGGTCCATGGAGCATTAGTTGATCCACAGAAATTGTAAGCGTAAGTTCTTTTCCTGGGATAACTCATTCATTTTTAAAAAATGGTCTCAAGAAGTATCATCTGTATTTTACTGAAATTCAAAGAGATTAGGGAACATGTCAACAGTCTAAGAGTAGAGTCAGGGTTCAAATCCAGACACTCCAGCTCTGAAGCCTCTACTTGGATTTCCTGGGACACAGAAAATACATCCTGTTATCATCATGCAGAAGAAAATGCAAATGGATTAATCTCATTTGGTAAAATTCGATGATATAAAATACGATATTGAAATGCAGCACTCTTGCTCCTGAAATGTGTCAGTGAGATAACTTCCTTACCTCTGTTTAAGACTTCTGCATTGAGACAGTTTGATCCACACTTTTGTAGACTCAGGAAAATGTACCTAAGAGACTGGTGCCATATTAGGATGATTATGTTCTCAGTTCTCCAGGATACTGTGTGATCTTTACCTGAGAATTGTCTGCATTGTCTCTTCTCTGATACTAGTGATGAAATGAGAGACATCATATTCACTGTAGCATCACCATCACCCGGCATCGTTTTCAGAGACGACTCTCACATCTATTTTTAAAATTTTCTTAACTTGCAATGACTAACCTTACTTCTACCTCAATACCAGTTGGCTGAGTGGTTAAGGAAGTGTGTGGTGCCCGTTGTTCTAGAATATGATAATAATATTTCTTACGGAGGGGAACATGTTACTATTGAATATTGACATTTTTTCCTTAGTAAAATATTCATCAAATGGATTAATGTGTGAGCATTTATCCTATTTTCCTATATAGAAAATGTGACTTTGTTTAAACACTTAACTTTCTAACTAATTGGTAAGAAAGATCAAAACAGAGTAAATTCAGGGGATCAAGATGCAGAGAGAAAAAATGTGGGTCAGAAAATGACAAGGTAGAAGCCTTCTGTAATCAGGGAGAAGAGCTCGGAGCTTGTCCTAGATTCTTAAAAACAAAAGAAAATAGAATTGGATGCCTGTTAGGTTCATGCAGCATCTGCTGTGGGGGCTGTGGCTGCTGACAGTCCTTTTAGAAAGTAGGAGCCTCCCTTGCTGACCATGCACTCTTTTCCCTGCGTGAATCGGCAGACTTGTTGTTTTTATTGAGTCTTTTTCTGTCTTCGCTGTCACTAAGCCTAATGTTAGCTTGGAAATAAAATGGAGAAATGCTCTTCAGACAGTTGGAATGGAGAAAACTGCAGTAGCTCCGTTCTTAAATGGCTCTGACTAATTACACACAGCCTGCCAGGCAGCTCCTGACCTGAGCCCAATGTACCAGCACACAGATGAGCCTTCTGACCTGAGGCTGGGAAGGCAAGCTGGCCTTCTGCCGCACTCTCCTTGTAAATGCCATCAAATGGCAGAAGAAATGAATTTGCCTGCCCAATTTGCTATTCTGCTACAATTTTCCTCTGGGTCTGCTCAGCCAGTTCTTTTGCAAGCTGTGATTTGAGGAAAGCACTAATGAGTAATTATATGGCTGGAGGGGGAAAAAAATGAGGACACCTTTAATGTGAGAGCATTTCCCCCTATTTGGTCAAAGTTGAGTTTCTTTGACTGACTTTTTCAAAGGGGCTGACGTGGGCACAGTTCTCTGATTTTCAACACTGCGACCGTTCTATTCTCCAGTGTACACTGAGCCAGGCTGTGTCACCCTTGTGTTTGCACACTGTCACTTAAAGTGCCCCATAAAACAGCAGGAGCTTACTGGGAATAGCTGATCTGTTTCCAGGTAATGGGATCTCTTCTTTCCAGGGCCATTAAAAGATACCCATTTCATAAAAAATGGTGGCTTACCAATGTCCTTGAGATAGATATTTCCTACTCTTGTTTATGGACCAATTACTCAGTTACATGTTTTTATTATTTTTGCCCTAAACGTTCTTGACCTTTGTTTAATGGTAAAAGCCAGTCCTTGGAAGGGAGCCCTGCCTCCGATGTCTGTAGGAGCTCCACAGAGGCTGAAAAGAATGCGAGGTTAGGCAAACTTTGAAGACACATAGACCATCTTCTGGGATGGAGAGTCACATGGACGTGCAGATGGAGCTGCTGGGGATGGATATCCAGCACTCGGAAAAAAGATTCTTACCTCAAACAGCAAAAGGAGTGCTGCAGCTCCCTCAAGGAGATTGCCTGAGTCCATTTTGTGTTGCTAAAACAGAACACCTGAGCCTGGGTAACGTATACACAACCAGAAAAGTATTTCTCACAGCCCTGGGGCTGGAACTCCAACATAAAGACATTGTCAGGTTCATTGTCTGGGGAGGGGCCCTTCCTCATGGATCTCGG
The DNA here is from genome assembly GCF_000001405.40 of Homo sapiens. NCBI lineage: Eukaryota > Metazoa > Chordata > Mammalia > Primates > Hominidae > Homo > Homo sapiens. The sequence continues at coordinate 2,770,673 of NC_000008.11, forward strand.
TGTCCTCACATGGCTTAGGAACAAAGAGGCCAGGCAGCTTTCTGAAACCTCTTTTATGGGGCACTGATCCCATTCAGGAAGGTGAAGCCCTCAGAATTTACTCACTTCCCAAAAAGCCGCATCTATTATCACTATCCCCGTGGGGTTGAAGTCCCAACATGTAAACTTTGGAGGGATGCACGCATTCAAACCAGTGTTCTGGGTAATCGGTCCATAACAAGAGTCAGAGAAATACTTTTCAAGGACACTTGTAGGCAGAGATTATAGTAATCCTGACATATTTCCAAAGGATATTTTCCTTTCTGATGTGGAAAAGCTCTGGAAAGGAAAATACACTTCTGCCAATGGGTAAGGAGGATGTCTGTTCGTGTGGATGAAGTGGGACCAGCCCGGGAAGGACGCTCCTTCCTCTCTTAACGGTGCCATCTGTCACGATACACGGTGTGTTTGGGCTGACTTTTCCTGTGCTTCTGTAACGTGACTGTGCTTTCCTCGATGCTCCCCAGGGGGTGACTCTGTTTCCCGTCCCCTTGCAGAGCAGCGCCTGCTGATAAGCCTTCAGAGGACTTCGACTGAGATGTGAATTACTCAAACACTCTTTCCTTTGTGTTCTTAAACATCACGACATCCAGCTGTGGTGTACAGGGAAGATTTTACTGAGAATTGGGAAATATCCCAATTAGATACTTCCCAGTTCCACCATTAAACTTTTATGTCTTTAGGCAAAACAATTAACCTCTGTAATTCTCACCTGCACACCGAGAAACTTAAAAAAGATTTCTCTGATCCAATCAAAAAAGCATATGACAATTCACTCTTGTTAAACACAAAATGTACAAAAATGTGACTTTATCTTTAAATATATAATTTGCTGTTCAAAACAAGTAGCATTATTCTCTCCCAAACTCTATGATATCTGCAAATATTTTAGGAAATTTTTTCTGTCCTTCTTTTTCCAAATTCAGAAGCCTCTGGGCAATACCGCCCTCTGTGATTCCAGCAGCTTATACTGAGACTTGCAAAGCAGCCTTGGAGACACCAGCTCACGCTGTTTGACTCTGAGAAGCTTAAAGGGCTTAATACACTGATACACCTGGGATTGCTGTTTCTCTGCTGGAAGGCCTCACATTTCTGTCTGTCCCTTCTGGGCACCAAGACCTTAATTAGAAGTTTAATGTACAATAAAGCGAATAGCTTTATCTGTGACTGCCCCTCAATCTTCCCAGAAAAGGGAACATCTCATGTTCCTTATTTTTTCACATTTCTTTCTCTGCATCTGAACAGAAAATAAAAATATAACAGAATTTATTAAAGTGCCATTTGCATTCTGATTTTCATCTCTGTCACTGATCATGCTTTTACTTTCATATGAGCAAGTTGCTAATCTTATTTGTCCCTGTTTCCCACATTCCCCATCAAACTAATCATACCACTTCCCTTTCACAATGTCCGCACCTTTGGCCAGCCAGGTTTAAAAAAAATTGTTCTTTCCTTTCATTTGAATGGCACTGTGCTCATATGCTCTTGAAACTTGTACTTGTGCCTGGGTTTCCGAATTTGCCAATTAGATTAGATAACTTTCTTAAGGACATCTTTGTTTAATTTATCTTTGCTTCTCATATTTCACCTCCCTGTACAACAAACACAAAAAGGCCCAATTATGCATGTATCTTAACTGTTTGTGTTTTTATTTTTATTTCTAAAGATTGAGTTCCAAGGTTGTGGAACAAGAAGAACATGAAAATAAAAACACTGTTCAGGCCAGGCGCTGTAAAAATCCCCGCACTTTGGGAGGCCAAGACAGGCGGATCACTTGAGGTCAGGAGTTCGAGAACAGCCTGGCCGACATGATGAAACCCCATCTCTACTAAAAATACAAAAATTAGGGCGGTGGCACATGCCTGTAATCCCAGCTACTTGGGAGGCTGAGGCAGGAGAATTGCTTGAACCCAGGAGGTGGAGGTTGCAGTGAGCTGAGGTCACGCCACTGCACGCCAGCCTGGGCAACATAGCAAGACTCTGTCTCAAAAAAAAAGAAATTGTTCAGTAATAATGAGTACGCCAATGTAGACTATAGATAAGAATTCTGGCAGGTATATAGCAAAAAATATGTATATGTGGATCTGTATATCAGGGCTTTATGTGTGAGAATAAAGATTATTTTGAACCTATACTCAGTGCAACATTAATTTCTAGAATTTACTTAATAATATTGTGGCTCATCAAATTCCAAATAATTCATTGCAGCAGTGAATAAAAAATAATTTCATAATCCTCTGAAGAATTTAGAAATTATATCGCATTTACTTTTCTTATAGATAAATAATTATTCAAGGTTGGGAAGGCAAGGCATGATTTTACATTTCGGCATCTATATCCTTATATCCCTTATTCCAAAGCTGGGTTCTTTGACATGTTATTTACATGCTTTTGGTAGGTGCAAATTTATAGAAGTTTTCATACATGTGTCAGAGGCATCAGTGCCAATTTTAATTAAGATGCACGACATTTGCATCACCCCAGAAAGTTCTCATTCCCCCTAGTTAATTCTCCCTGCAGCCCCAGGTCCTGGACACCACAGATATGATCACTGTCCCTAGACTTTTGCTTTATGAGAATGTCACAAAAGGATCCAGGTGGCATGTGTCCGCTCTTTTCAATGTCTCCTTCCTCCACTTAGCTTAATACTTTTGAGATTAATCGATTTCAGTGGCTATTTCTGCATATTGCCGAGTAATTTCTCTTGTATAGGTGTACCACAATTTACAAAACCATTTAACAGTTTGAACTTCAGATTTCCCCCTCAACATTTGACTATTAATAAAATTGTATAAACATTGACCTATAAGTCTCTGTGGAAAATGCTTTTATTGCCTGTGGGTAAATATCTGGGAAAAGGATTGCTAATTTTATTTTAAAAACTGCCAAACTGTTTGCAAAGTGTTCAAGCCACTTTCACTATACTTCACCAGTAAGAAATGAGAGTTCCAGTTGCTTAACATCTATACCAGCATTTGATGTTGCTAATGTTTGTTTTGTTATATTTTGTTTCATTCCTTGCATGGAATGGTAATTTATTTGCAGTTTTATTTGCATTTCCCTATAAAATAAAGATGTAGGGCATATTTTCATATATTTTTTTTGCCACCTACTACTCTGTTTTGGTGAAATTTCTCTTCAAATTTTTAACTCCTCCCCTCTATTTGTTGGTGTTGGGGGGTTGGCCTGTTGCCTTTCTGTTACTGAATTAGTATTATTTTGTAAGTACTTTATTAGATGATGAGTTTTAAAAATGGCTTATCAAAATCTAGTCCTTTTTTTATTTCTATAACGGTGTCTAAGAACAAAAAATGGGTACTTTTGTTTATGTCACTTTTTTTTATGAGTTGTATTTTTTGTGTCCCCTATAAAAAGTATTTACCTAATCCAAGATTACAAAGATATTCTTCTGTACAGTCTGAAAGAATTTAAAAGCTTTTGATCTTTACATTCCATGAGATGATTTGGCTCGAGTTAATTTTGTATAAGGTGTGAAGTAGAGTTTTCCATTTCACTTTTGTGTATTTCTGTGTGCCAGCGTCATTTATTACAAAGACGATGCTTTCTCCATTAAATTCACTTGGCAACATTGACAAATATTTTGAAAGCTGCAGTAGTTTTCTTTTGAAATTTCTATTCTGTTCCATTTACGTCTGTCCAAACTCAGATACCACATTGTCTTGGTTAGTGTAGTGTCATCGTTATATTACATCTTAAATCAGGCTATTATGGCTATTTTAAAAGATTTAGTTTTCCATTTAAATTTTACAATTGGCTTGTCAATTGCTCAAAATGCATACTGAATTTTTTATTAAGATGCTAGGAAGTATATATCAACTTAAAGATAACTGGCATATTAAAAGTAGAGAGCCTTCAGATCCAATGAACAAAGTATATTTCTCATTTATTTATGTCTATTTAATGCCTCTCATCAATGTTTTGTAATTTTTAGCCTATGGACTTTGTGCATATTTATTTAAACATTTCTCTAAGTAATTAACGTTTGTTGATGATATTGTGAGTGACTTTTTTTAAATTACAATATCAAAATATGTGTTGCTAGTGTATAGATAGAATGGTGGTAGGATTTTTAATCCTGCAATTTTTCCAAAGTCATTTGTTAATTTAAGCAGTTTCTTTTGTAGATTCATTTGGATTTTCTTTATTAAGAAAAATATGCCATTTCTAAATAAACTCTGTTTGATGTATTCCTTTCTAATTCAAACAATTTTGATCTATATTTTTCTTATTTTACTGGAAGGAACATGTAGTACAATACTGAGTAGAAGTAGTGAGAACAGACCTTCATGAGATTCCCAGTCTCAGATTGAAAGCTCTCAGTCCTTCCTTGGGTCTGATATTTGCTATAGGTTTTGTGTAGATTCACTTTGTCATACTGAGCTAGTTTCCACATATTTTTATATGACTGGGTGTATATATATGTACACACTCCCAATAATTATATTGAGTTTGTTAATATGGTGAATAATATTAATTGCTTTTTGAATGTTGAAATAAATCTTGTCTCAAACTGGGATAAACTCCTAATTGTTTATGATAGAATATCTATTTCATCTATCACAGGATTTGATTTGCTAATATCGTGTTAAGTACACTGTTACATATACGTTCACAAGCGAACTTAGTCTGAAGTTTTCTTTTCTTTTCTTCTGATTTTGATATCAGGGTAATGTTTGTCTCACAATATTAGTTGGGAAATGGTCCCTCTTCTGTTTTCTGGAAGACTGTTTCCAGAATTAGAATAATTTTCTCCTTAGGTTGTTGAAGGAATCACCCGTGGAGCCGTCTGGGACTGGAGTTTTTTGTGAAGGAGGGTTTTTAACTAAAGCTGCATTTACTTCATAAATATAGGACAATTGGGCTTATGTATTTCTTCTTGAATATGCTTTGGAAATTTGTATCTTTACAAAATTTTTCAGGGTGTTTATACTATTCTCTTATTTTAAATGTCTGTGTTGATGGTGGTGATGGCTCTTTGATGTTTATCTCGGTCATTTGCATCTACCACCCACCCACCAACCATTAGACTGCTTAACTTTTGTTTTCATTGATTTCTCTATTGCTTTTCTCATTTCTATTTTATTGATTTCTATTCTTCTGGGCTTCGTATACATAGGTGAACAATGTTAAAGCTTAGATGATTTACTCAAGGGCTCTCTTCTTTTAAATATAAGCATTTAATGTTGTAAATGTTCTAAGAAGCCCGGCATCGGCTGTATATTACAAATTTTGAAATTTAGTATTTAATTTTTATTCAATTTAAAATATTTTTAACATATCTTATGCTGTTTAATTTGTAAGTTTTGGTGATTTTTCAGATATTTTCCTGTAACTGATTGCTAATTTTATTCTTTTTGGACAGAACCATACATTGCATGATATTCTCTTTCCTCTCTTGGTACAAGTTCAAAGTACATTGGAAAAAAAAAAGTGTATTCTGCTCTTGTTCAGTGAATGTCCTGAAAGTATCATTTAGATGAAGTTGGCTAATAAAATTGTTCAGACCAATTATTGGTCTATTTGTTTATCAGTTACTGAGAATGTTCGCTGCAATTTCCAATTACAATTATATTTTTTATCTTCATACATTTAGTTATATTAGCTGTTGCTCCAATTATTTTACAGCTGTATAGTTTACTGCATTTGAATTTAGAATTATTATATTTTCTTGGTAAACTTTCATTGTTATCCTTATGTAATATCCTTTTTTACCACTGGTAATTATATATTTGATTTACTTTTTCTCATATTAATATAGCTACTCCAGATTTCTTTCAATTAGTGTTTCCAGGCAACATTTTCCATGTGTTTATTTCACCTATGTCTACATATTTAATGTAATATGATTTTTATAGAGACCGTATATAACTGGATGTTATATTTTATTCAAACAGACAAGTTCTTTTTCTTTGGATTGATATATTTTCACCTTTTAAAATTAATGAAATTATTGATATTTCTTGATGTAAATCTTCCATCTTACACATTGCTTTCAATTCTTCCTATATCTATTTTTCTTTTCTTCTACCTCCTTTTGGAATAGTTATGTGTTTTTCATAATTAAATTTTATCTTCTATATTAGATTTAAAAGCAAAGGAATGATAATAGATAAAATAATAATTCACAAGAGAAATAAGTTGGATATCAGAAGTGTCCATTTGATTACAGTTCATCACGAGACTATGCACAACTCTCAATGAAGATCTTGAACTTTCTCCAATTTTATATAACCACTGATGTCAATCATACCCAAATTCCAGTGGGTGAGTGTGGAGACCTTGCCTGATATCTGGCTGATAAGTAAAATCACAAACTCTGTAGAACTCATAGTCCTGGAAAAAAACTCATAAAAGCTAAATAAGATGTAAGGAAGCAGCCTAAGTCTTAAGCCTGCATGAAGCATTCTCAGATTGCACTGTGGACATCGAGCTTTCCTGCCCCGCACTATAAAATCTAAACCACCCATCCTGCACTGTAAAATCTAAACCATCCATCAGATTGCACTGCAGACATCAAGCTTTCCTGCCCTGCACTGTAAAACATAAACCACTCATCAGATTGCACTGTGGACATCGAGCTTTCCTGCCCTGCATTGTAAAATCTAAACCACCCATCAGATTGCACTGTTGACATCGAGCTTTCCTGCCCCCCACTGTAAAATCTAAACCACCCATCCGGCACTGTAAAATCTAAACCACCCATCCTGCACTGTAAAATCTAAACCATCCATCATATTGCACTGTGGACATCGAGCTTTCCTGCCCTGCACTGTAAAATCTAAACCACCCATCAGATTGCACTGTGGACATCGAGTTTTCCTGCCCTGCATTGTAAAATCTAGACCACTCATCTGGCAAACACCACCTTTGCTCATCTCAGTTTGCTATTACAAAGATAACGTCACACCTTCACTGAAGGCAAAGAAATTTTCAATTTCTCCATTGCAGACACACAGTGCAATCAGTGTCAATTGTTATGGTAATTTAATTATTTTAATAAAAGCAAGTTCCAGAGAGAAATGTATGATATATTCAGAAAATACACTTTAGTTAATCTTTTATTCCAGCTTTCAATGGAGTTTGAGGCATTCATTCAATAAATATTTTTATGTGTTTACTATGCACAGGTCTTACTTTTCTAAGTGTAACTGTGCAAGACATAGAGAAGTGAATTGATTCTTTAAGTTCAAGAAATATATTATCTTTTTGTCTCTCTTCCTTTCCATATATAAAACACAAAAAGACAGATGATAGATAGATAAAGAGGCAAATTAATAGACATGCAGGTAAATAAATAGAAGGCCTGAAATGCCTACAGGCTGATTAGCGGAGGGTTAACTCACATTCTGTAAGGTTTGCATTAGTTCTCCTGTAGTGCTATTTCTTTGAAAGTTGCCGCTACATGCAAAACTTGATTAGAATATCTAATGAGGGTGTGCATTTATCAGCATATCCCACAAGTATGTGAAGAACAGAGGTGAGTCACTGCCCTTTCTCATATGAAATATTAATCTTTTGAACAGATCTAAACTACATAATGTAATGCATTAGAGACTTTTAGTGCTTTTATACCAAAAACAATCGTAATTGTACATTAAATTATATGTAGAGAAACATAATATATGGTTAGAGTTCACCGTCAATAAAAAGTGTGGGAAAATGGACACTACTCAGGAAAATATTTTAAAAATTCTCAAATGCATTATTTGTTGATATTAACACACACAACAACATAAAAACTGAAAATAAACATTCTCTATTCCTTGAAATAAGTCTAAAAGCCACACCAGAAATAGTAAATGATGTAATTTATGAAATACAATGACGAAAACTTTACCTAACCTGATATATTTTAATATACCTCACTTAGTGTTATTTGGTACTCACAAAAATTTTTCCTACTAATATATCACGAAGATTAAACATATTACTATATGACTATTAAATTTCAGCCAAGATGAGGATTTTAATATGGTTTTAAGGCTTGGTGCAGTTTTTCATAGGTGTCGGTGGTAAACCATATATTTTTTTCTACACAGTATAGCACAATGTTTTTAATACCTAAATGTCAGTATTTAAAGGTATTTCTCAAATAATTGAAAATAAGAGAACACATAGATATAATCTGAATCTAGAATAAAAACCTATTCTTACAAAATTAAAATTTGGAAACTTGTTTGGCCCAAAGACAGCAAACGACTTAATGCCCCAGCTAAAGATTCACAAAGACATATAGCAGCAGACAATGTGAAAGATGAGACAGAGAATTCTCATGTGCGGTACTTAGAAGTATTTATTCATGGTAGTAAACCTGGTGTTTATACATGTAATTATTTAAAAAAAATCTGGTATCTAGAGGAGTCTGACACACACATGCTTCTCTCATTAACTGATAGACCAAAGAGAGGGTGCATTCAGTTACAGTGTAGAAGATATATTTAAAATACAATTATCAAGCTTGAACTAGTGAAAAGTATTAGAATCCCTCTACCAATAATTAGAGACTGAACATTATTCTCATATACAAATGGAGCACTTAATATTGATGTCTTAAGAAAAGAGTCTCCAAGTAATCACCATGCAGATCATTTTCTAATCACCTTTCAGTCAGAAACAAATTTAAGAGAAAACATACGAATGAAAAATTTAAAATATCCTTTATAAAGAAGCTCATTGAAAATGAATGCTCATGAATTAAATTATAATGTACTTATGACTAAATGAAAAGGAAAATATTGATTTTCAAAATAGATGGGAGGCAACTGAAATGATATTCAATGGCAAATTCAGAACCTTAAATTCAAGGTCAGCATAAAAGAAAAGCTGAAACTTTAGAAGTTTTTTACTTTGAAGGTTATTTCAGAACAGAAAATAAAACTCAGGAAAGTAAAAGAAAAAATACTGCTGGGAGAAGAAATTAATGAAAAATTAATGAAGAGTAAATAGAAAGCGTTTAAATGGCAAGTCAGTTGTTTCTTTGAACGACTCACAAAATATATGAATCTCTCATGGGGCTCACTAAGAAATAAAAGATAAAATGCACAAACATATAGTATTAGAATTGAATGTATAGTTCTGCAGTGTTAAATAAAACACAATCTTCCCCAAATAAAACAAAACAAAATAACAACAAAAACATTTCTACATCCTGAAGTTTTGAGGTGAAACTATTCAAGTATCATATTATTCTAATGGAGTGTAAACTCTTCCAGAAAAAAAATAAGAAGAGTAAATACCACTCAGTTGACTTCATATTTCAATTCAAAACATGATAAAAATTTGACACTACCTTAAATAATGAATGTACATACACAATATTAAAATGAAATTACAAACCACATCCAACGATACCTATAAAAATAATACTTAAACTATGCTAGATATTTTGTGTATTATTTTCATATAGCATGGATCAGTTGAGTTTATCCCAGGAATGTTATTTAAAAATAAAATATATTAATAATATTTACCATATTAATATATCAATGAACAGAAACATTATAATTGTTTTATTACATACACAAAAGTTCCATGAGATGCAACACTCATTTATTTCTAAATATGGAATCAAATAAGCCAAGAAGATAATATCTTTCACTAATAAAAATGATCTACTAAGAATGACATCAAACATTATGCTTAATGTTTTAATATGAGAATCATTTCTTTCAATATTAAGAACTGGAAAAGGATACACACTTTTACTATCTTTATTCAATATTGTACTTCACGTTTTACTTCAGTGAAATAGGCAGTAAAAATAAAATATAGATATATAGGCATTTGTGAGTCCATATTTTTATTTCTGGCAAATATTATAGTTTACATAGTAA